>NC_000019.10:44816631-45119661 GCF_000001405.40 Homo sapiens
AGTGAGACTCAGAAAAGCAGACAGCAGCCAGGCACAGTGGCTCACACCTGTAATCCCAGCACTTTGGGAGGCCGAGGCAGGTGGATCACCTGAGGTCAGGAGTTCGAGACCAGCCTGGCCAACATGGTGAAACCCCATCTCTACTAAAAATATAAAAATTAGCCAGGCATGATGGCTGGTGCCTGTAATCCCAGCTACCCAGGAGACTGAGGCAGGAGAATCGCTTGATCCTGGGAGGCGGAGGTTGCAGTGAGCTGAGATCGTGCCACTGAACTCCAGCCTGGGTGACAGAGCAAGAGTCTGTCTCAAAGAAAAAAGAAATTGGCCGGGCACGGTGGCTCACACCTGTAATCCCAGCACTTTTGGGAGGCAGAGGCGGGCAGATCATGAGGTCAGGAGTTTGAGACCATCCTGGCTAACACGGTGAAATCCCGTCTCTACTAAAAATACAAAAAATTAGCTGGGCGTGGTGGCAGGTGCCTGTAGTCCCAGGTACTCGGGAGGCTGAGGCAGGAGAATGGCATGAACCCAGGAGGCAGAGCTTGCAGTGAGCTGAGATCCCGCCACTGCACTCTAGCCTGGGCGACAGAGCCAAACTCTCTCAAAAAAAAATAATAAGAAGAAGAAATGCAGAGAGCTACAAAAAGAGCACTGCAAGTAGAGTGAGCAAGTGCAAAGGCCCTGAGGCAGGCCCCAACTTGGTCTACTCAAGAAAAACAGCAAGAGAACGGGGTAGCTGGGAGCACAGGAGGAATGGGGAAGAGTGGGAGATGGTTCAAGAGGTGGGTGAGGGCCAGACCAGGCAGCATCTTTTAGGCACCCTCAAGAAGTTTGGCCTCGATGCCAAGGGTACTGGGGAGCCACTGCAGGGTTTTATGCAGAGGGGAGGGATGACCAGTGGGTGGTTGGTTTTTTTTGTTTTTTTTTTTTTGAGTCAGAGTCTCACTCTGTCACCCAGGCTGGAGCGCAGTGGCACAATCTCGGCTCACTGCAACCTCCACCTCCCAGGTTCAAGCGATTCTCCTGCCTCAGCCTCCCAAGTAGCTGGGACTATAGGCATGCACCACTATGCCCAGCTAGCTTTTGGATTTTTAGTAGAGATGGGGTTTCACCATGTGACCAGGGTGGTCTCGAACTCCTGACATCAGGTGATGCACCCGCCTCGGCCTCCCAAAGTGCTGGGGTTATAGGCATGAGCCACCGTGCCCGGCCTGACCAGTGGATGTTTTAAAGAGGTCCCTCTAGCTGCTCAGTGGAGGATGGACAAGAGGGAGGAGCAGGCTAGTGAAGAGGTGGTTGGGACAGTCAAACCTGGGGCCAGAGGTGGCAGGAAGCCAGAGGATTTGTCCTGGGAGCAGACCAGATAAAGACTTGCTGAGGCCAGGAGCAGGGGCTCACGCCTGTGATCCTAGCACTTTTGGGAGGTCAAGACAGGAGGATCACTTGAGGCCAGGAGTTTGAGACCCAGCCTGGCCAACATAGCAACACCTTGTCTCTATTCAAAAACAAAACTTTGCAGAAAAGATGTTTGGGGGTAACAGGGAGGTTACCCCACAGGTTGGGGTTTGAGCAAAAGGTTTGTGTGCTAAAGTCACAGAAGGGACACCTTCCACACCTAAGGTTATTCATTAACCTTGGGCTCAGATGTCAGCTCTGAAGAAAAGTAATTGACTTGGGCATGTCAATGTTGGGGTTAGACTGCTAGATTTTTGGTTGGAGAGCCTGGATGGGAGAATGGAGATTTCATGGAGATGGGGTAAACCAGGAGGATTACTTGCTGTTCTCTGCTTCCAACTGTCCATTCATGTTTGCACCCCCGACCGCCCCTGGAGAGCCCCTAATTGAGTGGGTGGCGGTCTGGGACGAGTGACAGACTGTCCCCCACTGCAGATCTGGACCCCCTGGAGCTCAGCGAGGGGAAGGTGCTTTCCTTACCTCTAAACAGCAGTGCAGTCGTGAACTGCTCCGTGCACGGCCTGCCCACCCCTGCCCTACGCTGGACCAAGGTGAGAGGGAGAGGAGCCCCCTCGGGCCCTGCACTCGCACCCTCCTCTCTCCCCTCACTCCTCGCCCTCTCACAGCGTCCTCCTCCTCCTCTGCCCTTCCCAGGACTCCACTCCCCTGGGCGATGGCCCCATGCTGTCGCTCAGTTCTATCACCTTCGATTCCAATGGCACCTACGTATGTGAGGCCTCCCTGCCCACAGTCCCGGTCCTCAGCCGCACCCAGAACTTCACGCTGCTGGTCCAAGGTTCAGGGGGCAGGGAGGGGGTGGGCTTGGATGGGGACAGTGTGGGGTGTGGGACCTGGACAAACAGGACGAGTTCCTGAGTCCCTGGCTGGGGACTCCATCTTCTGCTCGATGCCTCTCTTCTCTCTCTCTCTCCTCTCCCTTCACTTTCTTCCCATCCCCACCACCCACAGGCTCGCCAGAGCTAAAGACAGCGGAAATAGAGCCCAAGGCAGATGGCAGCTGGAGGGAAGGAGACGAAGTCACACTCATCTGCTCTGCCCGCGGCCATCCAGACCCCAAACTCAGCTGGAGCCAATTGGGGGGCAGCGTAAGGGACCTTCCTCTCCACCCTGAGCCCCCTCTCACTCATCCAAGTATCACACCCTCCTTTCCACTTCCTGGGAGACTGGACGTCGTTCACCTCTGCCCTTGACCCCACCCCTTGACCCCACCAGCCGGGGCCTGATCGGAGCCTCCATAGCCCGCAGAGCCAATCCCCGGACGGCAGGGTTGGGTGAGCAGCTCTCTGACCCTGAAAGTGACCAGCGCCCTGAGCCGCGATGGCATCTCCTGTGAAGCCTCCAACCCCCACGGGAACAAGCGCCATGTCTTCCACTTCGGCACCGGTGAGTGACTGAGGTGGTGGCAGAGGAGCCGGGTGTGGGGCAGACAGAGCCCACTGCCTGACCCACGCCTCTCTCCATCCTGTCCCTGCAGTGAGCCCCCAGACCTCCCAGGCTGGAGTGGCCGTCATGGCCGTGGCCGTCAGCGTGGGCCTCCTGCTCCTCGTCGTTGCTGTCTTCTACTGCGTGAGACGCAAAGGGGGCCCCTGCTGCCGCCAGCGGCGGGAGAAGGGGGCTCCGTGAGTGGCCTGCTATCTGCAATGACCACCATAGCTTAACCCCATCCCCACCCTCAACCCCAAGCTCAACCCATAACCTCAACCACATCTTATCCTCCACCCCACATCCCACCACATCCACCTCCATCCCCAACCCATCCTCATCCCCAACTACAGCCCCAAACCCAGCCCCAGACTAATCCACAGCCATCCCCAACTCATCCTCATCCCCAACTGCAGCCCCAAACCCAACCCAGGGCCATCCCCAAACCCATCCCCAAGCCAAACTCAACACCATCCCCTTCCCTAATCACCTCTCCTGCCCCTAGCTCAGCCTCATCCCCAACTCCATGCCTGTCTCCAATCCCAACCCTGCCCCCAATCTCCCCTCAACTCCAATCCATAACCCCCTTCAAACCATCCTCAACTAAGCTCCTCTCCAGCCCTGGCCACATCCCCATCCTCCCCCAACCTCCAGCCCCAACACCCATCATCCCCCTGAGCTCACCCTTAACTCCAATTTATCCTCCAAGCCTATCTCTCACCATCCAGCCCTCACCTAGCCATTTCCCAACCCTAGTCCTCCACCGTCCCGAAGCCAACTTCACCCATGTCCCCATCCCCAATCTTGTCCCCATTCCTGACTCCAAATCCAACCCCTAAGCCTCCCCAAGCTCCTCCTCATCTAACCTTGTCTCCAGCCCCAACCACATGGCCGTCCTCACCTCCAATCCGTAACCATCCCAGACCGATCCCAAAGCCAACTCCAGCTACATTCCCACCTCCAACCCCAATAGCATCTGCATCCCCATGCCCAACCCTAACCCCAGTGCCATTACCAGCCCCTACCCCATCCCTATGCCATCCCCACCCAGCACACCCCCATCCTCACCTCCATCCCCAGCCGCATCCTAGTCCCACCCACCCCCATCCTCAGTTCCTCCCCCTGCCGTGTGCACCTCCAACACGACGCCTCCGCCCGCTGCCTCCTCCCCCCAGGCCGCCAGGGGAGCCAGGGCTGAGCCACTCGGGGTCGGAGCAACCAGAGCAGACCGGCCTTCTCATGGGAGGTGCCTCCGGAGGAGCCAGGGGTGGCAGCGGGGGCTTCGGAGACGAGGTGGGTGAGGGCCTGGGCCCCCTGGTGAGAGGGACCTGCTGGGCAGTGGAGCACGCCCGTGGGCACAGGCTGACCTCTCCATCCGCTCCCCAGTGCTGAGCCAAGAACCTCCTAGAGGCTGTCCCTGGACCTGGAGCTGCAGGCATCAGAGAACCAGCCCTGCTCACGCCATGCCCGCCCCCGCCTTCCCTCTTCCCTCTTCCCTCTCCCTGCCCAGCCCTCCCTTCCTTCCTCTGCCGGCAAGGCAGGGACCCACAGTGGCTGCCTGCCTCCGGGAGGGAAGGAGAGGGAGGGTGGGTGGGTGGGAGGGGGCCTTCCTCCAGGGAATGTGACTCTCCCAGGCCCCAGAATAGCTCCTGGACCCAAGCCCAAGGCCCAGCCTGGGACAAGGCTCCGAGGGTCGGCTGGCCGGAGCTATTTTTACCTCCCGCCTCCCCTGCTGGTCCCCCCACCTGACGTCTTGCTGCAGAGTCTGACACTGGATTCCCCCCCCTCACCCCGCCCCTGGTCCCACTCCTGCCCCCGCCCTACCTCCGCCCCACCCCATCATCTGTGGACACTGGAGTCTGGAATAAATGCTGTTTGTCACATCAACACCATCCTGTGGCCAGAGCTTCCTCTGGGAGTAGGGAGGGGAAGGGCGATGCAGGTGATTCCCTGCTCTCAGCTGCCCCCCCATCCGCCCCCTTGCAAGACCTCAGAAGACGCCTGATGTCATGGAGAAAGAAATGAGACAGGGCTGGGCGCCGTGGTTCATTCTTGTAATCCCAGTGGTGGTGGCTCACGCCCGTAATCCCAGCACTTTAAGAGGCTGACACTGGAGGGTGGCTTCAGGCCAGGAGTTCAAGACCAGCCTGGGCAACATATGGAGACCCCATCGCTACAAATAATAATACTAATAATACAGAAATTAGCCAGGTGTGCCTATAGTCCCAGCTATTCAGGAGGCTAAGGTGGGAGGATTCCTTGAGCCCAGGAATACGAGGTTACAGTGAGCTATGATCACGCCATTGCACTCCAGCCTGGGTGACAAAGCGAGACTTCATCTCTAAAAAAAAAGAAGAAAACAAAAAGAGGCCAAGCTCAGTGGCTCAAACCTGTAATCCCAGCACTTTGGGAGACCAAGGCAGGGGGATCACTTTAGGTCAGGAGTTTGAGACCAGCCTGGCCAACATGGTGAAACCCCATCTCTACTAAAAATACAAAAAATTAGCCAGGCATGGTGGCGCGAGCCTGTAATCCCAGCTACGTGGGAAACTGAGGAGGAGAAAATCTTGAACCCAGGAGGCAGAGGTTGCAGTGAGCCGATATCGCACCACTGCACTCCAGCCTGGGCGACAGAGCGAGACACTCCGTGAAAAGAAAAGAAAAAGAAATGACAGCATGAGAGCGAGTGAGCACGCAGAGGGCGACTTAGCTGGCCGGGGGTGGACGGAAAGATGCCAGGTCCCGAGGGTGCTGGGCTTGGCCCCCGAGGACCAGCGTCTGCCTGGAGATGGGTGCTGTCCCCTTAAGTAAAAGTTCCCAGTCTGTCTTGCCAGAGCCCCAGAGGGAATTGAAACTGGGCGAGGAAAAGCTCCCTCTTAGCTGTAGAGTCAATAGAATTAGGGATGGAGCCACCTCCTCTGGGGAGGAGTCCCTGGGGAAAGCGGGGAGCTTGGAGGAATCCAGAGAAAAGGGGGCCTGGGGCAGAGAGGACACACAGACATTACAAGGCCAAGAAAGAGGGACGTGAGAAAGGGATGGAAAGATTTAGGGGGAGGCAAGAGGGATGGGTTGGGAAGCTCCGAGAGAGCCCTGGAGTAAGAGACAAAAATAGATCTGGGGAGACAGACAAAAAGAGTAGTGGGCCAGGTCCAGTGGCTCATGCCTATAATCCCAGCACTTTGGGAGGCTGAGGCAGGAGGATCTCTTGAGGCCAGGGGTTTGAGACCAGCCTGATCAACATACCAAGACCCCATCTCTACAAAAAATAAAAAATTAGCCGGGCATGGTGGCACACGACTGCAGTCCTCAGCACAGGCAAGAGGATCACTTGAGGCCAGCAGTTCAAGACCAGCCTGGGCAACATAGTGAGACCCCATCTCTACAAAAAAATAAAAAATTAGCTGGGCATGGTGGCAAACACCTGTGGTCCTGCACTTTGTGTGACCAAGGCAGGTGGTTCACTTGAGGCCAGTAGTTCAAGACCAGCCTGGGCAACACAGCAAGACCACATCTCTACATAATTTTTTAAAGAGAAATACAGAGAAAGAAGAACTGGAGTTAGAGAGATCATTGCAGTTGGAAAGGGAGAGAGGAAATGCAAGCAGCTGCCTAGAAGGACGGAGGAGGGTAGCGGGAGGTCAGCACGGGTGACTGGCTGGCGACCTCACCTCTCTGAGCCTTTCTTGTGCATCGAATGGGGATCAATTGCACTTTGGCCACGGCGGGCTGCTGTGAGGTGTCAGTGTGATCTTAGAGCCATGTGGGGTGATGGGGGCATTGCACTCACACACCACCCAGGGCCTCCTAGCATTGCCTTCTCAAATCTCAGGCACGCAGCTCCACTCTCTGCTCTCAGTCACCTCAGCCACAAAGTGGACAGAGTGGGATCTGTCACCATAGGAAATTATTCGGATGCCACAGAAGCCTCCTTCCTGGTAGGTAAACCAAGCAGCCTGCCCAGGCAGAAGAGCTCATGGGCCACGTTAAGGCGCTCAGATCCCATGGTTTATTGAATTCATTTAAAACAAACACAAGGTTATTGTTTGTTTTTCAACTGTGTGGTGGTAGGAAGTGCTCCTGACGGTTTTCCCATGGCAATAATTTACTCCTTGATTTCACCCACCACTACTGTGACAGCTTTCTCTCACTGATTCACCCAAAAGTGGGCTTTTCTTTGTCATTCATTCTTTTTTTTTTTTTTTTTTTTGATGGAGTGCAGTGGCAAAATCATAGCTCACTACCTCAAACTCCTAGGCTCAAGTGATCCTCCTGCCTCAGCTTGCTCTGCAGCTAGACCCACAGGCACATGCCATCACACCCAGCTAAATTTTTATTTTTATTTTTTGTAGAGACAAGGTCTCAAACTCCTGGCCTCAAGCAATCCTCCTGCACAAAGTTTTAGGATTACAGGTATGAGCCACCATACCCAGCCTAAAAAAAAAATTTTTATTTTTTTATTTTTTTGAGACAGGGTCTCACTCTGTCACCCAGGCTGGAGTTCAGTGGCAAGATCTCGGCTCACCGCAACCTCCACTTCCCAGGCTCAAGCGATTCTCCAGCCTCAGCCTCCTGAGTAGCTGGGTCTACAGGCATAAGCCACCAACTCCTGGCTAATTTATGAATTTTTTGTTGAGACGGGGTTTCACCATGTTGCCCAGGCTCGTCTTGAACTTGAGCTCAAAATGATCTGCTTGCCTTGGCGTCCTAAAGTGCTGGGATTACAGGCCTGAGCCACTGAGCCCGGCCTCTAAAAAACTTTGTATTAACAACTTTCTTCTTCCAAAAAACCTGCAGTTCCCACTCTTGTCAATGTGTGTGAGGTGCCCATTACTCCATACTTTGGCCAGCACTTGCAATTATCCTCTAAATTTTTGCCTACTTGATGGGTAACAAAATGGCTCTCATATTTGTGTCTCTTTTTTTTTTTTTGAGACGGAGTTTCGCTCCTGTTGCCCAGGCTGGAGTGCAATGGCACAATCTCGGCTCACTGCAATCTCTGCCTCCTTGGTTCAAGCAATTCTCCTGCCTCAGCCTCCTGAGTAGCTGGGATTACAGGCACCCGCCACTACGCCCAGCTAATTTTTTGTATTTTTAGTTGAGACGGGGTTTCACCATGTTGGCCAGGCTGGTCTTGAACTCCTGACTTCGTGATTCACCCACCTCGGCCTCTCAAAGTGCTGGGATTACAGGTGTGAGCCACTGTGCCCGGCCTAATTTTTAGGCGGGGTTTCACCATATTGGTCAGTCTGGTCTTAAAACTCCCGACCTCAGGTGATCCACTCGCCTCAGCCTCCAAAAGTGCTGGGATTACAGGTGTGAGACACCGTGCCTGGCCGATAATTTGGTCTTGAGGTCCCTTTCATGAGCATGGCCATAGACTCTGGCTTTGCCCTGCCTGGGCTCCAGGGGATTAGATCATAAGTGTTTACAATGTGCTTTTCAGCAGATTTTCCTTTATCCTGGCAGGCAGCCCAATGCCTAAGTGTCTGACTTGTACACAGGTGTCCCTCTCACAGGAAATGTATTTATACTGGCCAAGACCCTTTGTGGCTCTTATCTGACCTGTGTCCAGTTTATTCCAAACCAGGAAAGTCATTAGGTTCAGGTGTGTCAGTCAAGTGACACACACAAAGGAGGCAACTCAACAAAACACATGAAATATCAGAAAGAGGCAGGGTGCAGTGGATCACGCATATAATCCTAGCTCTTCAGGAGGCCAAGGCAGGAGGATCACTTGATGCCAGGAGTTTGAGGCCAACCTGGCCAACATGGCGAAACCCTGTCTCTACTAAAAATAAAAAAATTAGCCGGGCGTGGTGGTGTGCGCCTGTAGTCCCAGCTACTCAGGAGGCTGAGGCAGGAGAACCACTTGAACCCAGGAGGTGGAGGTTGCAGTGAGCCAAGATCATGCCACTGCACTCCAGCCTGGGCGACAGAGGGAGATTCTGTCTCAAAAAAATAAAGGAAGAAGAAATAACAGAAGCAGAGGCTGGACATGATGGCTCACACCTGTAATCCTAGCACTCTGGGAGGCCAAGGCAGGAGGATCAGTTGAACTCAGGAGTTCGAGACCAGCCTGTGCAACATAGCGAGACCCTGTCTCTATTTAAAAATAAAAAAAGAAGAAAGAAAGATATAACAGAAGCAGTTTATTACTTATGGATCCCAGAGAGAAAAGAGCAGCACACTTCCCTGGGCCAGTGGGAAGGGGGCAGCTGCCTGAGACATGCAGGCTCAACCAGCAGGTGGAGAGAGACCCCCCCAAAGCCTTTACTGCGGTCCAGGGCATGGCGGAGACGGAGTTCCCCAGGAGAGTTCTAACTGATGGGTTTAGAACAAGCAGGCACAAGAATTCCATAGAGACACACTGTGATGGAGGTTGTCATATCTGCACAGTCCATTCATTGGAGGTGTGGGGATCAGTAGCTTGGGTCAAGTAGTTTGTATCTATCTAGCTGTCCCATACAGAGATGGTCCCATACAGGAGGAGGTGAGATAAAGCTGATACCTTGATCAACTCCAGTAAGAAACTGGAAGGAGAGCCGGGCATGATGGCTTACACCTGTAAACCCAGTGCTTTGAGAGGCTAAGGCAGGAGGATTGCTTGAGGCCAGGATTTTGAGACCAGCCTGGACAACATAATGAGACCCTGTCTCTAAAAAAGAAATAGAGAGAAGGAAGAGAGGCAGGGAGGGAGGGAGGAAGGACTGGGAGGAAGTATAGAGCTGGAAACTGTGTCAAGGATAACTAAGTCCAGATTTTGGCATGAGAAAGTTAAACATATTCAGAATGGATGCTAAGACAATATAGAATTATACAAATTCACCACAATGGCATATTAATTTGTTTTCATTTGAATTTCCGTGACCTCTAGTGTGAAAATGGTGTTTCTCTGTATGTTCATTGGCCATTTGCTTTTCTTGTTTATGAACTGTGGTATACTCTTGCCTACTTTTCTCTTTTTTTTTTTACCTTTTCTTATTAATTTGCAGGATCTCTCTACACACCAGGAATATTAACCTCTAATCTTATAAAGCTTTTATCTCAGGCTGGGTGCCGTGACTCACGCCTGTAATCCTACCACTTTGGGAGGACGAGGTGGGTGAATCACTTGAGTCCAGGAGTTCAAGACCAGCCTGGCCAACATAGCGAAACCCTGTCTCTACTAAAAATACAAAAAAATAGCCAGGCAGGGGGTAGCCAGGCATGCCTGTAATCCCAGCACTTTGAGAGACCAAAGCAGACGGATCGCTTGAGCCCAGGAGTTCAAGACCAGCCTGACCAACATAGTGAAACCCTGTCTCTACTAAAAATACAAAAAATTAGCCGGGCATGGTGGCGCATGCCTGTGATCCCAGCTACTCAGGAGGCTGAGGCAGCAGGGTTGATTGAGCCTGGGAGTTCGAGGCTGCAGTGAGTCTTGATTGCACCACTGCACTCCAGTCTGTGTGACAGAGTGAGACCCTGTCTTTACATAGATATAGACAGATGATGATAGATAGATGATAGATAGATAGATAGATAGATAGATAGATAGATAGATAGATGATAGATAGATAGATAGACAGATAGATGATAGATAGACAGACAGATATCCACATAGATACCTCAAACCTATTATGTCCCAAATCGACCTCCAGTCTTTCCTCTCGCATAAATGGTATCCCTGCCCTCCAGCTGGGTGAGCCCAAAACTTAGAATTTATCCTGGATTCCTCCATTTCCTTTACCTCCCACTCACATAACCCAAAGGCACATCCCATGGGTCCCCTCCCATACAGCTCTCTTTCCTGACCACTTATCCCCCGGCTTCCCATATTCAATAAACCTTTTAACTCTATACCCTGCCACAGGGCATAGAGCTGCAGCTAGCTCTTTCTACAAATGGTTTCACGGCCATCAGTCCAAACATACATCTTCTTTCACCTGGATCAATGCACTTATAAAAGCAAATGCTCAACAGCAATCTTTGATGGCTCTAATACTCACATCAATTAAAAATTTAAACGTTACCTTTCAGTCACCCTTCCCATCCTTTTAAAGTGGAATTCCTAAATCTAAAATGGTAAAAGTTAAAAAAAAAATAAAACACCAAGCTCATATGGCTCTATAAAATACAGAATAACTTTAAAATGTATCTTATAGGCGGGGCTGGGCATGGTAGCTCACGCCTGTAATCCCAGCACTTTGGGAGGCTGAGGCGGGCGGATCACAAGATCAGGAGATTGAGACCATCCTGGCTAACACGGTGAAACTCCGTCTCTACTAAAAATACAAAAAATTAGCCGGGCGTGGTGGCGGGCGCCTGTAGTCCCAGATACTCGGGAGGCTGAGGCAGGAGAATGGCGTGAACCCAGGAGGCGGAGCTTGCAGTGAGCTGAGATCATGCCACTGCACTCCAGCCTGGGCGACAGAGCGAGACTCCATCTCACAAAAAAAAAAAGAAATTATCTTATAGGCAATACTTTCACTTGTCAATTCTCTTTATTTATTTATTTATTTTTTGAGACGGAGTCTCGCTCTGTCGCCAGGCTGGAGTGCAGTGGCGAGATCTCGGCTCACTGCAACCTCCACCTCCCGGGTTCAAGCGATTCTCCTGCCTCAGCCTCCTGAGTTACTGGGACTACAGGCACATGCCATCACGCCCAGCTAATTTTTTTATTTTTAGTAGAGACGGGGTTCCACCATGTTGGCCGGAATTGTCTCAAACTCCCGAGCTCAGGTGATTGGCCCACCTCGGCCACCCAAAGTGCCGGGATTACAGGTGTGAGCCACTGCGCCCGGCCAATTTTTTTTTTTTTTTTTTTTTTTTTTTTTTTTTTTTTTGAGATGGAGTCTTGCTCTGTCGCCCAGGCCGGAGTGCAGTGGCGCAATCTTGGCTCACTGCAACCTCCACCTCCCGGGTTCAAGCGATTCTCCTGCCTCAGCCTCCAGAGTAGCTAGATTACTGGCGCATGCCACCATGCCCAGTTAATTTTAGTAGAGACAGAGTTTCACCGTGTTAGCCAGGATGATCTTGATGTCCTGACCTCATGATCTGCCCACCTCAGCCTCCCAAAGTGCTGGGATTACAGGCGTGAGCCACCATGCCGGGCCAATTTTTTTTTTTAAGATGTAGTCTTGTTCTGTTGCCCAGGCTGACCCATTGCTCTCATGTATGTTTGTTTGTTTGTTTGTTTTTGAGACAGGACCTGGCTCTGTCGCCGAGGCTAGAGTACAATGGTGCAATCATGACTTACTGCAGCCTCGACCTTGGGCTCAAGTGATCCTCCCACCTCAGATTCCCCAGTAGCTGGGACTACAGGTGCATTGCCCTCAGGCCCAGCTAATTTTTGTATTTTTTGTAGAGATGGGATTTCACTAAGTTGGCAAGGCTGGTCTCAAACTCCTGACCTCAGGTGATCTGCCCGCCTCAGCCTCCCAAAGTGCTGGGATTATGGACATGAGCCACCATGCCCTGCCTATAACTGCTTTTAAACATAATTTTATACTTTTCCAGGAGCGTCCTAATGCATACGTGTACTGCGTATTCTCGAAATTTATGCTTTTTTAAAACATAAACCAGGCCTGGCACGGTGGCTCATGCCTGTAATCCCAGCACTTTGGGAGGCCGAGGCAGGTGGATGATCTGAGGTCAGGAGTTTGAGACCAGCCTGGCTAACATGGTGAAACCCCGTTTCTACTAAAAATACAAAAAATTACCCAGGTGTGGTGGTGCGCACCTATAATCCCAGCTACTTGGGAGGCTGAGGCAGGAGAATCGCTTGAACCCAGGGGGCAGAAGTTGCGGTGAGCAGAGATCGCACCATTGTACTCTGGCTTGGGCAACAAGAGTGAAACTCCGTCTCAAAAATAAATAAATAAATAAATAAATAAATAAATAGCAGATTAGAAACCCGTCTGTGACTCAGGTTTTCTCATTTCTCTTAGAATAAAATTCAAACTCCTACAAAAGGCTGCGTGCATAGTGCCTCTCTCTCTGCCATCCCTAGCTTCACTTTCCTTGCCTGCATCCTATCAGACAGTCTGTCTCTCCAGCCCTTGAATATTTTGTTTCTTTCCTACCTCTTTTTTTCTTTTTTTGAGACAGGGTCTCGCTCTGTCACCCAGGCTGGAGTGCAGTGGTGTGATCATAGCTCACTGCAGCCTCAAACCCTGGGGCTCAAGCAGGTCCTCCCACCTCGGCCTCCTCAGTAGCTGCAACTACAGGCATGCACCACCACAGCTGGCTAATTAAAAAAAAAAAAAAAAACTTTTACAGATGGGGTTTCTCTGTGTTGACTAGTCTGGTCTTGAACTCCTGGCTTCAAGAGATCCTCCTGCCTCAGCCTCCCAAAGCTCTGGGATTACAGGCATGACCCATCACACCTGACCAGGACTCTCAAACTTACCCTTCATTTGTCCTGAAATCTTTCACTACAGATCCTCACGTAATTCATTCATTCTCATACTGCAGATTTTGGCTCAAAATAGCACCTAGCCAGAAATGTCTTTCAGACTCTCTTATTTTAAGGAGCTCTTGCCCCAAACCCACCCAAGTTACTTCCATCATCCTAAGTATTAATACTTTTGCTTGATTTTGTTCTTTTCTAGTTTCTGGGTTCTATGCATAGACCATTTTTACTAATATTCATATTTTCTTTTAAATACCTTAGAAAGATATTTTAGATTTCTTCATTTGAGCCATGCACATTCTTTGAAAATTTATCCTAAAATAGCTGGGCACCCAGCCCATCCCTTGAACCCAGGAGGTGGAAGTGGTAGTGAGCTGCGATTGTGTCGCTGAACTCCAGCCTGGGACACCGAGTGAGACTCCATCTCAAAAACAAACAAACAAACAAAAAAATGTTGGGCACAGTAGTTCATGCCTAGTCCCAGCTACTCAGGAGGCTGAGGCACGAGGATCACTTGAGGCCAGGAGTTTGAGATCAGCCTGGGCAACACAGCAAGACCTCACTCTAAAAAAAAATGTTAATGCTAACATATAACTTTGGTTCTGTTTGTGATTGGCATATGGTTTATATTATACTTTTTTTTTTTATTTGAGATGGAGTCTCACCCTGTCGCCCAGGCTGGAGTGCAGTGGTGTGATCTTGGCTCACTGCAACCTCCATCTACCATGTTCAAGCGATTCTCCTGCCTCAGCCTCCAGAGTAGCTGGGATTACAGGCATACACCACCACACCCAGCTAATTTTTGTATTTTTTTTAGTAGAGACAGGGTTTCACCATGTTGATCAGGCTGGTCTCAAACTCCTGACCTCGTGATCCGCCCGCCTTGGCCTCCCAAAGTCCTAGGATTACAGGAGTGAGCCACCGCGCCCAGCAAAAAGTTTTTTAACTAGCTGAGTATAGTGGCACGAGCCTGTAGTGCCAGCTACTCAGGAGGCTGTGGCGGGAAGAGGGAGGCTGCAGTGAGATATGATCGCACCACTGTACTCCAACCTAGGTGACAGCAAGAACTTGTCTCAAAAAAAACAAATAACTTCGGCCGGGCAAGGTGGCTCACACCTGTAATCCCAGCACTTTGGGAGGCAGAGTCGGGTGGATCCCCTGAGACCAGCAGTTCAAGACCAGCCTGACCAACACTGTGAAACCCCGTCTCTACTAAAAATACAAACAATTAGCCAGGCGTGGTGGCCGGTGCCTGTAACCTCAGTTACTCGGGAGACTGTGACAGAAAGATGAAGGCTGCAGAGAGCTGTGATCGCACCCCTGTACTCCAACCTAGATGACAGCAAGAACCTGTCTCAAAAAAATAGACAAATACATAAAATAAAATCGGAGTGAAGCTACCAATGTAATGTTGAGTGAGTGATATGTTTCAGAAAATACTTTCTAGATCCTTGATGTTTAATACGGTATCCCTAGTCATATGTGGCTATAGAAACGTAAACTACTTAAAACTAAATAAAATGTAGAATCTCATTCTTCAGTGACAATAGCCACAGTTCTACTGCTCAACAGACAATTGTGGCTTGTGGTTACTATATTGGACAGCACAGATATAAAACATTTCCATCAATATAGAAATTTCTTTTTTATTCTTTTTTTTTTTTTTTTTTTTTTTGAGACGGAGTCTTGCTCTGTCACCCAGGCTGGAGTGCAGTGGGGCGATCTCGGCTCACTGCAAGCTTCACCTCCCAGGTTCACGCCATTCTTCTGCCTCAGCCTCCCGAGTAGCTAGGACTACAGGCGCCCGCACCACGCCCAGCTAATTTTTTGTATTTTTAGTAGAGACGGGGTTTCACCATGTTAGCCAGGATGGTCTCGATCTCCTGACCTCGTGATCCGCCCGCCTCAGCCTCCCAAAGTGCTGGGATTAGAGGTGTGAGCCACCGCGCCCGGCCCCCAGTACAGAAATTTCTACAGGGTAATGCAGATCTAGAATATGATCCCATTTTAAAATAAAGTCCATGGCCAGGCATGTTGGCTGATGCCTGTAATCCCAGCACTTTGGGAGGCCAATGCAGGTGGATCACCTGAGGTTAGGAGTTCGAGACAAGCCTGGCCAACATGGTGAAACCCCGTCTCTACTAAATCTACAAAAGTTAGCTTGGCATGGTGTCGGGCACCTGTAGTCCCAGCTACTCAGGAGGCTGAGGTGGGAGAATCACTTGAACCCAGGAGGCAGAGGTTGCAGTGAGCTGAGATCGCACCATTGCACTCCAGCCTGGGCAACAAGAGCAAAACTCTGTCTCAATAAATAAATAAATAAAATAAAATAAAGTACGTATGTCACATGTGCGTTTACATGTGTATATATAAATATATTTAACAGGTTTTTAATCTGTTATGTGAATTTTTTAAATTTTTTCATACAGTGTCACTTTATTAAGTGGGTAGAAAATGTTAAATTTTTCTTTGAAACAAGGTTTCTTTTTTGGGGGGATGGGGGGATGGAGTCTCGCTCTGTCGCCCAGGCTGGAGTGCAGCGGTACGATCTCAGCTCACTGCAACCTCTGCCTCTTGGGTTCAAGTGATTCTCCTGCCTCAGCCTCCCAAGTAGCTAGGACTACAGGCGCCCGCCACCACGCCCAGCTAACTTTTGTATTTTTAGTAGAGACGGGGTTTCACCATGTTCACCAGGCTGGTCTTGAACTCCTGACCTCAGGTTATCCTCCTGCCTCAATCTGCCAAAGTGCTGAGATTATAGGCGTGAGCCACCACACCTGAGACACGGTTTCTTAAAACAAAAGAAAAAAAGAGACAGGGTTTCACTCTGTCACCCAGGCTGGAGTAAAGTAGCATAATCACGGTTCACTGTAGCCTCAACATCCCAGGGCTCAGGTGATCCTCCCATCTCAGCCTCCTGAGTAGCTGGGATTACAGGAGCATGCCACCACACCTGGCTAATTTTTGTACTTTTTGTAGAGATAGGGTTTCACCATGTTGCCCAGGCTGGTCTTGAACTCCTGGGCTCAGGCAATGCGACTGCCTCGGCCTCCTCCCAAAGTGCTAGGATTACAGGCATGAGTCACCACACCTGGCATAAATTATTAAATATTTAAAATTGCCAAGTTCCTTGGAGAAACTCTATTTGACTACATTGTTTATTTTTTTTAATATGCTGCTTCATAACATCTATTTATTTAAAAATTTCTTAACATATGATGCAGCAACTCCCCTTCTGGGTATATATCAGAAAGAATTGGGTCGGGCGTGGTGGCTCACGCCTGTAATCCAAGCACTTTGGGAGGCTAAGGCAGGAGGATCACCTGAGGTCAGGAGTTCGAGACCAGCCTTGCCAACATGGTGAAACCCCATCTCTACTAAAAATACAAAAATTAGCCAGGTGTAGTGGCACACGCCTGTAATCCCAGCTACTAGAGAGGCTGAGGCAGTAGAATCACTTGAACCCAGGAGGCGGCGGTTGCAGTGAGCCAAGATCACGCCATTGCACTCCAGCCTGGGGGATAGAGCCAGACTCTGTCTCAAAAAGAAGAAAGAAAAGGAAGGAGGGAGGGAGGGGGGGAAGGAAAGGAGGAAGGGAGAGAGGGAGGGAGGAGGAAGGAAAGGAGGAAGGCAGGAAGGGAGGAAGGGAGGGAGGAAGGAGGAAGAAAAGGAGGAAGGGAAGGAAGGGAATTAGAGGCGTGAGCCACAGCGCCCAGCTTACATTATACTTTCTAACCTACTAATGGCATCAAATAAATAGGAACCGGTATTTGAGAAGCACATATTATAATTGGAGGCTGCAGTGGCTCATGCCTGTAATCCCGGCACTTTGGGAGACAGAGGTGGGCAGATCGCCTGAGCCCAGGAGTTCAAGACCAGCCAGGGCAATGTGGCAAAACCCCATCTCTACAAAAAATCCAAAAGAATTAGCCAGGTGTGGTGGTATGAGCCTGTAGTCCCAGCTACTCCGGAGGGTGAGATGGGAGGATCACCTAGTCACAGGAAGGTGGAGACTGCAGTGAGCCGTGATCTGGCCAGTGCACTCCAGCCTGAGCCACAGAGGGAAGGACGGAAGGGAAGGAAAAGGGAACAGTGACAAACAGAGACCAGAAACACAGAGGGATGCTGAAGCATAAGGAACGAAAGACCCAGAGATACAGAAATTTAGGAACACGAAGAGACCCAAAGATAGTGACAGAAACAGAGAGACAGAGGAAAGTCTAGAAAGAAACAATGCAGTGACACCCAGCACCTTCATGTATTTATTTATTTACTTATTTATTTATTCATTCATTCATTTATTTATTTTTTGAGTTGGAGTCTTGCTCTGTTGCCCAGGCTGGAGTGCAATGGCACGATCTCAGCTCACTGCAACCTCCACCTCCTGGATTCTCCTGTCTCAGCCTCCTGAGTAGCTGGGATTACAGGTGTGCACCACCATGCTTGGCTAATTTTTGTATTTTTAGTAGAGACAAGGTTTCACCATGTTGGCCAGGCTGGTGTCAAACTCCCGACCCCAGGTGATCTGCCCACCTCGGCCTCCCAAAGTGCTGGGATCACAGGCATGAGCCACCTCGCCCAGCCTTATTTATTTATTTAGAGACAAGGTCTCGCTCTGTCATCCAGGCTGTAGTGCAGTGGTGCAATCACTGCTCACTGCAACCTTAACCTCCCAGGGCTAAGTAGTCCTTCTGCCTCAGCCTCCCGAGTAGCTGGGACCACAGGCATGTGCCACCACGCCAGGCTAATTTTTTATTTTTGTAGAGATGGGATCTCACTATGTTTCCCAGGCTGGTCTTGAATTCCTGAGCTCAAGCCATCCTTCTGCCTTGGCCTCCCAAAGTGTTAGGATTACAGGCATGAGACACCACGCCCGACCTCCCACATCTCTCTTTTTTTTTTTTTTTTTTTTTGAGACGGAGTCTCACTCTGTCGCCCAGGCTGGAGTGCAGTGGGGCGATCTCGGCTCACTGCAAGCTCTGCCTCCCGGGTTCACGCTATTCTCCTGCCTCAGCCTCCCAAGTAGCTGGGACTACAGGCACCCGTCACCACGCCTGGCTAATTTTTTATATTTTTAGTAGAGACGGAGTTTCACCGTGTCAGCCAGGATGGTCTCGATCTCCTCACCTTGTGATCCACCCGCCTCGGCCTCCCAAAGTGCTGGGATTACAGGTGTAAGCCACCGCGCCCGGCCTCCCACATCTCTTTAATTTTATATATTTATATGTACATATATACACGCATATATATTTATATATGTATAAATAAATACATACATATATATGTGTATATACACGCGCACACACACACACATATATATAGAAGCTTTTACTTTAAAGCTTTGATTATTGCTAAGTTTATTTTCATTGTCTCAAGATCTGTTTAACCCTGGAGCCAGACTGGGTCAGTGGGTCTGTGTGGTGCCTCATGTACCTGTCTCTGCCCCTTGAAGTTCTGTTTACCACCTCCAAGAGGCATAGCCTGCAGTCTCAGCAAAAGGATAGATTCCCAGGAAGAGTGCGAGAGAGGTTTGGGGCCCAGGTGGGCAGCCCACCCAGCTGACCCCACCAGGTGGGCATGATATCATGATATCAAATATGCTAAATTTGTGTCTGTGTACATCATGTTCTGGCCCCAGGGAAATGAGCACTTTGCTGGTGAGGTTGGTGACATTTTGTTTACCATCTATGCCTGAGGAGGAAAGACTGGAGGAAAGAAAGACCTAAGAGGCCAGTTTATATTCACAAACATGGAAGTCAAGCCTGTTCCACCTTTCCAATGCAATAGAGCACCTACTGGGAAAGCCATGCCTGGCCAGCCCCTGGCAAAACACACCTGAGGATTCATTCCTCCATTCACGCAATCATACCTTCAAGAAAAGTTCAGAGGGCGTGGTGGCTCGCGCCTGTAATCCCAACAGTTTGGGAAGCCAAGGCTGGCTGATCACCTGAGGTCAAGAGTTCGAGACCAGCCTGGCTAACATGGTGAAACCCCATCTCTACTAAAAATACAAAAATTAGCCTGGCATTGTGGTGCATGCCTGTAGTCACAGCTACTCGGGAGGCTGAGGCAGGAGAATCACTTGAAACTTGGAGGCGGAGGTTGCAGTGAGCTGAGATCGAGTCACTACACTCCAGCCTGGGTAACAGAGCGAGACTCCGTCTCAAAAAAATAAAAAGTGTATTGAGTGTTTACTGTGTGCCAGGCACTGGGGAGACATCAATGAACAAACTTCACAACCCACCAGGCACAGTGGCTCACGCCTGTAATCCCAGCACTTTGGGAGCTCAAGGCGGGAAAATCACTTGAGGTCAGGAATTCAAGACCAGCCTGGGCAACACAGCAAGATCCCATCTCTACAAAAAAATTTTTAAATTAGCCAAACATGGTGGCACACACCTGCAGTCCCCACTACTCAGAGTGGGAGGATCGCTCAAGTCCAGAAAGTCAAAGCTGCAGCGAGCTATGATGGCATTACTGTACTCCAGGCTGGGAGACAGAGCAAGATCCTGTCTCCAAGACATAATAATAATAATAATAATTCACATCCTAATGGTGTTGCTGGACTCCAGTGGGGAAAGTGGTCAGTGGAATTCCTTAGAAGGTCCACAGACCTAGGAAGAGACTTCAGGAACTGCAACCAATCCCTGACTCTCTAGGGCCTGAGGAGGCACTTGGATGGGAACACCCTCCACCTCCCAAGAGAAGCAGTTGACTCCTCCACGAGGAAGCACTGGACAGCCAGGAGGTGCCTCTTGTTAACCAAAGTGGGCTGTTGACCTTGAACTCCAGCTCAGAGATCTTGTCCCTGGTCTTGTTCTCAAGACTCATCAGGTTCTCTCTTTCTCTGGACATGGAATCTAGATCTTCAATTTTGAAGCCAAATCTATGGGAGTAAAACAAAGAGATTTGATTAAAACAAAAGATGTTGTGCAAAACTCAAAAAATAAAACAGGCTGGGCGCTGTGGCTCAGGCCTGTAATCCCAGCACTTTGGAAGGCCAAGGCAGGAGGATCACTTGAGCCCAGGAGTTCGAGACCAGCCCTGGCAACAAACAGAGACTCTGTCTCTACAAAAAATGCAAAAATTAGCCTGATGTGGCGGTACACGCCTGTAGTCCCAGCTACTCGGGAGGCTGAGGTAGGGGGATCCCTTGAGCCTGGGAGGCTGAGGCTGCAGTGAGCCGTGATCCAGCCACTGCATTCCAGCCAGGGCAACAGAGCGAGATCCTGTCTCAAAAAATAAAATAACAGTAGTCCCAGCACTTTGGGAGGTCGAGGCAAGCAGATCACTTGAGGTCAGGAGTTCTCAACCAGCCTGGCCAACATGGTGAAACCCCATCTCTACTAAAAATACAAAAATTAGCCAGGGGTAGGGGGGCACACCTGTAATGCTAGCTACTGGGGATGCTGAGGCATGAGAATCACTTGAACCCGGGAGGCGGAGTTTGCAGTGAGCCAAGATCACGCCACTGCACTCCAGCCTGGGCAACAGGGCGAGACTCCGTCTCAAAACAACAACAAAAATAAACATGAGAAGCTAGATGACTGTAGCTGGCTGATCACCTGCTTGGCAGCCACAGCTTTTACCTGTGTCTTGGGCTTGGGACTCATGGAGCAGAGTGGGTGTCGCCCACAGGACGCATGAATGCTTGGAGCTTACTGGATCCCTGCATCCCTCCCATCTGTGTTCAGCTCACATTCTTAGTATGTCTAACAGGTCTCATGAGTTGCTTTTTTTTTTTTTTTGAGACGGAGTCTTGCTCAGTTGCCCAGGCTGGAGTGCAGTGGCGCGATCTCAGCTCACTGCAACCTCCGCCTCCCGGGTTCAACTGATTCTCCTGCCTCAGCCTTCCGAGTAGCTGGGATTACCGGCGGGTGCCACCACGCCTGGCTAATTTTTTGTATTTTTAGTAGAGACAAGATTTCACCGTGTTCGCCAGGATGGTCTCGATCTCCTGACCTCATGATCCGCCTGCCTCAGCCTCCCAAAGTGCTGGGATTACAGGTGTGAGCCACCACGCCCGGCTTGAGTTGCTTCTTAATATCCATCCTTCATTTCACCTGTCTGTGTCCTTATTTATAGGGCTCTTGTTCCCTATATAACAGAATTGAAAATTCCCTTTAAAAAAATACAGCAAATGCACACAGAGGATCAGAGGATGGAGGGGAGAATTTGATGAGATAACCAGGGAAGTATTTAGTACAAAGCCTGGCACAGAGTCCATGTGCAGTACATGTTAATTATTGTGATTATCTAAGGAAAAATAAAGAGACACAGAGAAAAGCAAAAAGGTTGCCTTAGGCCAGGTGCGGTGGCTCACACCTGTAATCCCAGCACTTTGGGAGGCCGAGGCAGGCAGATCACCTGAAGTCATGAGTTCGAGACCAGCCTGGCCAACATGGTGAAACCTTGTCTCTACAAAAAAAAAAAGACAAAAATTAGCTGGGCATGGTGGCACGCGCCTGTAATCCCAGCTACTCAGGAGGCTGAGACACAAGGATCACTTGAACCCAGGAGGCGGAGGTGGCAGCGAGCCGAGATCACACCACTGCACTCCAGCCTGGGTGACAGGGCGACACTCTGTCTCAAAAAAAAAAAAATAAAGGCCAGGTGCGGTGGCTCACGCCTGTAATCCCAGAACTTTGGGAGGCCGAGGCAGGCAGATCACCTGAGGTGAGGGGTTCGAGACCAGCCTGGCAAACATGATTTAGTAGAAACCCCGTCTCTACTAAAAATACAAAAATTAGCTGGGCGTGGTGGCAGGCACCTGTAATCCCAGCTACTCGGGAGGCTCAGGCAGGAGAATCGCTTGAACCCGGGAGGCGGAGGTTGCAGTGAGCCGAGATCACACCATTGTACGCTAGCCTGGGGGGACAAGAGCGAGACTTCGTCTCAAAAATAAATAAATAAATAAACAAATAGGCTGGGCGCAGTGGCTCACGCCTGTAATCCCAACACTTTGGGAGGCCAGGCGGGCGGATCACGAGGTCAGGAGATCGAGACCATCCTGGCTAACACGGTGAAACCCTGTCTCTACTAAAAATACAAAATATTAGCCAGCATGGTGGCAGACGCCTGTAGTCCCAGCTACTCGGGAGGCTGAGGCAGGAGAATGGCGTGAACCCGGGAGGCGGAGCTTGCAGTGAGCCGAGATCGCGCCACTGCACTCTAGCCTGGGCAACAGAGCGAGACTCCATCTCAAAAGTAAAATAAAATATAATAAAATAAAATAAATAAAATACAAACACTCCCTTAGTCCAGGGCAGGGACCAGATACAGAGATACCACTCTAAAGGCAGACATTGGTGTTGGGGTTTGGTGAGTTGGATGGCGAGTGAACAGATGGCTAGTGGGAAGGGAAAGAGAAGAGGAAAGGGTTCTCCATCCAGTACCTGGTCCCCAAGTTAATGAGTGGAGGATCCCAGCCTGCCCCACCAGGAGGGAATACATTTGCATAAGGTCCCTCATCTGCATGGCATCCCAGGGAATTTGCATAGAGATGGCAGCCTGGGGCCACATCAGTATGACCCCTCCTCCCAAGGGTTGAAACTCCAGCCTACATTACAAAGGCCTAGGGCAATAGGAAAGTGGGAGGGGTGAACCTCAGGATCTGGGGCTCCAGGAAGTAAAGAGAAGTTGGTAGTAAACTACCCTTGCTCTTTAACCTTCTGTGGTTCCCAGAGCATGAGCCGCCCTTCAGCTGGCATTCTGGACCTTCTAAGATACTGACCCTCACATCCCCTGCTCCCGCTGTCACCACCCTCCTACCTGGAATGCCCTTCCCCATATCCCGTGCTGTGACAAAGCTTGCCTATTCTTCAAAGCCTGGACATCCTGAAGAATTCTGAAAGCTTTCACCACCAGCCCCTCCTTGCCCTGCCCTTGGAAATTTACAAAGCTCTGTGCATCTCCCAGACATGTACAGATTTTTTGGGGTATATAGTTTATTAGTAAGGTTATATTTGATTGCAAATGACTATATATATATATATATATATATATATATATATATATATATATACACACACACACACACACACACACACACACACACATAGTCTCATACATATATATATATATATAGTCTATACATATATATATAGTCTCATATATATATATATGTATACCAGGAGTCATGTCTCATGCTTGTAATCCCAGCAGTTTGGGAGGCCAAGGCAGGAAAATTGCTTGAGCCTAGGAGTTCAAGACCAGCCTGAGCAACCTAGTGAGAGCCTGTCTCTACAAAAAAGTCAAAAGATGAGTCTGGCAGGCCGAGCACGGTGGCTCACGACTGTAATCCCAGCACTTTGGGAGGCAGAGGAGGGCAGACCACTTTAGGTCAGGAGTTCAAGACCAGCCTGGTAATATTGTGAAACCCCGTCTCTAATAAAACTGCGAACATAGCCAGGCGTCGTGGCCCAAACCTGTAGTCCCAGCTACTTGGGAGGCTGAGGCAGGAGAATCACTTGAACCCAGGGGGCAGAGGTTGCAGTGAGCCAAAATCACACCACTGCATTCCAGCCTGGGCAACAGACTGACACTCCGTATCAGAAAAAAAAAAAAAAAAAAAAAGATTGGCCGGGTGCGGTGGCTCACGCCTGTAATCCCAGCACTTTGGGAGTCCGAGGCGGGCAGATCACAAGGTCAGGAGATTGAGACCATCCTGGCTAACAAGGTGAAACCCCATCTCTACTAAAAATACAAGAAATTAGCTGGGCATGGTGGCGGGCGCCTGTAGTCCCAGCTACTCGGGAGGCTGAGGCAGGAGAACGGCGTGAACCCAGGAGGCAGAGCTTGCAGTGAGCCAAGATCGCTCCACTGCACTCCAGCCTGGGCAACAGAGCAAGACTCCGTTTCAAAAAAAAAAAAAAAGATTATTCTGGCACAGTGGCGAATGCCTATAGTCCCAGCCACTTGGGAGGCTGAAGTGGGAGGATTGCTTGAGCCTGAGAGGTGGAAGCTTCAATGAGCCATGATTGTACCACTGCACTCCAGTCTGGCCAACAGAGCATGACCCTGTCTCAGAATAAGAGCCGGGTATGGTGGCTCACGTTTGTGATTCCAGCACTCTGGGAGGCCGAGGCAGGCAAATTGCTTGAGCCCAAGAGTTCAAGACCAGCCTCGGCAACAACCCAAAAACCCATCTCTACAAAAAAATAGAAAAATTAGCCAAGCATAGTGGCACATGCCTGTAGTCCCAGCTACTCGGGAAGTTGACATGGAAGGATCCCGAGCCAGGGAGGTCATGGCTGCAGTGAGCCATGGTAATGTCACCACACTCCAGCCTGAGCGACAGAGTGAGACCCTGTCTTAATTAAAAAAAAAAAAAAAAGACTGAGGGGAGGAAGTGGTTAGGGGAGCTGCTGCTGCTGCTAAAAGAAAGGAAAGGTTGCCAGGCAGGTAAAATACTTGGCATCAGCTCCATAGCTCCGTCAGGAAGCCTTTGCCCCTACCTATGCCCCTACCTTCTAGTGGTTATGGCTCTTCAGTGAAGTGCCACCTCTGGGACTCCTTGACACTAAAAGTCAACTCCCCAGGCGGGCGTGGAACCCACCCAGTCATTTGTCACCAAACTTGGTGCTCAGCCTCATGCTTGTGACCCAAGGGTGTGAAACTCCAGCCTACACCTCTGGGGCATTTTTTTCTTTCTTTTTTTTTTTTTCCTTTTTTTTTTGGCAGAGCCTTGCTGTCACCCAGGCTGGAGTGCAGTGGCACAATCTTGGCTCACTGCAACCTCCACCTCCCGGGTTCAAGCGATTCTCCGGCTTCAGTCTCCCAAGTAGCTGGGATTATAGGCACCCGCCACCACATCCTGCTAATTTTTGTATTTTCAGTAGAGACAGGGTTTCACCACGTAGGCCAAGCTGGTCTCAAACTCCTGACCTCAGGTGATCCATCTGTCTCGGCCTCCCAAAGTACTGGGATTACAGGCTTGAGCCACCATGGCCAGCCTCCTGGGGCTTTCTTCCTGGGCTCATCCCTGCTCACAAAGAACAGCCAGGAGAGAGCTAAGCCCACTCATTCGTAGGCCAGGAGAAAGGAGGTGCTAGAGGCCTTCCTAGAAGAAGACTTCCTGGGGACTGGTTCTTTTGTTCAATGGATAAACGGGGGTCCCAGGATTTTGCAAAGCAAGTTAGTAGCAAGGCTGGCACTAAAACCCAGAGGTCCTGGTCCACAAACCTGGCCTCAGATTGGGGAGAGAAGGTCAGAGAGATCTAAAGCACATTTATTGCCAGGCGCGATGGCTCACACCTGTAATCCCAGCACTTTGGGAGGCTGAGGTGAGAGGATCACTTGAGGGCAGGAGTTCAAGACCAGCCTGGGCAACAAAGCGAGAATCAAATTCTACAAAACATTTAAAAATGCACCGAGCAGCCGGGCACAGTGGCTCACGCCTGTAATCCCAGCACTTTGGGAGGCCGAGGCAGGTGGAGCACGAGGTCAGGAGATCGAGACCATCCTGGCTAAGACCATGAAACCTCGTCTCTACTAAAAATACAAAAAATCAGCTGGGCGTGGTGGCAGGCACCTGTAGTCCCAGCTACTCGAGAGGCTGAGGCAGGAGAATGGCATGAACCTGGGAGGCGGAGCTTGCACTGAGCCAAGATCGCGCCACTGCACTCCAGCCTGGGCGACAGAGCAGAGACTGTCTCAAAAAAAAAAAATGCACCGAGCATAGTGGCACATGCCTGTAGTCCCAGCTACTCAGGAGGCTGAGGCAGAGGATCCCTTGGGCTGGGAAGTTTGAGGTTAGAGGGAGCCAAGATCTGCACTCCAACCTGGGCGACAAAGCACAACCCTGCCTCAAAATTAAATACATAAATAAATTAAGCACATTTATTTATTTTACTGTTTTATTTTATTATTATATATATTTTAAGAGACGGGGCTCTACCATGTTGCCAGGCGTGTCTTGAACCCCTAAATTCAAGTGATCTGCCAGCCTTGGCCTCCCAAAGTGCTGGGATTGCAGACATGAGCCACTGCGCAAGGCCTATTTGTGTATTTATTTATTTTAGAGACAAAATCTCTCTGTCTCCCAGGCTGGAGTGCAGTGGCTCAATCACAGCTCACTGCAGCCTCAACCTCCCTGGGCTCAGGTGATCCTCCCACCTCGGCCTCCCGAGTAGCTGTAGCTGCTATGCATTTATTATGTGTGCGCCTATTTGTCCAGCCATCCTCACACCCAGTTTGTGCCAAGCCTGAGACACAAGCTATCTGGAGCTCACATGGCATGGAGGTTAAAAGCACAGACTGGCCGGGTGCAGTAGCTCACCCCTGTAATCCCAGCACTTTGGGAGGCTAATGCAGGCAGATCACAAGGTCAGGAGTTCGAGACCAGCCTGACCAACATGGTGAAAGCCCGTCACTACTAAAAATACAAAAATTAGCCGGGCGTGGTGGTGCGTGCCTGTAATCCCAGCTACTCAGGAGGCTGAGGCAGGAGAATCACTCAAACCTGGGGGGCGGAGGTTGCAGCGAGCCGAGATTGATTGCGCCACTGCACTCCAGCCTTGGCAACAGAGCCAGACTCCGTCTCAAAAACAAAAAGAGCACAGACCATCCGGGCCCAAAAGAAGCACCCGGCCTGCTATGTGTCTTTGCTGGGTGGCTTGGGGCAAACAACCACCCTGTGCCTCAGTTTACTTTTCAGTGAAATGGGGATCACCATGGTGTCCCCTTCATGGGATCCCTGTGAGGAACTAACTAAGAGAAATAAGGTGCTTAGAAGAGTCAGCTCTGGCTCTGCCATTTTGTTTATTTTTATTTATTTTTAATTTCTATTTTATTTTATGTTTTTCAGACTGAGTCTCACTCTGTTGCCCAGGCTGGAGTGCAGTGGTGCGATCTCGGCTCACTGCAACCTCCAACTCCCGGGTTCAAGCGATTCTCCTGCCTCAGCCTCCCAAGTAGAGACAGGGTTTCACCATGTCGGCCAGGCTGGTCTCGAACTCCTGAACTCAAGTGATCCACCCGCCTCAGCCTCCCAAAGTGCTGGGATTACAGGCGTCAGCCAGGGCGCCCCGCCCTGGCTCTGCCATTTTGTAACTCAGTGAGTCACTTCATCTCTCTGCTTCAGTTTCCCTATCGCCCATGGCGCTGCATGGCTTACATGAGATAATATTCGCAGTGCACTTAGATCAGTGCCTGGCACACGGTAAGTGCTGACTACATGTATTAACAGTATCGTAAGTGCCGGGCGCGGTGGCTCACACCTGCAATCCCAGCATTTTGGGAGGCTGAAGCGGGTGGATCAGGAGGTCAGGAGTTTGAGACCAGCCTGACCAACATGGTGAAACCCCGTCTCTACTAAAAATACAAAAATTAGCCGGGCGTGGTGGCGCGCGCCTGTAATCCCAGCTACTCAGGAGGCTGACTCAGGAGAATCGCTTGAACCCAGGAGGCAGAGGTTGCAGTGAGCCGAGATCGCGCCACTGCCCTCCAGCCTGGGCGACAGAGCGAGACTCCGTCTCAAAGAAAAAAAAAAAAAAAGGATCATAACTAAGACTCGAATGCGGAGGGATAACAGCCTCTGCTACTTGAAACCTAGTCCTTCTGGGGAGGAAAGCCCAGGTGTGTGGCAGGTGGAAGGGAGGGCGAGCCTAGGTGGTCCTCTTGCTAGGGCAAGAAGCCCCCAAGCACCTGCCCCCAGCTGAGCAGCTCCGCGCCTCCTGGCCCTGGACGAACTTGGGCCCAGACTGGCGCTCCGTGGCACCCCCTCCCCCGGCCTCCCGCTTCGCGCCCTCATCCCGCCCCCCGGCGCGGCCTCACCAGCTCCCCCTGGGCAGCCCAAAGAATGCGAAGAGGTAGGTGGGGGTAGGGAGGAGGGCGAGCCGCTGGGAGAGACAAAGGGCCCGAGTCTGAGCGAGAGACACAAAGACGCGAGGAGGCTGGGGAGATAGGGGAAGTGGGACAAGGACGCGGGGAGTGACCAGGTCCGGAGGCCGGACTGGAGCCCAGCCCCACCCAGCCCGGCCGGGCCAGCGCAGCGCGGGGGCCGGTCTCTGCTGCCCCCTGGCGGGTGGCTGCGGTGAGAAGGCGGCGCGGAGCAGGTGTTGGGAGGGGAGGACCAGGGCGCGCAGGGAGGTAGGGAGGGAAGGAAGCAGAGAACAGAGCAGGGACAGAGAGACAGCGAGAGAGACTCGCACGCAGAGACAAGAGACGCCGAGAGGGAGACACAGAGAAAGAGACAGGGACAGAGAGACACAGATAGAGACAGAGAGAGACACACGGAGAGACAGAGACAGAGAAGCACAGAGATAGAGAGGCACAGAGATAGAGACAGAGAAACACAGAGACAGAGAGGCACACAGAGACAGAGAGGCACAGAGACAGGCCGATAGAGACAGAGATACACAGAAATAGAGACAGAGACAGAGAGGCACACAGATAGAGACAGAGAGACACAGAGACAGAGTCAAAGGATGGAAAGAGACATGGGGACCAAGTGACCCAGAAACAGTGACAGACAGGCCGGGCTTGGTGGCTCACGCCTGTAATCCCAGCATCTTGGGAGGCCGAGCCGGGAGGATCGCTTGAGGCCAGCCTCAGCAACATAGTGAGACCCCGCCGCCCCCCCGCCCCGTCTCTTTTATTGAAATAAAGAAACAGTGACTGACAAAGGAAGACCAGAAACAGAGCGACACCGAAGCATGAGGACGGAAAGACCCAGAGAGGCAGAAATACAGGGACAGAGAGGAAGACCCAAAGAGAGTGAGAGAGACACAAAGACACGTAAGAGAGACAGAGAAATCCAGAAAGAAACGAGTGCAGCGACACCTAGAGTTCGGGGCAGAGATTAGAAACGCACGAGGGTACGAGAAACAGGCTCAGGGCGATGGGCTCGACCTGCGGGGAGGTCGCACAACCGGGACGTGCTGGGGGCAGAACCGTAAAGCCCCACGTGCCTCAGGCAACTGTGATGAGAGGACCCGGGCAGGCAGGAAAGGGCAGGATTCGAACTGTGGGTGGGACAGAGGCCAGGACGGACTGAGCTAAGAGACCGAGAGAACTCCGGCTAGGGCGAGGGGCGGGGCTGGTGGAGGCGGGGCTGGTGGGGGCGGAGTCGGCCGGAAGGGCCGAAAGGGGCGTGGCAAGACCTTGGCGAGGCGGCCGGTAGGCAGGGGGCGGGGCGTGGGAACTACTCGGGAGCAGAGGGGGCGTGGCTAGACCTTAGGGGGCGTGGTTTAACGCCGGGAGCGAAGGAGACAGAATTCTTTGGCAGGGGCGACCTTAGAATCCTGGGGAGGAGCGAGAATGGAATCCCGGGGAGGAACAGGGGTGGAATCCGGGGGGCGGGGTCAGAACGCCAGGAGGGGGCGGGGCCGGAGCCAGGGTCGGCTTGACTCGGGGGAGCAGCGGGTGGATCCTGTGACGTCAGCGGGTTCGAACCGCCGGAGCTGAGCGAGAGGCCGGGGGTGCCGAGCCGGGCGGGGAGAGCTGGGCCGGGAGAGCAGAACAGGGAGGCTAGAGCGCAGCGGGAACCGGCCCGGAGCCGGAGCCGGAGCCCCACAGGCACCTACTAAACCGCCCAGCCGATCGGCCCCCACAGAGTGGCCCGCGGGCCTCCGGCCGGGCCCAGTCCCCTCCCGGGCCCTCCATGGCCCGGGCCGCTGCCCTCCTGCCGTCGAGATCGCCGCCGACGCCGCTGCTGTGGCCGCTGCTGCTGCTGCTGCTCCTGGAAACCGGTGAGACGAGCGGACGGCCCCCTGCCCTCGCGCGGACCCCCTCCAACCTTACCTTCCGAGCTGGGGAAGCCGAGCACCTTCCCCGCCCACCCCCGGCTCCCCGAGCCCCCTCTCGCGTGCCCCCTTCCTGGCTGGCCCCACAGACTCCGACCCCCTACACGTCCGATTCTCTCGAGGAGACTCTGACCCCTCCTTTCTGCATCTCTCTCACCACCACCCCCATCCTTCTTAATCCAATTGCCCATCCTACGCCTGCTTGTCTGTCCCCCTCCCCATTTCTCGGATTCCCGCGCCGAAAGGGTTAAATCCCAGGAAGGCCTGGTGCCCCCTCCCCACCCCGCGCCGAGTAGTTCACCCGGATCTGGGTCTCTGTCTCCTCTACCCCTCTCAGGAATGTGGGGAATGTTCCCCCCACCTACCGCAGTAAGGTCTCGAGGAAGAGGCGAGACCACCTCCCTCCCCTATTTTTCCTTCTTCCCGGCTTGGGCGTCTGAGGCCCGGAGAGAACTGAGGACAAGCGGACCTGATTCGGGTCCCTTGGAGGGCTAAGGATAAGAGTTCTGGCGACTTAGGGGGAAGGGCCTGAGCTCGGAGCTCCAACCCCGAACCTCAGGGAGTTGGGGGTTCTGACTCCGTGGACTCCAGAAAAATTAGGGGCCGGGGGCTCCGTCTTCAGGGTCCCTGGTAGAATGGAGGCTAGGCGCTAAGTCTAACTGGGATCTAGGTAAAACTGGGGGCGAGAGAGGATCAAACTTGTAGCTTCTGGATTTAATTGTGGGCAGGGGGCTTCGTTTTCAGGGTTCCCGGCAGAACCGGGGGACAGGAGACTCGATCTCGTGGGCTTCAGACTTAATTGTAGGCAGAGGAACGTCTTCTGAGATCCAAACAGAAGTGCGAGCAGCGGGCCCCGTCTCTTGGGCTCCAGATATGATCAAGGGTCGAAGGCTCTGTCTTGAGGCTGGAGTCTCAGTCGCCTGAGTCCCAGATAGAACGGGAGGCCCCGAGTCCCAGAGGCTGGGAGACTCCTCCCTTTCCCTATGAATGGTCGGGGGCGACGGAGACGTCGCCGGGGAAGTTTTCCTGGTTTCACTCTCGCCGAGCCAGGGAGGGGCGGGGCGGGCGCTCCTGGCTCCGGGTTCCGGACTCCCCGGTTTCGGGACCTTATCTATCCTCTGGTAGCGCCTTTGTCCTCAGAGCCATAGCAGGAGGTGGACGAGTGGAGCCGCCGCCCTTATCCCCCGTCCCTCCCATTGCTATGCCTTGGACCCCCTGGCGTCCTTCCATCCACCCCACTAGGGGAGGAGAGCGGCCCCCCTGGGGAGGGAGGGGCTGGGAGGGAACCCTTGAAAGAGGCGCTGGCCCCGCCCCTTGCAGGTGACCCGGTTGTGTATTCCCAGCGACAAACTCTGGGATGCTAGAGTTTCCCGAGGGTTTGCGCAGAAGAGAGCTCAGGGGGATCTTGGGGGAACCCCGGCCACCTCTCTGGCCTCATTTCCCCCAGGATGGCTCTCACTGGCCTCCCAGCTTTGACCCAGAGCTGGGAACTCCGCTTCCATCCCCTGCCTCTCCCTTCAGGCAGAAATAGGCAGATGAGATCAGAACTGGCACCTCTGGGTGAATTCTCCGAACCCACCAGACCCTGAGCCTACTGTTAGCTTGGTGCATGATCTCACCGAAGGCTCCAGCTTGCCCTGGGAAACAGGTCCTGTTTCTGTTTCCATCTTAGAGATGAGGAAACAGGCTCAGCAAAGGCAAGCAGCCTTCTCAAGGTCTCACAGCAGGTCCCGGGGAAGCCGGGCTCCGGTTCTTCAGAGCCCCGCACCGGGTGGGCTCCAGGAAGTGCCTCTGAGTTTCCATTTCCTCCCTCGTAAAAAAACTGAGATAACAATCCTTTCCCTGCGGACCATCCGGAAGGCTCCCAGGCCCCACTGATTCCCTGTGAAACCTCTTAGCCCCTGGAGAAGGAGCTGTCGGCCCCTTTCTTGACCACCCCCACCCCAATCCTTCGCCTCTGCTGTCCACTGGCTGGCCGGCTGGCATGTGCTCGCTCTCCCTCTCTCTCTCTCTCCCCTCCCCCTCCCTGTTTTCCTCCTTCCCTCACTTTCTTTCCCCCTCTTCATCTCTCTTCGTTTCTCACCCTTTCTCTCTCCATCCCTCTCCAAGCTCTTTCTCTCTTCTCCTCTCCCCATCTCTCTCTCTCCTCTCCGTCTTTCTCTGTATACCTGTCTAGCTCCACTGCCTCCCCCGCTTGGCCTCCTCGGGGAATGCGGGTGCACCACCTGGGCCCCCAGCTGGGCCGGCTCCCCTCCCCCAGCTTTCTTCCCTGCCCATCCGTGTGTCCATGTCCGCCAGGCAGCCCCACGTAGTGGAGGGGGAGGGGAGCAGAGGGACGGCAGCCTGGCTGTCTCCTCTCATTAGGGAAGGGGGACTGGGCAGAGGAGAAGTTGGGGGGTGGGTATATAGAGAGGCTGGAGCTACAAGGATGGGTACAGAGGCCAATAGAGGGAAGCGGTCAGACACAGATTTAGGAATGGGGTCAGAGACACGTGTAGGAATGGAATCAGAGGATAGAAGGGGAGTGAAATGCCGGCACAGGGTCGGGGGAGTGAAATACCGACACAGGGATGAGGCTGAAAGACACTGGAATGGGACGGAGGAGGGTGGGGGAAGGGAGCTAGACATAGATACCAGATGAAGGCAGGGACAGGAAAAGGAAAGGGGTTTGGTGACAGGCAGGGAGCCCCAAAGACTCCAGCTGTGGGACAGCAGAGGTGCCGTGACCCACGGAGGTCAGGGTACAGGGGGCCTCAAGGCCAGCGACATGTGGGGGCCACAGGGAGTGATGAACACAGAAGGGACAGGGAGCTGGGCACATGGGCCAGCTCCCCCGCCCCTGCCTGGGACGCTGTTACATTTTTAATGTCCCAGCAGTGCTGACAAATGGAGCAGGAAGGGGAGGAGAAGAGGGGACCCAGCAAGATGGGCCAGGCTGTGAGAAGGTGTGTCAGAAATATGGGGAGACAGGGCACTGGAGACCCAGGAGGCAGGGAGACTCCACAGTCAGAGACAGAAACAGAGACGTAGACCAGAAGGCTTGTGAGAAGAGAACCCCAGGAATCAAGGCAGAGAGCCAGGTTCCAGACACAGGGAGACCCAGACGGAGAAAGAGACCGGAGATGTCAGACATACAGAGGAAAGAGGAAGAGAGTGACTAACGGGGACAGGGTATCTTCTCAGGCTAATGAAAATGTTCTATAATTGCTCGGGTGATGGATGGCTAACTCTGAATATACAAAAGCCACTGAACTGTACACTTTAAATGGGTAGATTGTATGGTATGGGAATAATGTCTCAATAAAGCTGTTACAAAGAGACAGAGAATATAAGAGGCACAGAGCAGAGACCAGAGACTCTGGGGGACACAGATAAGAGTGACAGAGGCCAGGCACATTGGCTCATACCAGTAATTCCAGCACTTTGGGAGGCTGACGCAGGAGAATCGTTTGAACCGAGTTCAAGGCTGCAGTGAGCCCTGATTGCACTACTGCACTCCAGCCTGGGCCACAGAGCAAGACCCTGTCTCAAAAGAGAAAAGAGTAACAGAGACCCCAAGAGAGACCCTGGGAATTGGAGACACAGAGGGACAGGGACCCTAAGAACTAGACACAGAGAGAGATAGAAGAGGCCCCGGAAGACACAGATAAGAGACGCTAAGAGACAGCAGGGATACCATTAAAAGACTTTCAAGAAGCCAGGCATGGTGACTCATGCCTATAATCCTAGCATTCTGGGAGGTCCAGGCAGGTGTATCACTTGAGCTCAGGAGTTCGAGACCAGCCTGGGCAACACGGCGAAACCCTGTCTCTGCAAAAAATTTAAAAATTAGCCAAAGGTGGTGGTGTGTGCCTATAGTCCCAGCTACTTGGAAGGCTGAAGTGGGAGGATCACATGAGCCAGGAAGGTTGAGGCTGCAGTGAGCTGAGATCACACCACAGTACTCCACCCTGGGCAACAAAGCAAGATCCTATCTCAAAAAAACAAAACAAAACACACGGATTAGAGGAGGCCAGGGGGCAGGTGCAGAAATCCAGGCACAGACAGACAGCCCTACATCCTGGCTGCTGCAGCCGCTGCTCACTCCCTGAACCAGCTCCTGGATTTCCGCTGTGGGGGTTGGGCACTGTGATTAATACAATTAATTAACTGACAAGGTGACTGAGGCAGCAGCTGAGGCCAGTACTCAAAGCCTCTGGCCTTCAAGGGCCTTCTCTAGTCCCGACGTGCCTTGCCATGGGAGGCTGGGTCGCTGTGCTTTATAGATCTGCGGGGGAAGCCAGGCCCTGGGGAGCCAGCCAGGCAGGAGTCCAGGAGCCCAGCTCCTCCTCCCCTAGACCCAGGTGTCCAGCTTCAGGCCCCGCCTCCCTCAGACCCAGAAGCCCAGGCCCCAGCCTCTCCTCCCTCAGACCCAGGAGTCCAGGCCCCAGCCCTCTTCCCTCAGACCCAGGAGTCCAGGCCCCCATCCCTAATCCCTCAGACCTGGGAGTTCAGGCCCCCATCCCTGCTCTCTCAGACCCAGGAGTCCAGGCCACCAGTGCTTCCTCCCTCAGACCCAGGAGTCCAGGCCCCCATCCTTCCCCTCTCAGACCCAGGAGTCCAGGCCCTTAGTCCCTCCTCCCTCAGACCCAGGGGTCCAGCCTCAGTCCCCTGCTCCCTCAGACCCAGGAGCCCAGGCCCCCTGCTCTTCCTCCCTCAAACCTGGGAGTCTAGGCCTCCAGCTCCTCCTCCCTCAGACCCAGGAATCCAGGCCCCCAGCCCCCTCCTTTCTCAGACCCAGGAGTCCAAGCCCCCAACCTCTCCTCCAGGGTTCCATAGGTCACTCTGCACCCTCCTCGCTGCCTTGGTCTACCCATCCCTGGATCTCGGGGTCTCAAGCTGTGTCTGTCCCCATTGTTCTCCCATGGGCTCACACTACACCCTGGGCAGCCTCCACTCTGCCACCACAGGAAGCCTGCAGGTGCAGTCCACAGGGAGAGGAAGTGTGTCTGGGGACCCAGCTCACACTTCATGAAGCTGTCACCAGTCTGGCTTGCCCAGTGACACTGAGGGAGGCTGGTGTTCCCATGGCCACAGTCCCCTGGCTATGGTGCTGGCCATGTCCTGGCCAAGTTCATGGCACAGCCCCTGCCTAGCAGTGTGCTGGATGATGGGGGCTCACTCCAGGCTGACCAACCTCCTGGCTGTATCTCCCTTGCCTCCACCTGACATGCAGAGCGTCTGGGCAGCGGCCCTCACCCCTGTCCCCTTTACCTCCGCAGCCCTGTCAGCCTCCAAGTCCCAACCCTCCCAGCTTCTCCCTGTCACCCCCACCGCTGGTCCTGCTTTCCCATTCCAAGTTCTGAGTGTGTTTCCAATCTCGCCATCCTCCGTCCCCACAGCCCCGACCCTGATCCCGGCGCCTCCCCCCGAGACCCCTGCCCCACTGAGGGCTCTTTCTTTTTTCTTTTTTTTCTTTTTTTGAGACAAGAGTCTCACTCTGTTGCCCAAGCTGGCAATAGTGTCTCACTCTCTCACTCTGTCTTCCAAGCTGGTACAGTGGTGTGATCTTGGCTCACTGCAACCTCCGCCTCCCAGGTTCAAGCAATTCTTGTGCCTCAGCCTCCCAAGTAGTGGGGATTACAGGCAGGTGCCACCATGCCCAGCTAATTTTTGTATTTTTAGTAGAGACGGGCTCTCACCGTGTTGCCCAGGCTGGTCTCCTGAGCTCAGGTGAGCCACTGCACCCAGCCTGTGAGGGTTTTTTCTTTCTCTTTTTGTTTTTTTTGTTTTTTTTTTGAGACATGGTAGCCACCACCTGTAATCCCAGCTACTCAGGAGGCTGAGGCAGGAGCCCGAGACAGAGCAAGACTCCGTCTCAAAAAAAAAAAAAAACAGAAAAGACTTGGGCTTGTTTCCTGAGGGCTCTGTGCAGAGGAGGGCGTGTTCTGCACTTTCTAGCAGGATCCTTCTAGCTGTGCATAGGAACAAACCACAAGGACAACTGCAGTCCTCCAGGTGGGAAGTGGCAGTGGATTAGACCAGGGCAGGGACTGGGGAGGCGTCAGAGGTGGTCTAACTAGATAAATGTCAAAGAAGGAGGTGACAGGGTTTCCTGATAGATTGCTTATGAGGTGAGAGAGAAAGAGGTGAAAATGCCTTAAAAATGGACTGTAGGCAGGACGCGGTGGCTCACGCCTGTAATCCAAGCACTTTGGGAGGCCAAGGCAAGAGGATCGCTTTAGTTCAGGAGTTTGAGAACAGCCTAGGCAACAAACAGTGAGACCCCTTCTCTACAAAAAAAAATTTTTTTTAATTAGTCAAGTATGGTGGTGCCCGCCTGTAGTCCCAACTACTGAGAAGGCTGAGGTGGTAGGATTGCTTGAACCCAAGAGGTTGAGGCTGCGGCAAGCTGGGATCCTGCACTCCACCCTGAGCAACGGAGTGAGATCCTATCCCAGAAAAAAAAAAAAGGAATGTTAACCCCACAGGGCCTGAACTATCCTATTCATTCATTTGGAATTAGAAATTCAGAATGGGGAACTTACAGCAATGGGATTTTTTTTTTCAGACGGAGTCTCCCTCTGTCCCCCCAGCTGGAGTGCAGTGGCGCGATCTCAGCTCACTGCAAGCTCTGCCTCCCAGATTCACGCCATTCTCCTGCCTCAGCCTCCCGAGTAGCTGGGACTACAGGGGCCTGCCACCACGCCCAGCTAATTTTTATATTTTTAATAGAGACGTGGTTTCACCGTGTTAGCCAGGATGGTCTCAATCTCCTGACCTCGTGATCTGCCTGCCTTGGCCTCCCAAAGTGCTGGGTTTACAGGCGTGAGCCACCACAGCTGGCCCTTTTTTTTTTTGAGATGGAGTCTCACTCTGTCCCCCAGGCTGGAGTGCAGTGCTGCAATCTCAGCTCACTACAACCTCCGCCTGCTAGGTTCAAGTGATTCTCCTGCCTCAGCCTCCTGAATAGCTGGGATTACGGGGGCCCGCCACCACGCCCGGCTAATTTTTGTATTTTTAGTAGAGACGGGGTTTCACCATGTTGGCCAGGCTGGTCTCAAACTCCTGACCTCGTGATCCGCCCTCCTCGGCCTCCCAAAGTGTTGGAATTACAGGCGTGAGCCATTGCGCCCAGGGATTTTAGAACCTCATTCATTCGTTATTCAGCAAGTACTGAGCATCTACTAGGTACCAATCTCTCTTGCAGATACTGAGGGTACAGGTTGTGAGCAAAACAGACAGAAGATCCCTGCCCTCGTGGCGCTGGCAGTCAGTTTCCAGGAGGATGTGATATATCTAGTGTGTGAGATGGTGAGAAGCACTATGCAGACAGAGAACGTAACAGGGCAAAAGGGCGGAAGAGCAGTCAACCAGGGAGGGGAGAGGAGGTGGCAGCTGAGGTGGAGTATCTCGGGGTAAAAGAACCCCCCGAGGAGTGTGCCCCACAAGAAGCTAAAAGTGGTGGGTTTGTTTGAGACCGAGTCCTCACTCTGTCACCCAGGCTGGAGTGCAGTGGCGCAATCTCAGCTCACTGCAACCTCCACCTCCTGAGTTCAAGCGACTCTCCCTAAAGTAGCTGGAATTACAGGCATGCAGCTAATTTTTGTATATTTAGTAGAGACAGGGTTTCACTGTGTCGGCCAGGCTGGTCTCGAACTCCTGGCCTCAAGTGATCCATCCACCTTGGTCTCCCAAAGTTCTGGGATTACAGGCTTGAGCCACCGCCCCATCCTAAAGTCGGTTTTTTTGTTTTAATCCTCCAAATCCAGTAGTGCTCAGATGCCATCCTAAATGGAGGATTGGAGGGGAGCCTCCCTTAGAAGGAAGATCTGGGCCCCTGGAAGCCACAGGACTGCTCCTTAAGTCAAGAACTCTGAATCTGGCCAGGTGCAGTGGCTTATGCCTATAATCCCAACACTTTGGGAGGCCGAGGCGGGTGGATCACTTGAGGTCAGGAGTCCGAGACTAGCCTGGCTGACATGGCGAAACCCCATCTCTACTAAAATTACAAAAATTAGCTGGGTATGGTGGTACATGCCTGTAATCCCAGCTACTTGGGAGGCTGAGACAGGAGAATCACTTGAGCTGGGGAGGCGGAGGCTGTAGTGAGCCCAGATTGCGCCACTGCACTCCAGCCCGGGCAACAGAGTGAGACTCCACCTCAAAAAAAATTTTTTTAAAAAGAACTCTGAGTTGCCGGGCGCGGTGGCTCACGCCTGTAATCCCAGCACTTTGGGAGTCCCAGGCGGGCGGATCACGAGGTCAGGAGATCGAGACCATCCTGGTTAACATGGTGAAACCCCATCTCTACTAAAAAAATTAGCCGGGCGTCGTGGCGGGCACCTGTAGTCCCAGCTACTCGGGAGGCTGAGGCAGGAGAATGGGGTGAACCCGGGAGGCGGAGGTTGCAGTGAGCCGAGATCGCGCTGCTGCACTCCAGCCTGGGTGACAGAGCAAGACTCCGTCTCAAAAAAAAAAAAAAGAACTCTGAGTCAGCCTGGCGCAGTGGCTCACACCTGTAATCTCAGCACTTTGGGAGGCCGAGGCGGGCAGATCACGAGGTCAGGAGATCGAGACCATCCTGGCTAACACGGTGAAACCCCGTCTCTACTAAAAATACAAAAAATTAGCAGAGCGTGGTGGCGGGCGCCTGTAGTCCCAGCTACTCGGGAGGCTGAGGCAGGAGAATGGCATGAACCTGGGAGGCGGAGGTTGCAGTGAGCCGAGATAGTGGCACTGCACTCCAGCCTGGGCGAAAGAGTGAGAATCTGTCTCAAAAAAAAAAGAAAAAAACTCTGAATCCCAGAGACCCAGGGACTTGGAGGAGGTGAAGGGTGTGGGGCTCCAGGGACCTGGGGCTCAGCTTTTCAGGTCTCCTCCTCCAGGAAGCTCTTCTTTCGTTCATCGTCCCTCCCTCCTTCAGACAGGTCAAGCCTCTTCAGGTTCCTCCCATACCACCCCTACTCCGTCTTCCAGGCATTCTTGGTGATAATTATTTGTGCAATATTTGTACCCCCTGCAATCTGGATGTCAACCCTGGAAAACAAGCACCTGATTTGTCCTGTTACTTCTGCAGCATCCACACTTAGCAACATTCATTCACTTGGCAGTGTTTACTGAGCACCTACTACATGCTAGGCCCTGTTGTAGGTGCTGGGGATACAGTAGGGGAAAAACACAGACAAACCTCAGGGCTGGAGAGGGCAGACCCTCTAGCACCCAGGACCTGTTTGTTGAGTAACTATTTGTTTTTTGGATTTGACCTATAAGATGTGAAAGAACAGCCAGATTCTTCCAGGTTCTGCCTTTTCCTGATCCCTCCCTCTCTCCCTACTACCAAATCCCTTCCATTTTAAAATTTTAAATCCTGGTGGGGCACAGTGGCTCACGCCTATAATCCCAGCAGTTTGGGAGGCTAAGGTAGGCAGATCACCTGAGGTCGGGAGTTCGAGGCCAGCCTGGCCAAGATGGTGAAACCCTGTCTCTACTCAAAATACAAAAATTAGCTGAGTGTGGTGACATATGCCTGTAATCCCAGCTACTCGGGAGGTTGAGGCAGAATTGCTTGAACCCAGAGGCAGAGGTTGCAGGGAGCCAAGATGGCGCCACTACACTCTGGCCTGGGTGATACAGCGAGAATGTGTTTCAAAAAAATAAAATCCTAAGACCTATTAGCCTCCTCCCCAACACTCAGTCTCAGTCTTAACCTCTTGTTCTTTTCATTGCCAACTTTTTGTGTCATTTTGCTGTCTGGTCATCTATCTCTGCTCAGCCCACCACCTTCCCCTCAGGCCTCCTTGGATGAAGTTAAGTCATTCTCTATTTGAAGAACCCGCAACGGCTCCCACTTGCCACAAAGAGGAAACTAACTTCCTCGGCCCCAGCCTACTTTGCTGTCTCTGCAGTTCACACAGGCCCAAATGGCTTTCCTTGACCCTCATTGAGTGGCCTTCCCCCCTTGCCTAGCTAGGAAGGGGCCAGAGCGCTTAACCACCCTGATCCCAACCTTAGTGCCTTTGGGGGCCAGGCGGGTGATAAGTCCCAGCACCTGGGGAATCTGGAGGAGCCGGAAGGGAGTGTGCCTTGTGGGAGGGGGGTGATGTCCTTCCTCAGCCCCACCCAGCTGTTGCCCCCAGGAGCCACATATCCGGACTTCTGTCTGGAGCTTTAGACAGCAATCTCCAGGCCTTCTGTGTGGGCTGCTACTTCCCAACTGAAATAACACTCTGTGGGCCAAAGCAAACATGCACCACAGTCAGATCTGGCCTGCAGCAGGCGGCTGACCCCTGCTGCTCTGCTCACCTGGGCCACGCCCCGTGAACATCCCCCATGAGCAAGTCCTTCCCTGGAACTGGCACAAGGGACCCTGGAGGGTGGCTGAAACATCCCCATTTTACAGATGGAGGAAGTTGGGCTTGGAGACAAGGCTGCCAGCTGGAAAGGGTGTCAGCGTTAAATAACAAGATTCAGAAAATAGGATTAAGTATAGAGTTTATTCAAGCCTAAAGCTTGAGGATGGCCACCCCGGAGTGTGGATTCAAGTTGCCCCAAATAAACCCTTTGACTAGCTGTGATTACAAGTGGACTTTTTTTTTTTTTTTTTGAGACAGGGTCTCACCCTGTCACTCAGTCTGGAGTGCAGTGTGTGATCATGGCTCACTGCAGCGTCAGTTTCTCGGGCTCCTGGCCTTGAGTGATTCTCCTGCCACAGCCTCCCTAGTAGCTGGGACTACAGGCCCTAGCCATCTTGCCCAGCTATTTTTTTTTTTTGAGACGGAGTCTTGCTCTATTGCCCAGGCTGGAGTGTAGTGGCACAATCTCTGCTCACTGCAACCTCCACCTCCCGGGTTCAAGCAATCCTCCTGCCTCAGCCCCCCTAGCAGCTAGGATTACAGGCACCTGCCACCATGCCCGGGTAATGTTTATTTTTTTAGTAGAGATGGGATTTCGCCATGCTGGCCAGGCTGGTCTCGAACTCCTGACCTCAGGTGATCCACCTGCTTTGGCCTCCCAAAGTGCTGGGATTACAGGCGTGAGCCATCGTGCCGGGTTTTTGTTTTTGTTTTTTTTTTTTTAAGAGATGAAGTCTCACTATATTGTCCAGGCTGGTCTCAAACTCCTGGCCTCAAGTGATCCTCCACCCACTTCGGCCTCCCATAGTGCTGGGATTACAGGCATGAGCCAACGCACCCAGTCTGCAAGTGGATTTTTAAGGAACAAAGAAGAGAGAGTTCCTAAATTGTTACCAAGAATTTACATTGAAACAGCATAAGGTATCTGCAGGTCTGGCTCAGAAAAAAAGATAACAGAAGGTATTGATTGGCTATGCACTGTTTATTGTATCACAAATTCCAGGAACAAGAAGCTAATGGGGAGGGCAGCTGTGCAGGAACCACTGCCTCGGGCATGGGTGGAGGAGGCGTGTGACCGAAGTCCCCTATTCACTGTACAGTCTCCCTGGGCCTGATACATTTCGCATAGCTCAGACTGATCTGAGCTATTTTTCTTTTCTCAAGTTGGGTGGGGGTGGCCCCTCTGGACTGGAAAAGCCTCATTTTTCCCCCAAGTGACACACCTGAGTTTGTTTGACTTGTTTCCCCCAAGTGACACACCTGAGTTTGTGGGACTTGTGTGGAGATGATGTATTTATGTCACACTTCAGTCTTCGCTGATGGCTTTTTTTTTTATATTTATTTACATTTTTTCTTTTAAGGTAGGCAGGGCCTCATTCTATCGCCCATGTTGGAGTGCAGTGGCGAGGTCTCTGGGTTCAAGTGATTCCCCTTCCTCAGCCTCCCAAGTAGCTGGGAATACAGGGGCCCGCCACCACGCCCAGCTAATTTTTGTATTTTTGGTAGAGACGGGGTTTCACCATATTGGCCAGGCTGGTCTCGAACTCCTGACCTCAGGGTGATCCATCCGCCTCGGCCTCCCAAAGTGCTGGGATTACAGGCATGAGCCGCAGCACCCAGCCTTTTTTCTTTCTTTCTTTTCTTTTTGTTTCCCCTCCCGAGACCGAGTCTCTCTCTGTCACCCAGGCTGGAGTGCAGTGGTATGATCTCAGCTTACTGCAACCTCCACCTCCCGGGTTCAAGCAATTCTCCCACCTTAGCCTCCTGAGTAGCTGGGATTACAGGTGCCTGCCACCACACCCAGATAATTTTTCTATTTTTAGTAGAGATGGGGTTTTGCCATGTTGGCCAGTCTGGTCTCAAACTCCTGGCCCCAAGTGAGCCTCCTGCCTCGGCCTCCCAAAGTGCTGGGATTACAGGTGTGAGCCACCACACCTGGCCTTATTTTATTTTTAATTTCTGTTCTTGTATTGCTATAATTTACTGATGATTTCTTACCCAAAGATCCTCGGCCTGTCCCCACCCAAGGGGACTGCCTTCCACCGGGGACCCCTCATAAGAGTTACTCATTAGGATGGTGTTCCCTGGGGTTCCTGTGTGTATGACGCCAGGGCCTGTGCACCGCCTCCATGGCCCATCTCCATCAGACAGAGCTGGGCAGTGGTGTTGGCCCTCGAAATGAGGCTTGTGCCCTGGCCTTTCCTGGCCTGGGGGCTGAGTGCCAAGGCCACCTGTAATTAAACTGAGCTTCCTATGTTTACTTAGCAAGCACTGACCTCTCATTTCCTGGGGCCCTATGCTGAGTGTTCCACAGCTATTCTTTAATCTTTAAACAGCCCTTGGGACGCAGGCACTATTATTAACCTCACATCACAGCTGGGGAAACTGAGGCACAGAGAGGTTAAGTGGCCTGCACAAGGTCGCAGAGCCAGGATTCAAACCCATGAACTATGGGCCACTCAGTCGCCATGCTGTACTGCCGTGCACAGCAGAGGAAGATTTGTTCTTGTTCTTGTTTATATTAAAAGTGAGAAAACATGGGCCACACGCCGTGGCTCACGCCTGTAATCCCAGCACTTTGGGAGGCCAAGGCGGGTGGATCACCTGAGGTCAGGAGTTTGAAACCAGCCTGACCAACATGGTGAACTCTGGTCTCTACTAAAAATTCAAAAATCAGCCGGACCGTAGTGGCTCGCACCTGTAATCCCAGCTACTCAGGAGGCTGAGGCAGGAGAATCGCTTGAACCCAGGAGGCAGAGGTTGCAGTGAGTTGAGACCGTGCCACTGCACTCCAACCTGGGTGACAGAGCAAGACTCCGTCTCCAAAAAAAAAAAAAAAAGGTGAGAAACCACTTAGGCTGGCTGAGAACTGCAAACATGCGTCCACATAAAAACTTGAACTTGCATGATCCCAGCAGCTTTATTTATCAGAGCCAAAAAGTTGAAACAACCTCAATGCCTATCAGCGGCTGAATGGATAAACAAAATGTGGTCCGTCCATGTAGTGGAATATTATTGAGCCTTAAAGAAGAGTGAAGCGCCGACACGTGTTACAGATGGATGAACCTGGAAAACAAGATGCCAAGTGAAAGAAGCCAGACACAAAGGCTACATAGTCTATTACATGAAATGTCCAGAACAGGCACATCAACAGAGACAGAAAGTTGCATCGTGGCTGGGGGAATGGGAAGTGACTGCTTAATGGATAAGGGGGTTACTTAGGGAATTATAAAAATGCCCAGGCTGGGCGCAGTGGCTCATGCCCGTAATCCGAACACTTTGGGAGGCCGAGGCAGGTGGATCGCTTGAGCTCAGGAGCCTAAGCAACATGATGAATCCCCATCTCTACAAAAAATACAAAATTAGCTGGGTTTGGTGGCTCGCACCTGTAGTCTCAGCTACTTGGGGGGCTGAGGTGGGAGGATCACTTCGGCCCCAGAGACGGTTTGCAGTGAGCAGAAATCGCGCCATTGCACGCCAGCATGGACAGAGTGAGATCCTGTCTCAAAAAATAATACCTTAAAACTGATTATAGTAACAGATGTAAAACTCCAAATATACTTAAAGCCACTGAATTGTACTGTATTTTTTATTTTACTTTTTTATAAAAAAATTATATATATATATTGTTTTTTCTTTTCTTTTCTTTTTTCAAGACAGAGTCTCACTTTATCACCCAAGCTGGAGTGCAGAGGCGCGATCTCGGCTCACTGCAACCTCCGCCTCCTGGGTTCAAGTGAACACGTCCGGCTAATTTTTATATTTTTAGTAGAGACAGGGTATTTCACCGTGTTGGCCAGGCTGGTCTCAAACTCCTGACCTCAAGTGGCCCACCCACCTCGGTCTCCCAAAGTGCTGGAATTACAGGTGTGAGCCACTGCACCCAGCCTTAATTGTATACTTTAAATGGGTGAATTGTGTAGCGTAAGAATTTATATCTCGATAAAGCTGTTTAAAAAAAAAAAAAACTACGTAAAAAATGAGCAAAGGACCCGAAGAGACATTTTTCTAAAGAAGACATACAGGCAGCCAACAAACATGAAAAAATGCTCAACATCATTAATCATCAGAGAAATGCAAATTTAAACCACAATGAGGTGCCATCTCACCTCAGTCAGAATGTCTGTTACTAAAAAGTCTAAAAAAACAGATGCTGGCAAGGATTTGGAGTAAAGGGACCGCTTACCCACTGTTGATGGGAATGTAAATTAGTACAGCCTCTATGGCAAACAGCATGGAGATTTCTCAAAGAACTAAAAATAGAACTACCATTTGGTCCAGTATTCCACTGAGTATCCTCCCAAAGGAAAAGACATCATTATATCAAAAAGACACCTGCGCTTGTATGTTTATTGCAGCACTATCCACAACAGCAAAGATATGGAATCAACTTAAGTGTCCATCGATGAATGGAGGATTGGATAAAGAAAATGTGGTCTATATCTACAAAGATTTCATGACGAAATTGCCAAAAGCAGTGCAGCAAAAGCAAACATTGACAAATGGGATCTAATTAAACTAAAAAGCTTCTGCACAGCAAAAGAAACTATCCTCAGAGTGAACAGACAACCTACAGAGTGGGAGAACATTTTTGCAATCTATCCATCTGACAAAGGTCTAACATCCAGAACCTACAAGGAATTTAAACAAATTTACAAGAAAAGAAAAACCTAAAAAAGTGGGCAAAGGACACGAACAGACACTTCTCAAAATAAGACAGTCATGCAGCCAACAAACATGAAAAAAATGCTCAACATCACTGATCGTTGAGAAATGCAAATCAAAACAATGAGATACCATCTCACACCAGTCAAAATGGCCATTATCAGAAAGTCAAGAAACAACAGATGCAGGCAAGGTTGTGGAGAAATAGGAATGCTTTTACACTGTTGGTGGGAATGTAAATTAGTTGAACTATTATGAAGACAGTATGGCGATTCCTCAAAGATCTAGAACCAGAAATACCATTTGACCCAGCAATCCCATTACTGGTATATACCCAAAAGAATATAAATCATTCTATTACAAAGATACATGTATGCGTATGTTCATTGCAGGACTATTCACAATACCAAAGACATGGACTCAATCCAAATGCCCATCATGGATAGACTGGATAAAGAAAATGTACAGGCCGGGCACTGTGGCTGACGCCTGTAATCCTAGCACTTTGAGAGGCCGAGGCGGCGGATCACGAGGTCAGGAGATCGAGACCATTCTGGGTAACACGGTGAAACCCCGTCTCTACTAAAAATACAAAAAAATTCACTGTGTGTGGTGGCGGGCACCTGTAGTCCCAGCTACTCGGGAGGCTGAGGCAGGAGAATGGTGTGAACCCAGGAGGCAGAGCTTGCAGTGAGCCGAGATGGCACCACTGCACTCAGGCCTGGGCAAAAGAGTGAGACTCCGTCTCAAAAAAAAAAAAGAAAAGAAAAAAGAAACCTGCACATGTATCCTGGAACAATAAAAAAAAAAAAGAAAGAAAATGTGGTATATGTCTACCATGGAATACTACACAGCCATAAAAAAGGATGGGATCATGTCTTTTGCACCAACACGGATGGAACTGGAGGCCATTATCCTGAGTAAAATAGAAAGTCAAATACCACATGTTCTCACTTATAAGTGGAATCTAAACAGCAGATACACAAAGATTGGAATAATGGACAGTGGAGACTACAAAAGGTGGGAGGGAGGGAAACAGGTGAGGGTTGAAAAATTAACTGTTGGAGGCTGGGCACAGTGGCGCACACCTATAATCCCAGCACTTTGGGAGGCCGACACGGGTGGATCACGAGGTCAGGCGTTCGAGGCCAGCCTGGCCAACATAGTGAAAACCCATCTCTATTAAAAATATTAAAAAATTGGCCGGGCGCGGTGGCTCACGCCTGTAATCCCAGCACTTTGGGAGCCCGAGGCGGCAGATCACGAGGTCAGGAGATTGAGACCATCCTGGCTAACATGGTGAAACCCCGTCTCTACTAAAAATACAAAAAAAAAAAAAAAAAAAATTAGCCGGGCATGGTAGTGTGCGCCTGTAATCCCAGCTACTCGGGAGGCTGAGGCAGGAGAATTGCTTGAAATTGGGAGGTGGAGGTTGCAGTGAGCCGAGATCACACCACTGCACTCCGGCCTGGGCAACAGTGCGAGAGTCTGTCTCAAAAAAAAGAAAAATTGACTGTTGGAAGCCAGGTGCATTGGTGCATGCCTATAATCCCAGCACTTTGGGAGGCTGAGGCGGGCTGCTCACTTTGAGTTCAGGAGTTTGAGACCAGCCTGGGCAACATGGCAAAACCCTATCTCTACAAAAACAAAAATTAGCCGGGCACTGGTGGCACATGCCTGCAGTCCCAGCCACTCAAGTTGCAGTGAGCCAAGATTGTGCCACTGCACTTCAGCCTGGGAGACAGAGTGAGACCCTGTCTCAAAAAAGAAAAAGAAAAATTAACTGTTGGGTACGCTGTTTGCTATTCAGGTGATAGATATGCTAAAAGCCCAGACTTCACCTCTATGCAATATATGTATGTAAGAAACTGGCACTTGCACCTGCTAAAAATATAATAATTTTAAAATTTTTATTTTAATAAAAAAATAGAAACTTAGGGCCAAGGGGGGAGCTGATCATTTGAGGTCAGGAGTTCGAGACCAGCCTGGCCAACGTGGTGAAAGCCCATCTCTACTAAAAATACAAAAATTAGCCAGGCATGGTGGCGGGCGCCTGTAATCCCAGCTACTCAGGAGGCTGAGGCACAAGAATCCCTTGAACCAGGGATGGAGGTTGCAGTGACCAAGATTGCTCCACTGCACCCCAGCCTGGGCAACAGAGCGAGACTCAGTCTCAAAAAAAAAAAAGAAACTTGAGAAAAAATGCTATGTAGGAGGTCTGTAGGTTTCATAGGAAGGTGAGAGAAAGTATATTACTGAGGGGGGATGAAGACAATACTCAGCCTTTAAATGTTTTAAAATGTATTTTATGAAAGTTTTTTTTTATTGATTTATTTTCAGAGGATTCCCCCCCCCCAAAAAAAAATCTTATGAAAATTTTGGGGTGGGCTGGGTACAGTGGCTCACGCCTATAATCCCAGCACTTTGAGAGGCTGAGGTGGGAGGATCACTTGAGTCCAGGAGTTCAAGACCAGCCTGGGCAACATAGCGAGACATTGTCTCTACCAAAACAAACAAACAAAAAATACAAATTAGCCAGGTGTGGTGGTACATGCCTGTAGTCCCAGCTTGAACCTGGGAGGTCAAGGCTGCAGTGAGCTGGGTGGCCCACTGCACTCTAGCCTGGGTGAAAGTGAGGCCCTGTCTGAGAAAAAAAATGTAGTTGAAAGAAAAGAAAACTTTTATTTTTTTATTTTCTTTTTTAATTTTAAAGGCAGGGTCTCACTCTGTTGCCCAGGCTGTTCTTGAACTCCTAGGCTCAAGCATTCCTCCCACCTTGGCCTCCCAAAGTGCTGAGATTGAAGTCTTGAGCCACTACCCTGGCCATCATGTCAACTTTTAAACATACAAATACAGGTAAGAATGGCCTGGTGGCCGGGCGCGGTGGCTCACGCCTGTAATCCCAGCACTTTGGGAGGCTGAGGCAAGCGGATCACGAGGTCAGGAGATTGAGACCATCCTGGCTAACACAGTGAAACCCCATCTCTACTAAAAATACAAAAAAGAAAAAAATTAGCCAGGCATGGTGGCAGGCGCCTGTAGTCCCAGGTACTCAGGAGGCTGAGGCAGGAGAATGGCGTGAACCCAGGAGGCGGAGCTTGCAGTGAGCCGAGATCGCGCCACTGCACTCCAGCCTGGTCAACAGAGCAAGACTCCGTCTCAAAAAAAAAAAGAAGAATGGCCTGGAGCCTCCCTCACCTTCTCCACCTAGACCCACTTGACAATGGGTGACATATTTTGGTTTTTGCTGAACCATTTAGGAGTAACTTGAGATCATGACATTGCGACTTCATATCTTCTGGGAAAAATAGTGTGTGCACAGCCACAATTTAATTATCACACCTCGGAACATGAACAGCAATTCCAAAATCATATGTAATATGAACTCATAGTACACGTTATAGTTGTATAATAGAATAGTCATTTTAGTCTTCCCTAAAATGTCTTTTCCAGGTGGCTTTTTTGGAATCAGGATGCTGCGAAGCTGCCTACGTTGCATGCGGAGCCTGCATTTCCCGTGGGGCCCCCTTCGTGGTGGCCCTGCCTGGAGGTGTCTGGGTCCCTCCCCCACCCGACTACTTCACTCTCTGTCCTCTCTGCCCAGGAGCCCAGGATGTGCGAGTTCAAGTGCTACCCGAGGTGCGAGGCCAGCTCGGGGGCACCGTGGAGCTGCCGTGCCACCTGCTGCCACCTGTTCCTGGACTGTACATCTCCCTGGTGACCTGGCAGCGCCCAGATGCACCTGCGAACCACCAGAATGTGGCCGCCTTCCACCCTAAGATGGGTCCCAGCTTCCCCAGCCCGAAGCCTGGCAGCGAGCGGCTGTCCTTCGTCTCTGCCAAGCAGAGCACTGGGCAAGACACAGAGGCAGAGCTCCAGGACGCCACGCTGGCCCTCCACGGGCTCACGGTGGAGGACGAGGGCAACTACACTTGCGAGTTTGCCACCTTCCCCAAGGGGTCCGTCCGAGGGATGACCTGGCTCAGAGTCATAGGTGAGCAGGGTAAGGGCGGGAGGCAAGGAGGTGGGAGGGCCGCGGTGTGGGAGCATCCCCTTGCGGGTCAGTTTCTCTCTTGGCTTCAGCTGTGAGGTTCACATTCTCTGTGGGTTTCCATCCATCAGCAAATGTTCATTAAGCACCTACCGCGTGCCAGATGCTTTTCTGTGTGCTGAGGATGTGGCAGGCAACCAGGCATTCTTGGGAAAAACAAAAAAATAAGTATTGGCTGGGCGCAGTGGCCCACCCCTGTAATCCTAGCACTTTGGAAGGCCGAGATGGGCAGATCGCCTGAGGTCAGGAGTTCAAGACCAGCCTGGCCAACATGGTGAAACCCTGTCTCTACGAAAAATAAAAAATTAGCTGGGTGTGGTGGCCCGTGCCTATAATCCCAGATACTCAGGAGGCTGAGTCAGGAGAATCGCTTGAACCCAGGAGGCAGAGGTTGCAGTGAGCCGAGATTGTGCCACCACTGCACTCTAGTCTGGGTGACAGAGCAAGACTCGGTCTAAAAAAAAAAAAAGTATTGAGGTTGGGTGTGGTGGCTCACGACTATAATCCAAGCACTTTGGGAGGCTGAGGCAGGTAGATTGCTTGAGCCCATGGTGGTGCGCAGATGTGGTCCCAGCTACTTGGGAGGCTGAGGTGGGAGGATCGCTTGAGACCAGGAATTTGAGGCTGCGGTGAGCTGTGATCATGCCACTACACTCTAGCCTGGGTGACAGAGTGAGGCCCTATCTCTAATAAATAAATAAAAGAGTAAGTCAGGCAGTTAAAGGGGCCATGGAAGTTGGAGAGGGCCAAGTTGCAATTCTAGCTAAGGAGGTCTGGGGATATTTAGGCAGAAACTAGGAGAGGAGGAGCCCTCTGGGTATCTAAGGGAAGAGCGTTCCAGGCAGACGGAATGGCAAGTACAAAGGCCCTGAGACAGGAATACCTGGAGTATTTGAGGGCCAGGAAGGAAGTCAGGGTGGCTGGAGACATATGAGTGGGGGAAAGTAGGAAGCAATAAAGTCAAGGAGAGGATGGGGACAGATTGGCAAAAGCCTTGTGGACTATAAGAAGCCTTTGGCTTTTGCCCAGGGAGGATAAGAGCTGTAGTAGGTTCTTAGCAGCAGACAGGTTTGATCTGGCTTGGGTTCTCACCAGCTCCTCCTGGCTGTGTTGGGAGGGGAAAGAATGGGAGCTGAGAAACCACAGGGTAAGGCAACTACAAAGTCCGGGTGGGGCCGGGTGCTGTGGCTCACGCCCATAACCCCAGCACTCAGGGAGGCCGAGGTGGGAGGATCCCTTGAGCCTAGGAATTTGAGACCATCCTAGGCAACATAGTAAGACTCTTGTCTCAATGACAAAAAAAATTTTTTTTTTTTTTGAGACAGAGTTTTGCTCTTGTTACCCAGGCTGTAGTGGAGTGGCGCGATCTCGGCTCACTGCAACCTCCGCCTCCCAGGTTCAACCAATTCTCCTGCCTCAGCCTCCCAAGTAGCTGGGATTACAGGCTCCCACCACCACACCTAGCTAAATTTTTTTGTATTTTTAGTAGAGACGGGGTTGCACCATGTTGGCCAGGCTGGTCTTGAACTCCCGACCTCAGGTGATCCGTCCACCTGGGCCTCTCAAAGTGCTGGGATTATAGGCATGAGCCACTGAGCCTGGCCAGGAAAGAAAAAAAAATTGTTTTAATTAACCAGGCTCAGTGACTTACCTGTAATTTCAGCTACTCGAGAGACTGAGGTGGGAGGATCACCTGAGCCCAGGAGGTTGAGGCTGCAGTGAGCTGTGATTGTGCTACTGCACTCCATCCTGGACAAGAGAGCGAGACCCTGTCTTAAAACAAGTCCAGTCCGGGCAGGAAGTAAAACGGCTTAGAAGTAGGGGACATAGTGGCCTCATTGAGATAGGATGTGCAGGGAAGGCGTCTTAGTCAAGTCCTGGAGTCTGAGAAGGAGCTACCTTTGGGCATAGCAGAGGGGCACGGGCACAGAAACCTGGGAGGTGGGCATGAGATGGGAGCTGGGCGCGTTCCAGGAATGGAAAGGGGGCTGGTGAGGATAGGCAAGGGCTTGGGTGACCCTCAGCGGGGCCACATTACACGGGCTTCACAGGTGGAGGCGAGGAGGCTGGACTATGCCCTCAGCATGGTTAAGAGCCATGGGAGGTGTCAAGCCACAGGAGAGATCTGGACAAACGTTTGAGGTTGCAAAAAATGACCGGCAGCAGTATGAGGAGTGATTGGAGGAGTGGACGGAGGTAGAAGGGAGCTGGGACGAGAGGGGAGAAGAGGCATTGCTGGGAAGACGGATGAGGCAGTGGGGGGCAGAGGGAAGCGGGCGGCATATAGTGGTGTTTTTAGAAGATAGTAGGTGCTGGGCTTGCCCATGGATTGAGGGGGAAGCAGGATCAGAGAGGAGTCCCAGGCCTGGTGCGGTGGCTCACGCCTGTAATCCCAGCACTTTAGGAGGCCAAGGTGGGCAGATCGCTTTGAGGTCAGGAGTTTCAGACCACTCTGGGCAACATGGTGAGGCCCCATCTCTACAAGAAAAAAAAAAATTAGCTGGGCATGGTAGCACACACCTGTAGTCCCAGCTACCCAAGAGGCTGAGGTGGGAGGATCGCTTGGGCCTGGGAAGCAGAGATTGCAAGTGAGCCAAGATTGCACCACTGCACTCCAGCACGAGACCCTGTCTCAAAAAAAAAAAAAAAAAAATAGGACTCCCAGCGGGAAGGTGACTGATACTTGGCAAAAATAGAGAAGGCAGGGAAGATTTTTTTTGAAGGATGCTTTTTTTTCTTTTCCTTTTTCTTTTTTTTTTTTTTTCTTTTTTTGAGACAAAGTCTCACTACATTGTCCAGGCTAGACTCGAACTCCTGGGCTCAGGGGATCCTCCTACCTCCGCCTCCTGCATAGCTGGGATTACAGGCATGAGTCACCACATCCAGCTACGAATGCTCTTTCTTTAAATCTTGAGGCTGGGCGTGGTGGCTCACTCCTGTAATCCCAGCACTTTGGGAGGCCGAGGCGGGCGGATCACGAGGTCAGGAAATCGAGACCATCCTGGCTAACACGGTGAAACCCCATCTCTACTAAAAATACAAGAAATTAGCCAGGCGTGGTGGCGGGTGCCTTAGTCCCAGCTACTCGGGAGATTGAGGCAGGAGAATGGCTTGAACCCGGGAGGCGGAGCTTGCAGTGAGCCGAGATCGCGCCACTATACTCCAGCCTGGGCGACAGAGTGAGACTCTGTCTGGAAAAAAAAAAAAATATGTTGGAAGTCCCCTGGGAGCCCACCTTCCCTAGGCAACTTCCCAGAAGCCACGTCACTCTGGATGCCTTTTCTTCCCCCTTCTCAGCCCAGAGCGTCTGAGAAGGTCACCCTGTGCTATCCTTGAGTAAACACTTCCCTTTCCAGTAACACATGAAACCACAGCCGTTTTCCATAATACAAAGGACAGCTCTTCTCCTCCCCACCCTCACAAACGCCTCTCTTCTTGTGCAATCATTTGTTCTCATCCAGAGATAACTTCAGGGCTGGGCACGGTGGCTCACACCTGTAATCCCAGCACTTTGGGAGGCTGAGAGGCAACAAGAGCAAAACTCTGTCTCAAAATAAATAAATAAATAATGAGACTCAGAAAATATGATTAAGGGCCAGGCGCAGTGGCTCACGCCTGTAATCCCAGCACTTTGGGAGGCCGAGGCAGGCGGATCACGAGGTCAGGAGATTGAGACCATCCTGGCTAACACGGTGAAACCCTGTCTCTACTAAAAATACAAAAAAATTAGCCGGGCGTGGTGGCGGGTGCCTGTAGTCCCAGCTACTTGGGAGGCTGAGGCAGGAGAATGGCATGAACCCAGGAGGCGGAGCTTGCAGTGAGCCGAGATCGCATCACTGCACTCCAGCCTGGGCGACAGAGCGAGACTCCATCTCAAAAAAAAAAAAAAAAAGAAAAGAAAATATGATTAAGTGTAGGGTTTAATCAAGCCCAAAGCTTGAGGATGACCACCTGGGAGCATAGATTGAAGTTGCCCTGAATATACACTTCAAGCAGGGGCCAAGGCAAGCAGCTCTTGCAAGTGAGCTTTTGTTTGTTTGTTTGTTTCTTGGAGAGAGGGTCTCCAAAACTACAAATAAAAATTAGCTAGGAATGGTGGCGCACACCTGTAATCCCAGCTACTCAGGAGGCTAAGGCAGGCGAATTGCTGAAACCAGCAAGGGCAGGTTGCAGTAAGCTGAGATTGCACCACTGCACTGCATCCTGGGTGACAGCAAGACTCTGTCTCAAATTAATAAAAAAAAAAGAGAGAGAGAGAGATAACCTCAAGAGCTTCCGTATACACACTGGTGCAGAAGTAAGGAACAAAACAGCCAAAGCCTCTGTCTTCATGATGCGTGAGCCACCAAGGAATAGTTGGCCAGAGTCGGCGGTCAGGAAAGTGCCCTTGACGAAGTGGGGCTTGGAGTGGGGTCTGGAGAAGGAGGCCAAAGCAATCCAGGCACAAAATCACCAACCAAAACCCCAAAGTGGGTGGAGGCAGAGACTGAGGAGGGCGTGGATGGGGAGCATGTGGAGTGGCCAGGGGAGGTGGCCATGGGGAAGTGGTGGGCTCGGGCCCTGAGTCACTATTCTAACAGCTTGGAGGGCGGCCAGGAGGATGTGGGGAGGCTTGTTGGATGCTCCACGATGGTCAGGGGAGAAGGCGGTGGGAAGGGAGAGCTGGGAAGAAGAGGAGAGTCAGACCGTGTTGAGAAGTTCAGAGGTGGATACCCAGGTCCAGAAAGCAACAGAAGATGTGAGTCTGGGTGGGGGACACACATCATAAGCATGAGCTGCTATTCTTCCTGGAGTTTTGTTTTTGTGATTTTTTTCCATGTTTTCCAAGAGAATGAGGTGGAAAGGGTATAAAAAAAAGAAACGGCTTTGAGATTTTCTGCCTTTATCACACTTCCAGTCATTCAATCATCTAATGGTGATTACAGGAAAAGGAACAGGGGGCCTTTCCAGCTGGACCTTTGAACCACAGTACTCAGTTACTCGCTCGGCCTTGATTTGCTTTTTTTTTTTCCTTTTTTTTTTTTTTCTTTTGGAGACAGAGTCTCACTGTCACCCAGGCTGGAGTGCAGTGGCACGATCTCGGCTCACTACAACCTCTGCCTCCCAGGTTCAAGCAATTCTCTTACCTCAGCCTCCCGAGTACCTGGGATTACAGGCACCTGCCACCACGCCCAGCTAATTTTTGCATTTTTAGTAGAGATGGGGTTTCACCACGTTGGCCACGCTAGTCTAGAACTCCTGACCTCAGGTGATCTGCCCACCTGGGCCTCCCAAAGTGCTGGGATTACAGGCATGAGCCACTGCGCCCATCCTAATTTTTGTATTTTCAGTAGAGATGAGTTTTCACCATGTTGGCCAGACTGGTCTCAAATTCCTGGCCTCAAGTGATCCACCCTCCTCAGCCTCCTAAAGTGCTGGTATTGCAGGTGTGAACCACCACGCCCGACCAGCTTTTTTTTAAATCTCAGCCTCCTCTAGGCTTTTGGACCCTGTCTCTGCATCTCTGGCAGGGCGAAGAGACAGTATACCGAAATGGCCAGGCCAGGCGCCTGTAACCTCAGAGCTTTGGGGAGCCGAGGTGGGAAGATGGCTTGTGCTCAGGAGTTTGAGATCAGCCTGGGCAACATAGCAAGAACTCATCTCTACAAAAAAATTTAAAAATTAGCCGGGCATGGTGGTGCATGCCTATGGTCCTAGCTACTCTGGAGGCCAAGGCGGGAGGATCACTTGAGCCTAGGAGGTGCAGGCTGCAGCAAGCTATGATCACACCACTGCACTCGAGACCAGGTGACAGAGCGGGCCCCTGTCTCTAAAAAATAAATAAAGTAAAATAAAATGGGCAACACTTGGATAGGGCAGTGCAGGCCAGACATTACCCTAAGCCATTTACCTATCAATGTATTATTTAATTCACACAGCAATCCTAGGGGTGGGTACTTTCATTATCCCCATTTTACAAAACAAGAAACAGCTACAGAGTTGCAAAACCACTTATCCCAAGCCAGGCCGCTGATAAGCAGCAGAGCTGGGATTGGAACCCCGGCAGTTAGGGCCTAACCACCCTGCTCCTCTGCTGAGTGTTTGTTGAATGACTGCCGGTGAGGAGTGACGCACCCCCTCTCCTCCTCTCCCCAGCCAAGCCCAAGAACCAAGCTGAGGCCCAGAAGGTCACGTTCAGCCAGGACCCTACGACAGTGGCCCTCTGCATCTCCAAAGAGGGCCGCCCACCTGCCCGGATCTCCTGGCTCTCATCCCTGGACTGGGAAGCCAAAGAGACTCAGGTGTCAGGGACCCTGGCCGGAACTGTCACTGTCACCAGCCGCTTCACCTTGGTGCCCTCGGGCCGAGCAGATGGTGTCACGGTCACCTGCAAAGTGGAGCATGAGAGCTTCGAGGAACCAGCCCTGATACCTGTGACCCTCTCTGTACGCTGTGAGTGTATCGGGGGTGACCCCTCCCCCATCAAAACTGCCTACACTGGCTTCTCTAAAGCACTGTCTACATTGTCTCTGAATGTTGTCTACGTGGGTTCCCTGAAGCCAAATTCTGCACTACCTTCCTGCCATTGTCTACACTGGCTCCCATGGGCAAATCTACATACTTCCCCCTCATTGTCTACATTGGCTTTACTGGGTTCCTGCATGCTGTGCCTAGTCTGTGGTAACCTGGGATGGGCTTGCAAGAGCCAGTTTGATACATTTCTTTCCAATTCCACATCCAATGAAGTCTTCTCGGTAGCTTGAAATCAACCTTGGGGAATATTTACACCAAGGAAATTGGCAAACCCTAGAAATGGGGGCTTCTTTTATTCCCCAGAGAGTTGGTTTACCAGCAAAGAGCTGCCCCCAACAGTGTCTTTTCTGGCTCCCATGGACCCCGGTTGACACTGCCCCTGGACCGTTAGATCAATCATGCTGGGCCATGTCCACATGTCTACATGTCTACACTGCCCAACCTAACATCGTCTCCACACCTTCCCATACTTCTGCCTTGACTTCCCTAGGTGCCATCTATACTGAGTCTCCCAGAGTCTCTACACCGACCCCTGATCCTTGATATTATTTACATTGTATTTATTATTTATTATTTATTATTATATTTTTATATATTATATATTATATAAAATATATAAATTATATATTATATATTAACATATATTTTGTCATTATTTATTATTGTTATTTAATATAATATAATTACATTATATTATATATTACATTACAGGCTCCACCCCCCGGGCCCTGTTGATCCTGACCCCTCCCACTGGGTTTTTTGCTAGCTCTTCCAGAAACTGCCTATACTCACACCTCGTAATGTTACCCAGAGAGGCCACCCTGGCACTCTTCACACAGAATCCCTCAAATACTGGCTTAACCACCTCTTCCACCACTGTCCAAAATGACCACATATCCCAACTCAATGTTGTCTACACTAGCTCCCCAGGCAATGCCTCCACTTACACAGATTCCCTAAGCCAAGTCTACACCAGCTCCCCCAGGCAACATGCATCACGTGCGCCCATAAGTGCAACAGCTCCCCTGAGCCTCGTCTGTGCCACTTTCCTCCCGGGACCTACACTGGTTGCCCAAACCCTGTTTTGACATCCTCCCTCCATGCCAAAAACACACACACAGGCCGGGTGCGGTGGCTCACACCTGCAATCCCAGCACTTTGGGAGGCCAAGGCGGGCAGATCACTTGAGGTCAGGAGTTCGGGACTAGCCTGGGCAACATGGTGAAACCCTGTCTGTACTAAAAATACCAAAATTAGCTGGACGTGGTGGTACATGCCTGTAATCCCAGCCATTTGGGAGGCTGAGGCGGAGGGATGGCTTGAGCCCAGGACGTGGAGTTTGCAGTAAACCAGGATCACCCCACTGCTCTCCATCCTGGGCAACAGAGCAAGATCCTGTCTCAAAAACACACACACACACACACACACATTATTTGTAGTGGCTCCCTTAGGCACTGCCAGCACTGAACAATAACTCCCACAAAATTATCCACAGTGGTTTCCCTGAACAGTGTCTACACTGACATCAGCACACAACAGCCTGGACTGATTTGCCCCAGACAGTTTTGACTGCTGTACCTCCTGCCAACCCGCCCCGTTTCTTTAGCATTCCTGTCTATCTGCTAACTTGTCCACCCGCTCTGGGATTCTCCTCCTTGCTGATCCAGTCCCCCCATTTCCCCCAGACCCTCCTGAAGTGTCCATCTCCGGCTATGATGACAACTGGTACCTCGGCCGTACTGATGCCACCCTGAGCTGTGACGTCCGCAGCAACCCAGAGCCCACGGGCTATGACTGGAGCACGTGAGTCACGTGGTCTCAGAACCCTGGGTCTGAGGGAGGCGGGGCTGGGGGCCTGGACTCCTGGATCTAAGGGAGGAGGGGCTGGGGGCCTGGACTCCTGGATCTGAGGGAGGAGGGGCTGGGCCTAAATTCCTAAGTCCTCCAGGATGAAGGGAGCTTGCATTTTGGCAATTTGGGGTCTCCGGGAGTACTTAGGTCCCTGGAGCTTGGCTCCTGGTGGGTGTATCTTTAGGGATGAGGCCTGTGCTCCCCTCTCGACCTTGGTATCCCTCTCACCTGACCCCACACCCCTCCAGGACCTCAGGCACCTTCCCGACCTCCGCAGTGGCCCAGGGCTCCCAGCTGGTCATCCACGCAGTGGACAGTCTGTTCAATACCACCTTCGTCTGCACAGTCACCAATGCCGTGGGCATGGGCCGCGCTGAGCAGGTCATCTTTGTCCGAGGTGAGTGGGTCTTGGGGGCCGTGTGTGGAGACCTGGGTCCGCTCCCCTGGAGTTCTGCCCTTCAGGACTTGGGGCTGCACTGGGGGAGGCTGCGCCGCCGACCTGGGAGGGATGCAGACCTGCCTGGCTGAGGGGAGATGAGGGTTGGCCTTCCCCTCGTGGCCTCAGACTGGGGTCTGGATTTGGGGTGTCGGGGTAGGTGAAGGCAGCAGAGTTGGGGGGTTGAGGACTTTGCTCGGGGTTCCTAGAAAGTAGAGGCCTGGGTAGGGTCCTCACGAATAGACCCGAGGAAGCTGCCCTGGGCTCCAGCTCCTGAGAAAGACGCACACCTAGAGTCAGGCATGCAAACTTCAAAGAGACAGAAACCAAGAGCTCCCACCCCCAGAAACACAATCCGGCCCCAAGGCACGGAGCCAAAGAGGAAAAGCACAAAGCCAGACCATCACCCAGTGATGGAAACTGGGTCAAACTCACAACTGCAGGGCCACACACCTAGAGCGCGGCCGGGACTGTTAACAGAGCCATGCTTCCTGGGACAGAGAGACCCCTGGGTCCTGGAGATAGGGCCAGAGACCCCTCCTGTCAGAGCCACAGCTGGCAGGATCCACAGCCACAGACACTCCCTGTGCTGAGAAATTCTGTTGCAGAGATGCATCAGAATCCAGACACTCACCTGGATGGTAACCCTGCACGCTCAAACCCATTGTCACCAAGACACACACCCAGGAGGACAGTGGCACCAGCCAAGATAGACTGAACGAAGCCAGATGACACCTGGAAAGGGACATTCTTTTTTTTTTTTTTTGAGATGGAGTCTCGCTCTGTCGCCCAGGCTGAAGTGTAGTGGCGCAATCTCAGCTCACCGCAACCTCCGCCTCCCGGGTTCAAGCAATTATCCTGCCTCAGCCTCCTGAGTAGCTGGGACTATATGCGCTCACCACCAAACCCGGCTAAGTTTTGTATTTTTAGTAGAGACAGGGTTTCACCATATTGGTCAGGCTGGTCTCGAACTGCTGACCTCAGGTGATCCACCCGCCTCGGCCTCACGAAGTGCTGGGATTATATGCATGAGCCACTGCGCCTGGCCAGAAAAAGACATTCTTAGAAACACGCCAGGGCGACGGTCCATGCAGCACACCTGTGCAAACACGCAATGTGCAGGCCCCCCAGAAACATGACTGAAGGTGTAGGGACAAACTCCCAGACAGGGGCTGTCCCTGTCATGCAGACAGACTAGCCACGGAGGGACAGAAGCAGACCCCCTTACTGAGTCATAATCTTAGAATGCACACACACTTGCAGGGACACCCGAGGGAAAACAGACACCTCTTCAGGAATCCAGATACAGCCAGGGAGATAGGACACCCCTACGGGAAACACTGTCACAGACAGCAAACCCAGAGAGACAGCTGTCCCGCTCTGGGCTCGCCTGGCGCGTGAGGATGCACATAAGTCCCCGGAGGAAGACGTCACACAGACACGCTGGGGGCAAAACTAATCCAGGACAGCAACGGCTGCACACGGAGGAATGTCATCCCTCACTCACAGACCCTCAGACGGAAAATCAAAGACATCCTGGGAGGAGCTTCTTCCCAGGAACCCTCCCGAAACTCCCCGAAACTCCTCCGAAATTATCCAGAAAGTCCGTTAGGGAGATTCTCATTCAACAAATATGTGTTTCCTGTTTGCTAGGCACTCTTGCTGAGGTTGGGAATACAATGGTGAATGAGCCACAGTCCCTGCCCTCAGTAGCACACCCAGGGGAGGGTCAGCTCCACCCGCCCAGACAGACACCGAACTGGAAATACACCCCTAACCTCTACCCCAGATACACCTGACAAGCTGATCCCCTGCCCACACACCCAGCAGGTGGCTCCAAGGTCAGAGCCTGCAGAACACAGACGCAATAGAGAAAGACTCAGCGCTGTGGAAAGACACCCCCACCTACCCACGACAGTGGCCACAGGGCCACCCCCAGCCAATAACACCATTACAAAGACACGTGCCTTCAGATAATGCCTGCAGAAACGTGCATGCTCCAAGCACTCTAGAAATCCCGTCTCAAGCAGTGAGTGCCCCGACAGCCACAGCCAGAGGAGACACACTCAAAGCTCCTGGGGTCACTCTCAGAGGGTCTCTGAGCCACGAACCCACATCCAGGCACACACAGAGTCGTCACAGAGACACAGTATGGAGTCCACAGCAGCACGAACATAGGATACGAACGCCGCACCACAGGACAGATCTATCTTTAGGGAGACTCAGAGAACTTTTTATTTTTAATAGAGACAGGGTCTCGCTATGTTGGCCAGGCTGGTCTTGAACTCCTGGCCTCAAAGCATTCCTCCAGCTTTGGCCTCCCAAAGTGCTGGGATTACAGGTATGAGCCAGCACACTAAGCCTGATTCAGAGCTTTGAACCCTAGACATATGAACAGACTCAGCTTCGAGTTCCAAAACACCAATGCCACCTCCAGAAACAGAGACAAGCCTCCCAAGATAGGCTCAACCTGGTCCAGTTAGTGACCAGCACAGGAGAAAAATCTGTTTCACTCCTCAACCCAGTGTATAGTTAGAGACATATATACCACCCTACCCCCTACCAAAAAAGATTTTATCCTCCTTTTTTTAATGCTATTTGTGAGTCACTAAGCTGATTTGACAGCCCGCTGGGTCATGACCCCCTGTTTGAAAACAACAGAAACAGATGTCCTTCCTGGGTCTCAGCCCCTCCTGTGTGTCGAGGTGTAGAGGTGGGGTCAGGTGTGGGTGAACCCCCCACCCCCGTCTGTCCCAGTTATGCCTTGCATGCAGGGATGGGGGAAGTGGATGTGGGTAGGTTCTGGTTACATTGACTTCTGTCCCTGGCTTGGGGCCCAGGAGCCCCATCCCTCCCTGCTCACACTGCCCTCCTCAGCACTTCATGGCTTCCTCTCTCTCTCCGCCTCCCCACTACCTCCCATCCCCCATCCCCACCTGCTCAGCCCCTGCAGGGAGCACTAAGGAAGTCCCACTGTCCCGGTCTGTGAGAACCCCATTTTACACACTGGGGATAAGTGGCCTAGAGATGAGGCAGCCACGGCACTTGGAATAAATGCTCCCAGCCACTCAAGAGGGCAGAATTATCAGGAATCTGTGGCCCTCTGCAGAGAGCTTTGGGATCAGACAGCCTCCCACTGAAACCCAGCTGTCCTCCCCCGAGGGGGTGTGGCCCCCAAGCTCATAGCTTTGTGAGGACCCCACAGCACATTCAGGGAGGGCTGCGAAGTCAGATGGCACCAGGGTCCTGGCCAGTGACCGGGCGGCCAGATCTATTGCATCCAAATAGCCAGCTTCCACTCGGCTACGGCGATCGCCAGACATGGGAGTTTGGTGTTGCTAGATCTGATTTGTCCCCCTAAGAGAAACCTGGATTTTTAAGTGAAATCGCCTGATTTTTGAAAGGTTGGCTAGCAATTTAAATTTTGCAAAACACTAACACCTGGGGACCACCGGTTGGCATCCCCCTCCTTGTACAAAGTGGTGCTCAGGCTGTAGCGAAGGGCGGAGGGGCTTCTGCTTCCCCACCCCCCTCCTCCTCCTCCTCCATTCTTCTGCCCAGAGTCACCCCCTCATTCTGGTCACTCCCGCTCCCTCCATCCCCGCCTATCCTGCATCTCCCCCACCCCCTCACTCCCCAGAGCGATCCTCGTGATCTTGTGTCTCCCTTTCTCTCTCTCTCACCCCTCCTTCTCTCTCTCCTCAGAAACCCCCAGGGCCTCGCCCCGAGATGTGGGCCCGCTGGTGTGGGGGGCCGTGGGGGGGACACTGCTGGTGCTGCTGCTTCTGGCTGGGGGGTCCTTGGCCTTCATCCTGCTGAGGGTGAGGAGGAGGAGGAAGAGCCCTGGAGGAGCAGGAGGAGGAGCCAGTGGCGACGGGGGATTCTACGATCCGAAAGCTCAGGTGTTGGGAAATGGGGACCCCGTCTTCTGGACACCAGTAGTCCCTGGTCCCATGGAACCAGATGGCAAGGATGAGGAGGAGGAGGAGGAGGAAGAGAAGGCAGAGAAAGGCCTCATGTTGCCTCCACCCCCAGCACTCGAGGATGACATGGAGTCCCAGCTGGACGGCTCCCTCATCTCACGGCGGGCAGTTTATGTGTGACCTGGACACAGACAGAGACAGAGCCAGGCCCGGCCCTCCCGCCCCCGACCTGACCACGCCGGCCTAGGGTTCCAGACTGGTTGGACTTGTTCGTCTGGACGACACTGGAGTGGAACACTGCCTCCCACTTTCTTGGGACTTGGAGGGAGGTGGAACAGCACACTGGACTTCTCCCGTCTCTAGGGCTGCATGGGGAGCCCGGGGAGCTGAGTAGTGGGGATCCAGAGAGGACCCCCGCCCCCAGAGACTTGGTTTTGGCTCCAGCCTTCCCCTGGCCCCGTGACACTCAGGAGTTAATAAATGCCTTGGAGGAAAACATCAGGGGTGTCTTGTAATACATCAGACCCCCTCCTTGCATGTTGGGGAAAGAGAGGGTGGGACAGGGACTCCTAGGTCCCAGGGCTGGGAAGAGCTGATCCACGCCCCCGGGGAACGAGAGCCTGGCAGGGGTTAGACTGGGGAAGGCTGTGGGGCTCGGACCACTTGGATCCTTGAAAGACGCATTGGATGGCCGAGAACCGCAAGGCTCGTGCAACTAGGATTCAGGTCACTGGATTGGGGACTCAGAGGCCTGGACATTTGGACTCCTGGGTCCCAGGACAGAGGCTGCCTTTCTGGATGGTGTGGCCAGACCCATCAGAGGCAGGAGTTCTCTGGACTCCTGGGCCCTCGGGTGGAGGTGGGGGTGGGGACAGCAGGGGCTCAGCCAGGTTCCCTGCGTCCTGAGAGAATGAGGCCAGAGGGCTGTGATCCAGTGGAGCCTCAGACCTCAACTCCCCCAGGTTGCTGGGGGTCTCGGGAGGGGAGGGCTGCTCCCCACTCCCATTCTTAGGGGCCCTGAGGGCATGGGGCAGGCGGGGGGTGCTGGGGAAGTCCCACCTCTGGCCACCCCGACTGTGGCTCCCCTCCTTCTCCATCCTTGCCCCCAGGGATCACCCCAGGGGACTTTTCAGTGGCTCCCTGGGAGTGGCGGCAGCTCCCTCCAGCTCCTCTCAACTGGAAAAGCAAAGACGGGGGGAGGGGCGGCCCTTGGTCCTTGAACTCCCAGGCTCAGTAAGGGACAGGTTTTTACCCGCGTCACCTCTGCTCTCCCAAGCCTCCATGCCTCCTCTGTAACACGGGGCAGGTGTTTCCATCGGCCTCACAAGGCTGTCGTGGGACCCAGTAAGGACATGCCCGTGATGCCCTCATGCAGCCTCATTGACCTCCACAGACCCCACCAAGCCCTGTGCCAGGCAGTGCTGGGGCTGCAGCTGTGGCCTGCACAGACCCAGTGCCGTCCTCCGGTGTGCACGGCCATAATGACCACAAGAATAGCAGCAGTATGTTTAGGATGAAGGTGTGTGTGTGGACCGAGGGGCAGTCTCTCTCTCTCACTCCCCCACCCTCTGAAGCCCTCCAGAGGATGCCAGGCTGTGGAACGGGAGCAGTGGAGATCCAACAGTCCAGCGTCCTCTGGAAGCTTCCTCCTCATCTGGAGAGTGAGGCCGATGCATGCGTGACCCCCACGGGCCCTTCCATACTTGTTACTTCCTCTGGTTGTTTGTTGTCTGTACTCACCCACCCACCCCACCCGGACAACCGGAGGGCAGGGGCGGGGAATTGGGTCCGCCTGGCACACAGTGGATCCTTCAGTGCCATGCTGAGTCCTCCTTACACACCCAGCAAACACCTACTGTGTGCCGAACCTCAGGCACACAGTCTAGTATGGAAATTGGCAAGTAAACGGGTAACCACTCCAAAAACTCTTCCATTAGGAAAGACTTGAGAAATGGAAACGGGAGGTGCTAGCAAGGAAGGAGAGGCCCAGGAGCAAACAGGCTTCTCGCTTCTCGACCCCTTTTCCTGTCTTGCCTTTTTTTTTTTTTTTTTTTTTTTTTTTTTTGAGACGGTGTCTAGCTCTGTTACCCAGGCTGGAGTGCAGTGGTACGATCTCGGCTCACTGCACCCTCCACCTCCCAAGTTCAAGCAATTCTCCTGTCTCAGCCTCTTGAGTAACGCACCCAGCCTTTTTTTTTTTAAGAAGTGGGGTGGTCTCCCTATATTACCCAGATTGGGCTCAAACTCCTGGGCTCAAGCGATCGATCCTCCCACTTCAGCCTCCAAAAGTGCTGGGATGACAGGTGTGAGTCACTGTGCCTGGCCCCTGGCTAATTTTTTTTTTTTTTTTTTAAGACGGAGTTTCACTCTTATCCAGGCTGGAGTGCAATGGCGCGATCTTGGCTCACGGCAACCTCCGCTTCCCAGGTTCAAGCAATTCTCCTGCCTCAGCCTCCTGAGTAGCTGGGATTACAGGCGCGCGCTAGCATGCCCAGCTAACATTTTGTATTTTTAGTAGAGACAGGGTTTCTCCATGTTGGTCAGGCTGGTCTCAAACTCCCAACCTCAGGTAATCCACCTGCCTCGGCCTCCCAAAGTGCTGGGATTACAGGCGTGAGCCAACGCGCCCGGCTAGCCCCCGGCTAATTTTTAAAATTTTTTCTAGAGATGAGGTCTTGTGCTCGTTGCCCTGGCTGGTCTTGAACAATCCGCCCGCCTCGCCCTCCCAAAGCGCTGGGATTACAGGCGTCAGTCACTGCCCCAAGCCCTAACCCCCTTCCTGATAAGTGGAAGGAGATTCTAGTCCCCAGAGGTGATTCTGGATCCCAGAATTCTGTCCCCGCATTCTCTGTCTTCTAGCCGCCCCTGGTCCTGTCTCCTCTCCTCTCATCTTCCCACTCTGCCCCGCCTCATTCTGCCCCAGCTACACAGTCTACTTGCTGTTCTTTAAAAACAATACAAGGCAGGCCGAGCACGGCATAATCCCAGAACGTTGGGAGGCCGAGGCGGGAGGATCACTTGAGCCCAGGAGTTCAAGACCAGCCTGGGCAACATGGCAAAACCCCATCTCTACAAAAAAATTCAAAAAAAAAAAAAAAAAGCTGGGCCTGGCGGCACATGCCTGTAGTTCCAGCCACTCCGGAGGGTGAGGTGGGAGGATCGCTTGAGCCCAGGAGATTGGGGCTACAGTTGGTGGTGATCATGCCACTGCACTCTAGCCTGGGTGACAAAGCGAGACCGTCTCAAAAAAAACCATAGAGCCCCACAAGCCTCCTGCAGGGCCGCTGGCTGTTTGCGCTGCCTGCGATACCCCCAGACACTCTCATGACTCATCCCCGGTGTCTCTTTCAGGCCCTTGCTCAGTTGTCACCTTACAGTAAGGTAGAGGCCCTCCCACTACCTTCGGGGACCCCACTTTGCACCTCCTATCACTTCCGCACTGTATATTTTTGTATCCCCCGTGACTTACTCCCATCTGGCATGTGAGCTATTGTACTGGTTTGCTTACTGTTGTTCTCCCTGCCCAACCAGAATCAAAGTTCCATGAAGGTAGACACTTTGTATGTTTTGTTCTCCACTCATCTCCCATGCGGGGCACACATCCTCGCTCCTTCCTCATGCTCAGCAGTTTGAGTTGAATGAAAGAATGTCCCCTGCCCATGGGAGAGGACATAGACAGGCAGGCGATGATGTGGGGTGGGATGGTCGCTTGGAATAAGGAGCTGTGGCTTCCTCCTGGAGACCCCCTCACGCTGTCCCTCTCCTTGCAGAGACCCCCAACACAGCAGGCGCAGGGGCCACAGGCGGCATCATCGGGGGCATCATCGCCGCCATCATTGCTACTGCTGTGGCTGCCACGGGCATCCTTATCTGCCGGCAGCAGCGGAAGGAGCAGACGCTGCAGGGGGCAGAGGAGGACGAAGAGTAAGTGATGGGCCCTGAGACGGGGATGGGAGAGGGGTCGAAGAACTGAGGAGTATGGGGTAGGGGTGAGGGTGGGAGAAAATTCTCCATAATGGCTGTGTGAAACAGACAGACCTAAAGGAACTGGGGTCTAAATGGAGTAGGGAGGTATGGGTTTCTCTCTGCTATAAAGTATGGCATTGAATTTAAAAATTAGCTGGGGGCCAGGCACAGTGGCTTACACCTGCCATCCCAGCACTTTTGGAGGCTGAGGTGGGGAGATCGATCGTTTGAGCCCAGGAATTTGAGCCCAGTCTGGGTAACATAGGAAGACTACCCCCATCTACAAAAAAAAAAAAAAAAAAAAAAAAATGGCCACGCAGGGTGGCTCTGACCGCTCCGCTCTGCAAAGACTCCTCGGAGCCCAGGATCCTACTACATTTTTTTTTTTTTTTTGTGACGGAGTCTCACTCTGTCACCGAGGCTGGAATACAGTGATGCAATCTCGGCTCACTGCAAGCTCTGCCTCCCAGGTTAAAGCAATTCTCCTGCCTCAGCCTCCGGAGTAGCTGGGAATACAGGCGCCCACCACCATGCCCAGCTAATTTTTTGGATTTTTAGTAGAGACAGGGTTTCACTGTGTTAGCCAGGATGGTCTCTATCTCCTGACCTTGGGATCCCCCCTCCTCAGACTCCAAAAGTGCTGGGATTACAGGCGTGAGCCACCATGGCTGGCCAGTTGTTAATAAAAGAAGAAAGGGCGGTTCCTAAATTGTTATGGAGAATTTACATTAAAATAACGTAAGCTATTGATTGGCTATCCATTGCTCTTTGTATCACAAATTCCAGAAACCTGAAGATAAAGAGTAACACTGGTCAGGCAGGGTGGGTCAGGCAGGGTGGCTCCTGCCTCTAATCCCAGCACTTTGTTTTGTTTTTGTTTTTGTTTAAGATGGAGTCTTGGTCTGTCGCCCTGGCTGGAGTGCCAAGGCGCCATCTCGGCTCACTGCAACCTCCGCCTCCCTGGTTCAAGCGATTCTCCAGCCTCAGCCTCTCGAGTAGCTGGGATTACAGATGCGCGCCACCACGCCCGGCTAATTTTTGTATTTTTAGTAGAGACGGAGTTTCACCATGTTGGCCAGGCTACTCTTGAACTCCTGACCTCAAGTGATCCACCCGCCTCGGCCTCCCAAAGTGCTAAGATCACAAGCATGAGCCACTGCGCCCAGCCAATGCCAGCACTTTGGAAGGCCAAGGCTCTTGTTGCTAGTGGTTCGAGACCAGACTGAACATCAAAGTGAGACACCATCTCTAAAAAAATAAAACAAACAAAATTAGCCAGGCAAAGTGGTGCACACCTGTGGTCCAGCTCCTCAGGAGGCTGGGGTGGGAGGTCACTTGAGCCCAGGAGCTCAAGTCTGCAATGAGCTATGATCATGCCACTGCACTCTAGCCCAGGTGACAGAGCAAGACCCTGTATCTTAAAAAATAAAAGACTGGGCACGGTGCCTCACACCTGTAATCCCAGCACTTTGGGAAGCCAACCCAAGTAGATAACTTGAGCTCAGGAGTTCGAGACCAGCCTGGGCAACATGGCGAAACCTGTCTACAAAAAAAATACAAAAATTACCCAGACCTGGTAGCCCATGCCTGTAGTCCCAGCTACTTGGGTGGGCTGAGGTGGGGGTGGGGGCATGTGGAGGCTGCAGTGAGCTATGATCACACCACTGTACTCCAGTCTGGCCAACAGAGTGAGACCTTGTAAAAAAAAAAAAAGAAAAGAAAAATAGCTCAGAGCAGTCTGAGGTATGCGAGCTATGCAAAATTTGTTTTTTTGAGACAGGATCTCACTCTGTCCCTCAGGCTAGAGTTCAGTGGTATAATCTGAGCTCACTGCAACCTTCGCCTCCTGAGCTCAACCAATCTTCCTACCGCAGCCTCCCAAGTAAATGGGACCACGTACCACCACACCTAGCTAGTTTTTGTATTTTTGTAGAGACAGGGTTTTGCCATGTTGCCCAGGCTGGTCTTGAACTCCTGACCTCAGGTGATCCACCCACCTCAGCCTCCCAAAGTGCTCGGATTACAGGCGTGAGCCACCATGCCCAGCCTGGAATCTGTATTTACCACAAGCTCTCTAAGTTTTTCTGATGCACAGGAAGGTCTGTTACACCACTGTCTTAATCATCTAGTTAGTTCAAACCAATAACTTGCTGCTGATCTCCTCTGTGTGCAGCTCCATGCTGTGACCCACTGTGTCCGAGACGGCCTGGAGCTCACAATATGGAGGAGGAGACAAAACTGTCTCCAGATAGTGATGGTGTAGCATGACCAGTGATGGGATAGGGCAGTTGAGCAAGCTCTGAGAAGCCAGAGGGGGCATCTGACCCAGGCTGGATGGTCAGGTAGGGCTTCCTGGAAGAGGGGACATCTGAGCTGACAGAATGCATCGTAAGCACCTGTCATTACTGTATGCTTTGGTCTGTGGGTGTGTAGAATGAGGGACAGGAACTTTAACCTAATTTGAGGGACAGGAAGGCACTTCATTTATTCATTCATTCTTTTCACAAATATTTACTGAACTCCTCATAGTGGATTCTGGAGACACCTTGCTGACGACCCAGATCTTTCTTTTTTTTCTTTTCTTTTCTTTTCTTTTTTTTTCTTTTTGAGGTGGAGTTTCGCTCTTTTTTCCCAGGCTGGAGTGCAATGGCGCGATCTCGGCTCACCACAACCTCCACCTCCCGGGTTCAAGCAATTCTCCTGCCTCAGCCTCCTGAGTAGCTGGGATTACAGGCATGCGCCACCACGCCCGGCTAATTTTGTATTTTTAGTAGGGACAGGGTTTCTCCATGTTGGTCAGGCTGGTCTCACACTCCTGACCTCAGGTGATCTGCCCACCTCGGCCTCCCAAAGTGCTGGGATTACAGGCGTGAGCCACCACGCCTGGCTGATCTTTCTTTCTTTTTTTTTTTTTTTTTTTTTTAATTTGAGATGGCATCTCACTCTATTGCACAGGCTGGAGTGGAGTGATCTCATCTCACTGCAACCTCTGCCTCCCGAGTTCAAGCGATTCTTGTGCCTCAGCCTCCTGAGTAGCTGGGATTACAGGCGTGCACCATCATGCCCAGCTAATTTTTGTATTTTTTGGGGAGATGGCATTTCACCATGTTGGCCAGGCTGGTCTCGAACTGCTGACCTCAGATGATCCGCCCGCCTCAGCCTCCCAAAGTGCTGGGATTACAGGCGTGAGCCACTGCCCCCAGCCCAACACAGATCTTTTTTCCCTCCCAGAGCTCACAGTGGGGCATGGTAATTATAAATAACATTTCAAGTACAAATTCAGTAAGTGCCCTGAGGGGGAAGTACAGCTAGGTATGTCCGTGTAACAGGAATTCCTGATCCACTGGGGAAACCTGAAGGCTTCCGGGAAAAAGAGGAATTCATGGAATGAATAAAAACTCTTACTCCAGGCAAGAAAAGGGGGCAGGGGAAAGGGAGACCCAGGTAGAGGGAACAGCATGTGCCATAACCCCGGAGTCAGAGGGATGCCTGGGTCTTAATCTCCACTTGTCCTACCTCCTACCCCACAGCCTGGAGGGACCTCCCTCCTACAAGCCACCGACCCCAAAAGCGAAGCTGGAGGCACAGGAGATGGTGAGCACTTTCCCTGGAGCCCAAGCTATCCCCACCTCCACACCCACCCCAGGGCTGGGAGGGGCCTGGCAGGGAGAAGCTGGCTGGGTGGTGGGGGCAGTTCCTGACCTCCCCGCCCCTCTCCCACTACAGCCCTCCCAGCTCTTCACTCTGGGGGCCTCGGAGCACAGCCCACTCAAGACCCCCTACTTTGATGCTGGCGCCTCATGCACTGAGCAGGTAGGAGCTCATGGGAAGACAAAGGTGGGTTGGGGGTCTGGGTTGAAGGGCCAGGGGTCAGGCCTGGCAAAAGAGGTCAAAGACTAAAGGTCATAACTCAAGGTCAAGGGTGTGTCCCCGGTTGGTGCTTAATGCATTGAGATGTGTTCAGGATTCCATGGGGGAGGTCAGGGGTGAAAAGGCCCAAGGTCACAAGGTTAGAATTTAAAGTCACTTGGGGGCTGGGCACGGTGGCTCACGCCTATAATCCCAGCACTTTGGGAGGCCAAGGCAGGAGGATCACTTGGGGTCAGGAGTTCGAGACCAGCCTGTGCAACATGGTGAAACCCCGTCTCTACTCAAAACACAAAAAATTAGTTGGGTGTGGTGGTGCGAGCCTGTAATCTTAGCTACCCGGGGCGCTGAGGAGGAAGAATCGCCTGAACCCAGGAGGCCGAGGTTACAGTGAGCTAAGATCACACCACTGCACTCCAGCCTGGGCAACAGAGCAAGATTCCGTCTCAAAAAAATAAATAAAACCAAATAAATAAAATCACCTGGGCCGGGCATGGTGGCTCTGGTCTATAATCCCAGTACTTTGGGAGGCCAAGGTAGCTGGACCCCTTGAGCCTAGGAGCTCGAGACCAGCGTGGGCAACATGGGCTACCCAGCAACATTTTGCGTCTACAAAAATACTGAATTTACCTGGATGTGGTGGCAAATGCCTGTAGGCTGAGGTGGGCGGATTGCTTAAGCCCAGGTGGTTGGGGCTGTGCCACTACACTCCAGCCTGGGCATCAGGGTGAGACCCTATCTCAAAAAAAAAAAAAAAGAGGAAAAGTCATTAGGTCAATGAAAATTGATTATCTGGTCAGGCATGGTGGCTCACACCTGTAATCCCAGCACTTTGGGAGGCTGAGACGGGCAGATCACCTGACGTCAGGAGTTCCAGACCACCCTGGCTAACAAGGTGAAACCCCTTCTCTACTAAAAACAAAAATAAGCCAGGCATGGGTGACATGCTCCTGTAATCCCAGCTATTCAGGAGGCTGAAGCAGGAGAATCGCTTGGACCCAGGAGGCAGAAGTTGCAATGAGCTGAGACCACGCCACTGCACTCCAGCCTAGGCAACAGAGCAAGACTCCGTCTCAAAAAAGAAAAAGGCCGGGTGCGGTTGCTCACGCCTGTAATCCCAGCACTTTGGGAGGCCAAGGCAGGTGGATCACCTGAGGTCAGGAGTTCCAAGACCAGCCTGGCCAACATGGTGAAACCCTGTCTCTACTAAAAATTACAAAAATTAGCTGGGCGTGGTGGCGGGCGCCTGTAATCCCAGCTACTTGGGAGGCTGAGGCAGGAGAATCGCTTGGACCCGGGAGGCAGAGGTTGCAGTGAGCCCAGATTGCACCATTGCACAACAGCCTGGGAGACAAGAGCAAAACTCCGTCTCAACAACAAAAAAAAACAGAATGAAAGAAAATTGATTATCTACATTTGCTGGATACTGTGCCTGAAGCTGGGACAAGACAAATCAAGTCACTCCCCTCAGTGGTCTACTGGAGGTCAGGGGTCAGACACTGAGGTTGCGCTCAAGGTTCAAAGGACTGTTTAGAGCCCAAGGTTAAGTATTTGAGGTCAAGACTGAGGTGAAAGGTTCATGGGGAAAGATTTGCAGAGATCGAGTGTCAAAAGTGAGTCCCAGGATTAACAGGGTGAGTTGCACGAGCTGGGCTTTGGGTTAAGGAAGGGCTGAATGAATGTCCCAGTGCAATATGGCCTCAGGGGACAAGGAGTGAGGTGGCATCTTGTTGGCATGGGGAGAGAGCGGTCAGGATTTTGGGGTCAAGAGCAGATTGGTAATCTGTGTCGTGCGTAGGAAGTGATCTTGAGTTCCTGTCCTCTCTCTACCTCCAGGAAATGCCTCGATACCATGAGCTGCCCACCTTGGAAGAACGGTCAGGACCCTTGCACCCTGGAGCCACAAGCCTGGGGTCCCCCATCCCGGTGCCTCCAGGGCCACCTGCTGTGGAAGACGTTTCCCTGGATCTAGAGGATGAGGAGGGGGAGGAGGAGGAAGAGTATCTGGACAAGATCAACCCCATCTATGATGCTCTGTCCTATAGCAGCCCCTCTGATTCCTACCAGGGCAAAGGCTTTGTCATGTCCCGGGCCATGTATGTGTGAGCTGCCATGCGCCTGGCGTCTCACATCTCACCTGTTGATCCCTTAGCTTTCTTGCCAAGGATCTAGTGCCCCCTGACCTCTGGCCAGGCCACTGTCAGTTAACACATATGCATTCCATTTGTGATGTCTACCTTGGTGGCTCCACTATGACCCCTAACCCATGAGCCCAGAGAAATTCACCGTGATAATGGAATCCTGGCAACCTTATCTCATGAGGCAGGAGGTGGGGAAGGTGCTTCTGCACAACCTCTGATCCCAAGGACTCCTCTCCCAGACTGTGACCTTAGACCATACCTCTCACCCCCCAATGCCTCGACTCCCCCAAAATCACAAAGAAGACCCTAGACCTATAATTTGTCTTCAGGTAGTAAATTCCCAATAGGTCTGCTGGAGTGGGCGCTGAGGGCTCCCTGCTGCTCAGACCTGAGCCCTCCAGGCAGCAGGGTCCCACTTACCCCCTCCCCACCCTGTTCCCCAAAGGTGGGAAAGAGGGGATTCCCCAGCCCAAGGCAGGGTTTTCCCAGCACCCTCCTGTAAGCAGAAGTCTCAGGGTCCAGACCCTTCCCTGAGCCCCCACCCCCACCCCAATTCCTGCCTACCAAGCAAGCAGCCCCAGCCTAGGGTCAGACAGGGTGAGCCTCATACAGACTGTGCCTTGATGGCCCCAGCCTTGGGAGAAGAATTTACTGTTAACCTGGAAGACTACTGAATCATTTTACCCTTGCCCAGTGGAATAGGACCTAAACATCCCCCTTCCGGGGAAAGTGGGTCATCTGAATTGGGGGTAGCAATTGATACTGTTTTGTAAACTACATTTCCTACAAAATATGAATTTATACTTTGACCAGGTCTTGCCTTTTCTGTGGGATGTGAAGGGGATGGGGTGAGACATGAAGGGGAATGAGGAAGGAGTCTAAGGGCTTGAGAGAATCAGTGAACTGGGGTCAAGAGAGTTAAAGACAAAAACAAAGGGACCAAAGATACAAAATAAGAATTGAGAGAGTAATGAGCAAAAATGTATCAATCAAAAACAAAATTTTTTTTTTTTTTGAGGCGGAGTCTCGCTCTGTCGCCCAGGCTGGAGTGCAGTGGCATGATCTCGGCTCACTGCAAGCTCCACCTTCTGAGTTAACGCCATTCCTCTGCCTCAGCCTCCCGAGTAGCTGGGACTACAGGCGCCCACCACCACGCCCGGCTTATTTTTTGTATTTTTAGTAGAGACGGGGTTTCACCGCGTTAGCCAAGATGGTCTCGATCTCCTGACCTCGTGATCCACCCGTCTCGGCCTCCCAAAGTGCTGGGATTACAGGCGTGAGCCACTGCGCCCAGCCCTAAAAACAGAATGTTGAGTAATGGAATGGGGAGGGGTCCAGGGCATGCTGTTTAATGAACATTCATAATTGCAACAGCAGTATGATGAATGGGACAAAGATAAAAATAGCAATTGGCCAGATGCAGTGGCTCATTCCTGTAATTCCAGCACTTCGGGAAACTGAGGCGGGAAGCTCGACTGAGTCCAGGAGTTAAGAGACCAGCCTGGGAAACACAGTGAGACCCCGCCTCTACGAAAGTTAGCCGGGCGTGGTGGCACGCACCTGTAGTTCAGCTACTCTGGAGGCTGAGGTAGGAGGATCGATTGAGGCCAGAAGTTCAAGGCTGCAGTAAGCTATGATGGCGCCACTGCACTCCAGCCTGAGTGACAGAGTCCAACCTTGTCTTTAAAAAAATAAAAATTAAAAAAGCAGTAACGAAAGTATAAGAGGCTCAAGTTTAATGAATAAACGGCAAGTAAAAGTAGACTAAAGGCAAAATCATGAATAATGTTGTAATAGGAGCCCAAGGCATGACGGATAATAAACCTGAATGAATGGGCCAGAGGCAGAGTGATGAATAATGGAAAAATAGGGACCGGGGGCAAGGGAGGTAACGGACAGGAGTTCATGGATCCAAAACATGATGGCTAATTAGAGAAGGGCCGGAAGAACGACGAAAGTGAGCAGGCAGGCTGGAGCTAAAAGTAGTCTGGGCAATGAAGCTCAAATGAATGGGGCAGAGGCATGATGGGTAATGGGAGAGGAATGAATGGGCCAAAGATAGAAGCCGCAGTGACGCGAGGAACAAGAGGCATGATGGGTAACGAAAGGGGTGGGTCTAAGGCAACTGTTTCGCTAAGAGGTGATGAGGGCATTGTGGGTAACGAGGAGCAGCGCAGGGTTCGCAGAACAGATTAGAATTCTCCCGAGGCACTCTGGGAAGGGCCAGCACTTCCGGTTTTAGGTCGGCTACTCCGAACCAGAGGTGGGGTGGGGGCCCGGCTGCCGCGGTGCCTGGTGGGACGCGAGGCCTGACCTTGCTGCCTAGCCGCCTCTGCCGCGCAACCCACCTTTACCTGTCCTTCGACCCTGGAACGTTAGCCAATGAGAGTACCAAGCTGATACGCCACCAAGGTCGACCCCGTACACGCTGGAGCCAATCAAAATGCTGCAAGGGTCAAAGCCGACCAATTATCACAGCAACCTCGCCGCGGGGCGGAATCAAAAGAGGGCCTCCTCCAGGAGAGAGGCGGGGCGATGCCTCAGCGGGCGTGGCAAAATGCTCAGCACAGACCAATGGCGGGTTAGCACCGGAACCCGCGGCGACGCGAGCCAATAGGCGCAGGCGCTGCGAGCCAATGGGAAGGGTGGGAGGGGCGCCGTGGCTACCCTGCGAGTGAGAACCAATACAAAAGGACATTTCAGGGAAAGTGGGCGGGACTTTATGCACAAGTCCAATGGGAAGACCGAGTCTTGACGCTGGTGGGCGGGCCTCAGGGCACACTAAACCAATGGGCTAGGTGGGGCGGGGCGACGGTGGTGGCGGCGGCGGCAGCGGGTTCGGTTGCGCGTGGCGCACGGGGTGGGAGCGGAGCCCAGGCCGGGAGCAGGCGCCGCCGCCAGTGAGAACCGGGGCCGGAGCCGGGTGCGGATTTGCTGGGGCTGAGTCGGGGGCGCGCGGGCCCTGACCTCTGCCCTCTGACCTCTCCCCTAGCAGGCGACCATGGGGAACGTGTTGGCTGCCAGCTCGCCGCCCGCAGGGCCGCCACCGCCGCCTGCGCCGGCCCTCGTGGGGCTGCCGCCACCTCCGCCCTCGCCGCCGGGCTTCACGCTGCCGCCGCTGGGAGGCAGCCTGGGCGCCGGCACCAGTACGAGTCGAAGTTCGGAACGGACCCCCGGGGCTGCAACCGCCAGCGCCTCAGGGGCCGCCGAGGATGGGGCCTGCGGCTGCCTGCCCAACCCGGGCACATTCGAGGAGTGCCACCGGAAGTGCAAGGGTGAGGGGCGAGGGGCCCCCGCTGGGCTGCGATGGCCTGGATCTCGGGGGAAGGGGGAGGACACTGGGGACTCTGGGATTTGGCGCGCACCATTGGAATTATTTAACAGCACTAGGAGGTGATGTTGGGATCGAATGGTGGAACGTTGGACTTGGGGCTTAGAATGATGGAATCAAATGCTGGAAACGGGATGGAATGTCATAGCAGTAGAGAAAAGCCTTTAGGGACCTGAGGAGCCCCGGGATCAGCCAAGCCAGACTTCTCTTGTGATCGGGAAGGCAACTGAGGCCCAAGGTCACGGTGTCAGCAAGGTGTCAGCGAGGTTCCTTGGGTATGGGACCCAAAGCCTCCGGATCCCAGCCTGGAGCAATTAGAGTAGTAGTAGTGGTGGAGATTTATGGAGTTCTGTTCTGGTGTTCATTATACGTTAACTCATTAGATCCTTGGGACAATTCTGTGTGGTGAGGGTCCCATCTTTCAGATGATGAGTTTGACCTAAAGTTGCTCAGCTTGGTGGCAGTGAGATTTGAGCAAGCAAAGGCCCTGGCCCTGTCTAACTAGGCTGTACTGCCTCTTTACAGGTGGAATCCTTTGTGAGATGTTCTGCTGTGGGTCTCTGGAGAGAGCTGGGGGTGGTAGGGAAGGAAGAGATGAGAGTTGGTGTGGGGTTGGAGTGGAGTGTGACAGCGTTTCTCTTCTCCAGAGCTGTTTCCCATTCAGATGGAGGGTGTCAAGCTCACAGTCAACAAAGGGTTGAGTAACCATTTTCAGGTGAGCCTTCCTGGTGTCCTTACCCACCAGAGATCGTCCCCGCCGTCCCCCTCCCTGCATCTGCACACTCGGCCCAATTACTCCTCCCTCAAGAGCTGGGCTCCCTGATACTTGAAAAGACTCGGAGATATAGTGCCAGACTGACTACTCAGTTTGGGGACCTAGAATCCAGAGGTACTGTCTCCCCATAGCAGCTAGGCTGGAGTGAAGGAACAGGTCTGTGGGCCTACCGGCAGCACCTCCTTTCTCTGAGTCTCTTAGTCAGGCCGTGCCTCCCAGTCTTCATCCCCTGCCCAGCCCAGAGACCTTGTCCTTGCCCTCTTCAGTGGGCAAGCCTATCTGTCCAGTATCGTCACAGCTCTCGCTTTCCTTCCAGGTCAACCACACAGTAGCCCTCAGCACAATCGGGGAGTCCAACTACCACTTCGGGGTCACATATGTGGGGACAAAGCAGCTGAGTCCCACAGAGGTGAGCTTCCTTTTTCATCCATTCATTGTATCCTTCTAATAACAAATTTGTAGCCAAATGTCAAGCTAAGACGGCCTCATCAGGAAAAGGTCACAGCTACCGAGAGCCTGGAGATGGGGATTGCATCTCTCCGAGGTGCACTGGGACACAAATAATTCCTTCATCCAGCAAACATCCGCCAAACCCCTGCTCTCTGCCTGGCCCCATGCTGAGCAGTGCTGGGGATGTGGCCACAGCCACCCTGTCACCAGACAGCGATGACCCAGGGTGGAAAGGGCTGGACTGTAGATCATGCAGAACTTTGAATGCCAGACTAGGCTTTGGACTTTCTCTAGGGGGTTGTGGAGAGTCATGGCATGGTTTGGTCAAGGGAAAGACGTGGTCCACAGGTTCCCGCTGTAGAAATCTCTGGGGCATCTCTGGGGTGGCCATGTGGGGGCTAGTTATTAGGAAGGGCAAAACTGGAGGCCCAGACAGGGTTGGGGGGACTGAATGAGGTCTCTGCTTCTGTCATTTCCCTTCAGCAAATGTGTTTATTCTGCAAACCTTCATTGCACAACACATTCTGTGCCCAGCCCTGTGCTGGCACACATGACTGAAACAGCATGGGACTCACCCGTGGGGCAGGGGACAGACTGTTCCCAGAGAGTAACAAGCCAGGATGGGCAAGGCTGACATGGGGGAACCCAAAGGTCGGGGAGCCTAACTCAGCTTAGGTGGTCAGAGAGCACTTCGTGGAGGAGGGGACCCCCATCCGAGGCTTTCTGACCCTAGGCTTCTCACCCCGGCCCATCTCACATACTTGCACAGTGCACCACCTCTGACCCCTTCCGTTCTCTCTGCCTCACAGGCGTTCCCTGTACTGGTGGGTGACATGGACAACAGTGGCAGTCTCAACGCTCAGGTCATTCACCAGCTGGGCCCCGGTCTCAGGTCCAAGATGGCCATCCAGGTGAGTGGGGCACGGAGGCTGCTGCTCCCCTCGGCCACCGTGAGCAGGGAGCCGCCCTCACACCCCCTCCTCTCCACAGACCCAGCAGTCGAAGTTTGTGAACTGGCAGGTGGACGGGGAGTATCGGGGCTCTGACTTCACAGCAGCCGTCACCCTGGGGAACCCAGACGTCCTCGTGGGTTCAGGTAAGAGGCGGAGGGCTTGGAGGGTGGTCACAAAACTGCAGTTCTGGCTTTGCCAGCAAATCCACCCCATTTGTGAACCTCCTTTTCTGCCACTGGAGAAGTGGCTCAGCAGGAGTGATTTTGAAACATCAGGCAACATACTACAGTGGGTGAGACGGTCACCCACTGACCATGAGTGGGTGAGTCAGAGCAGTCTTTTTTTTTTTTTTTTTTGAGATGGAGTCTTGCTTTATCACCCAGGTTGGAGTGCCGTGGCACGATCTTGGCTCACTGCAACCTCCATCTCCTGGGTTCATGCAATTCTCCTGCCTCAGCCTCCCGAGTAGCTGGGATTACAGGCATGCGCTACCACGCCTGGCTAATTTTTGTATTTTTAGTAGAGACAGGGTTTCACCACATTGGTCAGGCTGGTCTTGAACTCCTGACCTCAAGGGATCCACCCACCTCAGCCTCCCAAAGTGCTGGGATTACAGGTGTGAGCCACCACGCCCAGCCAGTCAGCGCAATTTTAACTGAGATTTTCTTTTGTATTAAAAAATGTTTTAAGATGGGGTCTTGCTGTATTGGCCAGGCTGGTCTTGGAACTCCTGGCTTCAAGCAATCCTCCCACCTTGACCTTCCAAAGTGCTGGGATGACAGGCGTGAGCCACCTCGCCTGGCCAGGGAAACAGCTTTTCAGCCTGCAAGTAGTGCAGTCGGGACTCGTGAAAGGAACTTGAGGGAGGATGGTCCCCTGGTTGCATAAGGCTTTGCAGAGCCTTGGCCTTCGCTCTGAGTGAGTCTGGGGCTTTCGGAAACCAAGGCATAGCTTCTCACAGGACCCTGCAGCTGGCGTAGAGAGCAGACTCCAAAGGGGGTACCACTGGGAGGGAGTGGACGGGGAGAGGAGGTTGGATTCTGGATGTTGTTTGAAGGCAGAGCTGCCAGGATTTGTTGAGACCGGATGGAGGCGATGACTCTGTAGTTTTTGGCTGGAACTGGAAGGATGGAGTTTCGGATTGCCAGCTTTGTGTCTTTGTGCAGCCATCCACTGTGTCGTGGAGAGCAGGCTCTTGAGCGCTGAGTCCTGAGTGAATGACTCGTGCAGGCGGGGAGGGGAGCTAGGGTTGGCCTTGGACCCCTGGGAGTGCCTAGGGAGAGTCACCACTTCTCGCTGCAGGAGCCCAGGGAGACTCAAAAGTGTTGACTTTTGAGCTGCCAGAGGAGGAGAAGGGGCTACCCCGGCTGGGGGACAGGAGCAAGAAGATTCCAGGCAGGGAGAAGCAGGAACAGGGGTGAGGGAAGGGAAGGGCCATGGCAGAAAACCCAGGAGACAGGGAAGCTGGAGGTGCAGCAGGTGCAGAGAGGCCTCCTAGGTGAGGCTGATCTGTAGGGGCCCCATGAGGAAGAAACATTTCCTGTCCCCAACTCACCTGGTGACATCACCCCATCTTCTCATACACTACAGTTGAACCACATGAGCCTTTTTTGTTGGTTTGTTTTTGTTTTTGAGACGGAGTCTTGCTCTGTTGCCCAGGCTGGAGTGCTGTGGTGCAATCTCGGCTCACTGCAACCTCTGCCTCCCTGGTTCAAGCGATTCTCCTGCCTCAGGCTCCCTAGTATCCCTAGTAGCTGGGACTACAGGCGCGCGCCACCATGCCTGGCTAATTTTTGTATTTTTAGTAGAGACAGGTTTTCGCCATGTCGGCCAGGCTGATCTCGAACTTCTTACCTCAAGTGATCCACCCGCCCCGGCCTCCCAAAGTGCTGGGATTACAGGTGTGAGCCACCGCGCCCGGCCGACCATGCAAGCTTTTCTGACGGTTCCTGAAACCACCGAGTTGGTTCTACCCCAGGACCGACGCACACTCTGTCCCTGCTGCATGGAATTCTTCCCTCTGGTCTTGACATGACTGGGAAGGCTTGCGTGCGCATGTCGCCCTCTGTCGTCCACCATTGTCCCCATCTTGCAAGGCCAAGAGGAGGTTCTCCACTAAGGGCACATGGCCAGTGGGACTCCAGTGTCCCTGCTCTTCACGGCGCCAGCAACCCCGTTCCCTGTGCCGCCTCGCTCGCCTGGTCCTTTCGTGCTCCCCAGCACTGGCCTCCTGGAGCCCAGGGCCACCAGTGACGCTTTGGTCTCTAGTCCTTTCCAGTGCCTCTTCCTTCCCCCAGACACCAGTGAGAACAGGGCCTGCCGTGTGCCGGTCAGGGCTGAGCTCTCGAGTCTCTTGCCACCAACAGCTCCGACTTGACCCAGGGTGTCTCTACCTCCAGGCGGCTCTGTGACCTCCGGCAAGTGGTTCCAGCCCTTCTGGGCTTCAGTCTCCTCATCTGTCACTTGGGCACAATAGAAGCAACTACCTCCCAGTGAAGGAGTCCATGAGAGGGCCCGACTTCTCGGCCTCAGCACTGGGCCACATGCACAGTCACCACTTGCTCCACTCTGGCATCTCCATGGGGACAATGCCCGCAGGCACCCCCATTTCACAGATAAGGAAAGCGAGGCCCAGGGGTGAAATCAGTTGCCCAGGGTGACACAGCCAGGAAGCAGAGGAGCTGGGATTTGAATGGAAGCTTAATTCAGGAGCCCGTGAGCCTCCCCAGCCCCTCCCAATGGTGACAGCTCCTTTTCTGCTTCACTCTGAGCACCTCATGTGTGCCCAGCCCTGGGCTGGGACACAGCAGTGACCGAGACAGCCCATTCCTGCCCTCATGGGGGTCCCAGGTCAGGCACAGTGGCTCACACCTGTAATCCCAGCACTTTGGGAGGCTGAGGTGGGCGGATCGCTTGAGATCGGGAGTTCAAGATCAGCCTGGGCAACATAGCAATACCCTGTCTCTACAAAAAAAATTAGAAATTAGGCATATGGTGGTACATGCCTGTAGTCCCAACTACTGGGGACGCTGAGCTGGCAGGGCACATGCCTATAGTCCCAGCTACTTGGGAGCCTGGGAAGGGGGAGTGGTTCTATTCTGAAGCTGAGGCCAAGCCATCCAAGGCCTTGCAGGTGTGCTGAGGAACCCATATCTTCTCAGGGCACGAGGGAGCCATGGCAGGTTCTGGGCAGGGGGTCAACAGGGTCAGGTTTGTGCTTTAACATGATCCCTCTGTCTGCTGTCTGTGAGGTCACTTGAAGTTGGGGCATGAGACTAGAGAGGAGGCTGTGGGTAGAGAAACTGGGGGGGTGGCCCAGGAGATGGGAAGGATGGTTAGAAAGATACTTGAGGGTCTCATGGCCTCAGTTCCAACAGTCCCTGGAACTCAGAGGCCAGAGATTCTAAGTCACTCACTCTAGATGGCTGCTTTTCCCTCTGGGCTTCAGTCTCCCCCTTGATTGAATGAGGGGATAACACTGACCAGAGTGGTAATGGTAGTGATTTTTTTTTTCTTTTCTTCCCCTGCCCCACCTCACATACCTCTGCCCTGAGACGCAGTCTCTGTTGCCCAGGCCAGAGTGCAGTGGCACAGTGTCAGCTCACCTCAACCTCCACCTTCTGGGTTCAAGTGATTCTCCTGTCTCAGCCTCCCAAGTAGCTGGGATTACAGGCACGCACTGCCACACCCGGCTAATTTTTGTATTTTTGCGTCGTGGCACATGCGTGTAATCCCAGGTACTCGGGAGGCTGAGGCAGGAGAGTCACTTGAACCCGGGAGGCAGAGGTTGCAGTGAGCCGAGATGACGCCTTTGCACTCCAGCCTGGGCAACAAGAGCAAAACGCCCCATCTCAAAAAAAAAAAAAAAGAGAGAGAGAGGGAGAGATGGGGGTCTCGCCATGTTGCCCCAGCTGGTCTCAGACTCCTGGGCTCAAACAACCCTCCTGCCTCAGCCTCCCAAAGTGCCAGGATTACAGGCGTGAGCTACTGTGCCCCGCCCGTGTGATGGTGATTCAACAACCAGTGGGGGGTTCGGGGATTCATTTGCTTCATCTCCTCTGGGAAGGAGAGTCACACAGTCGCTTGCCCGAGCCCATGGGGACCAGCTGCAGCCTACTTCTGATCTCAGCCTCCCCAGAAGATGCCACCAGGGCACTGGCCATGAACTCACGGCCTCTCTCACACCCACCAGGCTCATCTTGGGGGTTGCCGCCTAACACTCAGCCCCTCTGAGAGCTCCACCCAGCCATGCCTGCAGGTATGAAAGGCCCCTATTCCTGCAGCTCCAGAGAGCTGGCTCCAGGCTGGCTCCATGCTAGCAGGCCAGCCTGCTCCCACTGTGGGGCCCCTAGTCTGCCCCTCTGGTCATCTTGGTCTGGGAAGCATCTTCGCACCTGCTTTGCTCTGTGCTGTCTCAGCTTCTCTGTGTGCCCTCAGTCTCGTGGCCCCCAACCTCCCTTCCCTTCTCCACGTGTCTTCCTCTCCAGGGCTGCACCCTAGGAGATTGCTCGATCGTGGTGGATTTCTCAACTGTGAATCTTCAGTCCCTCTTCCCCCTTCATTTCTGTCTCTGCAGATGTGTTGTTTCTTTTTTTTTTTTTCTTTTTTTTTTTTTTTTGTCTTTTTGAGATGAAGTCTTGCACTGTCTCCCAGGCTGGAGTGCAGTGGCACAATCACAATCTCAGCTTACTGCAACTTCCGCCTCCCGGGTTCAAGCGATTCTCCTGCCTCAGCCTCCTGAGTAGCTGGGACTACAGGTGTGCACCACCACACTCAGCTAATGTTTGTATTTTTAGTAGAGACAGGGTTTCACCATGTTGGCCAGGCTGGTCTCGAACCTCCGACCTCAGACGATCCACCCACCTCAGCCTCCCAAAGTGCTGGAATTACAGGTGTGAGCCACCGTGCCCAGCCTCTTTTTTTCTTTAAAAATTTTTTAGGCCGGGCGCGGTGGCTCATGCTTGTAATCCCAGCACTTTGGGAGGCCGAGGCAGGCGGATCACGAGGTCAGGAGATCGAGACCACGGTGAAACCCCTTCTCTACTAAAAATACAAAAAATTAGCCAGGCATGGTGGCGGGCTCCTGTAGTCCCAGCTACTCGGAGAGGCTGAGGCAGGAGAATGGCGTGAACCCGGGAGGTGGAGCTTGCAGTGAGCCGAGATAGTGCCACTGCACTCCAGCCTGGGCGACAGAGCGAGACTCCATCTCAAAAAAAAAAAAAAAAAATTAAATTTCTTATTTTTTGAAACAGGATCTCTGTTGCCCACGTTGGAGTGCAGTGGCGTGATCATAGCTCAGTGTAACCTTGACCTTCTGAGCTCAAGTGATCCTCCTGCCTCAGCCTCCCAAGTAGCTGGGACTATAAGCATGTGCCATCATGCCTGGCTACGTTTTTAAATTTATTTATTTGTTGTTTGTTTGCTTATTGGGACAGATTCTCACTCTGTCACTCAGGCTGGAGTGCAGTGGCACTATCATGGCTCACTGCAGCCTCCACCTCCTGGGCTTAAGCAATCCTCCCACGTCCACCCCCTTAGTACCTGGGACTACAGGTGTGCACCACCTCACCCAACTAATTTTTGTATTCGCTATGTTTCCCAAGCTGGTTTCGAATTCCTGGGCTCAAATGAACCCACTTTGGCCTCCCAAACTGCTGGGATTACAACAAGCATGAGCCACTGTGCCTGGCCTTGATTTTTTTTTTTTTTTTTATGATAATCTGTAGTTAGATGAAGTTTTTAAATTTTTTGTAGAGATGGGGTCTCACTATGTCACCTAGGCTTGTCTCCAACTGCTGACCTCAAGCTGTCCTCTTGCCCCAGCCCTCCAAAGCATTGGGATTACTGGCATGAGCCATTGCATCTGGCTTTTTTTTTTTTTTTTTTTTTTTTTTTTTTTTTTTGAGATGGGGTCTCACCATGTTGCCCGGGCTGGCTTCGAATGCCTAGGCTCAAGCAATCCTCCCTTCTCAGCCTCCCAAATAGCTGGGATTACAGGCACGTGCCACCACGCCAGGCTTGTTTTCTTTCCCTGTCCCTCCCTCTCTATTTCCCACTCTCTTCCTCCCCAATTCTTCTGGCCCTATAAAATCACATTTGTGGCCTGTACCCTGCTAGGCTCGAAAGACACCAAAGTGAATCCATCTCCATCCTGAGGCTTGAAAAGGCAGCCCAAAGGTGGCAGTTCTCTTGTTCAGCAAGCACTCCCTACGGTGGAGGGACACAGGAACGCAGACTTGGACCTCAGTGCAGCAAGTCCCAGCCACAGCTGAGCACTCGATTCCTCACAACCCCAAGAGGCAGTTAGGTTCACAGAGAGATGATGCCAGCGTCCATGGTCACCAGCCAGCCTGTGGCAGGGCTGGGATTCGAACCCAGGCTGTGCATATTTACCCACTCTACCCAATGGCCTCTCAGCAGCAGAGTGGCTCAGAGCCTGGGTTTGGGAGGTGTGGAGGCTTGGATTCTGCCCTTGACACATTTTGTGAGCATGAGTGAGTGACTTACCCTGTAAGCTTCTATAAGTGGTGGTGACCCCCTCTGTAAGTGGGGGTGGATAAATGCTGACCACATGGGCTTGTGTCGACCAGATGAGGTCCTTCAGGTAATGCAGTCATAGCAGGGCCTGGGACGCTGACCTCAGCGGTAGGGAACCCCTGGGCGATGGGTTAGGAGAAAGGAGCCCTTGAGGGAGGCCTGAGAGCAAGCCCAAGCCTCCAGCCGGGGTGAGCCTAGAGGGCTTCCTGGAGGTGGAGTCTAGCCTGGCACTCAGGGTGGGTGGAAACTGATCGTCATTTTGCCCACAGGAATCCTCGTAGCCCACTACCTCCAGAGCATCACGCCTTGCCTGGCCCTGGGTGGAGAGCTGGTCTACCACCGGCGGCCTGGAGAGGAGGGCACTGTCATGTCTCTAGCTGGGAAATACACATGTGAGCCTGGCGCCTGGGTCCGAGGGTGGAGGGGCTGGGCCCCTGGACTCCTCCTGGGTCTGAGGGAGGACGGGCTAGGGCCCTGGACACTCAGGTCTGAGGGAGGAGGCCTGGGTTCCCAGATGCCCAAATCCCCTTGGTAATGAGACCCCGCCTCCACCCCACTCTCTGACAGTGAACAACTGGTTGGCAACGGTAACGTTGGGCCAGGCGGGCATGCACGCAACATACTACCACAAAGCCAGTGACCAGGTGAGTGGGTGCAGGGACTAGCTGGTGCTGCCAGGGGCTGCTGGGCCTGGAAGTCCAGGTGGGGCCACTTGCTAATTCTCATGTGTTGCTCCGGCCCCTCCAGCTGCAGGTGGGTGTGGAGTTTGAGGCCAGCACAAGGATGCAGGACACCAGCGTCTCCTTCGGGTACCAGCTGGACCTGCCCAAGGCCAACCTCCTCTTCAAAGGTAAAGGTCTCGGTTCCCCTACGCGGGAAACAGGCAGGAGGTGACTCAACTCTGAGTGGATGTGTGGGCCACCACAGGTGCTGGAGGACAGTGTGCTGCCACCCTGTGGGCCTCCACATTACCAGGGAACACTTGTTAAAAGGTAGGTGGGGCCGGGTGCGGTGGCTCACGCCTGTAATCCCAGCACTTTGGGAGGCCAAGGCGGGCCGAGGTAAGGAGATTGAGACCATCCTGGCTAACACGGTGAAACTCCGTCTCTACTAAAAATACAAAAACAAAATTAGCCGGGTGTGGTTGCGGGTGCCTATAGTCCCAACTACTGAGGCTGAGGCGGGAAAATGGTATGAACCCAGGAGGCGGAGCTTGCGGTGAGCCGAGATCGTGCCACCGCACTCCAGCCTGGGTGACAGAGCAAGACTCCATCTCAAAAAAAAAAAAGTAGGTGGACAACCCTCTACTATGTTTTATGCTTGGAAAAAAAAAGTAGGTAGAGCAGCCAGGCGTGGTGACTCACGCCTGTAATCCCAGCATTTTGGGAGGCCAAGCCAGGTAGAATACTTGAGGCCAGGAGTTGGAGACCAGCCTGGCCAACGTGGTGAAATCCCCTCTCTACTAAAAGTACAAAAATTAGCCAGGTGTGGTAGCGTGCTGCAACTGTAGTCCCCGCTACTTAGGAGGCTGAGGCACAAGAATCACTTGAACCTGGGAGGCGGAGGTTGCAGGGAGTTGAGACTGCACCACTGCACTCCAGCCTGGGTGACAGAGTGAGACTCCATCTCCAAAAAAAATAAAATGAAATAAATAAATAAATGTTAAAAAAAATCTGGTGGAGCATCTGATGGGTGTTTGGGCCAAGCTGGAGCTTTGTCCATCCCCTCTTATTTTTCTGCACTTGACTCTCTTATTTTTCTGAGACTGGTCTCCCTCTGTCGCCCAGGCTAGAGTGCAGCAGTGCAACTGCGGCTCACTGCAGCCTCCACCTCCCGGGCTCAAGCAGCCTTCCCACCTCAGCCTCCTGAGTAGCTAGGACCACAGGTGTATGCCACCAGGCCCAGCTAATTTTTTTGATAGTTTTGGGAGACATGGGGGTTTCACCATGTTGCCCAGGCTGGTCTCGAACTCCTGGACTCAAGCCTTGGCCTCCCAAAGTGCTGGGATTATAGGTGTGAGCCACCACACCCAGCCAGGGTAGAAGGCACTTTGGAAGCCTCGAGCCTGCCCCATTCATCTTACGTTAGTGGAAACTGAGGCTTCCAGAGGTTTCAAGGTCACAACTAAATCCAGAACCTCATCTCAGGCACACTGGTCGTAGTCCCAATGTCCAGTCTTAAGTCTTCTTGGATATCTGTGGCTCACAGATTTTGGGTGTTTGAGCCTCCTGCTGAGCACTGCTGGGGCCACAGCGGTGACCAGCCCTGTCTTCACGGGACTCAGTGAGAGGAACAGATTCATCCGCAGAGTGGGCAGGACTAGGTTGGGGGAACCCAGGGGTCTAGAGGGCTTTTCAGAGGGCAGGGGTCACTGAGCGGAGAGCAGAGGAGGAGTGAGCCATTTGCTCCAGCGTGAAGTTGTTGGTGTGATGGGGTTTCAGGGTGGCAGGAGCAGTGTGGTTAAAGGTCTGGAAGCTGTCGGCATGTGGCTGGTATCCAAGGTGGCCAGGAACTCTGCATGGATATGGTGGGAAGCTGGCACGCCTCTCACCTCAGCTCTTCCCTGCAGGCTCTGTGGATAGCAACTGGATCGTGGGTGCCACGCTGGAGAAGAAGCTCCCACCCCTGCCCCTGACACTGGCCCTTGGGGCCTTCCTGAATCACCGCAAGAACAAGTTTCAGTGTGGCTTTGGCCTCACCATCGGCTGAGCCCTCCTGGCCCCCGCCTTCCACGCCCTTCCGATTCCACCTCCACCTCCACCTCCCCCTGCCACAGAGGGGAGACCTGAGCCCCCCTCCCTTCCCTCCCCCCTTGGGGGTCGGGGGGGACATTGGAAAGGAGGGACCCCGCCACCCCAGCAGCTGAGGAGGGGATTCTGGAACTGAATGGCGCTTCGGGATTCTGAGTAGCAGGGGCAGCATGCCCAGTGGGCCTGGGGTCCCGGGAGGGATTCCGGAATTGAGGGGCACGCAGGATTCTGAGCACCAGGGGCAGAGGCGGCCAGACAACCTCAGGGAGGAGTGTCCTGGCGTCCCCATCCTCCAAAGGGCCTGGGCCCGCCCCGAGGGGGCAGCGAGAGGAGCTTCCCCATCCCCGGTCAGTCCACCCTGCCCCGTCCACTTTCCCATCTCCTCGGTATAAATCATGTTTATAAGTTATGGAAGAACCGGGACATTTTACAGAAAAAAAACAAAAAACAACAAAAAATATACGTGGGAAAAAAAACGATGGGAGGCCTCCGTTTTCTCAAGTGTGTCTGGCCTGTTTTGAGCATTTCATCCGGAGTCTGGCCGCCCTGACCTTCCCCCAGCCGCCTGCAGGGGGCGCCAGAGGGCCGGAGCACGGAAAGCAGCGGATCCTTGATGCTGCCTTAAGTCCGGCTCAGAGGGGCGCAGCGTGGCCTGGGGTCGCTATCTTCCCATCCGGAACATCTGCCCTGCTGGGGGACACTACGGGCCTTCCCTTGCCTGAGGGTAGGGTCTCAAGGTCACTTGCCCCCAGCTTGACCTGGCCGGAGTGGCTATAGAGGACTTTGTCCCTGCAGACTGCAGCAGCAGAGATGACACTGTCTCTGAGTGCAGAGATGGGGGCAGGGAGCTGGGAGAGGGTTCAAGCTACTGGAACAGCTTCAGAACAACTAGGGTACTAGGAACTGCTGTGTCAGGGAGAAGGGGCTCAAGGACTCGCAGGCCTGGGAGGAGGGGCCTAGGCCAGCCATGGGAGTTGGGTCACCTGTGTCTGAGGACTTGGTGCTGTCTGGATTTTGCCAACCTAGGGCTGGGGTCAGCTGATGCCCACCACGACTCCCGAGCCTCCAGGAACTGAAACCCTGTCTGCCCCCAGGGTCTGGGGAAGGAGGCTGCTGAGTAGAACCAACCCCAGGTTACCAACCCCACCTCAGCCACCCCTTGCCAGCCAAAGCAAACAGGCCCGGCCCGGCACTGGGGGTTCCTTCTCGAACCAGGAGTTCAGCCTCCCCTGACCCGCAGAATCTTCTGATCCCACCCGCTCCAGGAGCCAGGAATGAGTCCCAGTCTCTCCCAGTTCTCACTGTGTGGTTTTGCCATTCGTCTTGCTGCTGAACCACGGGTTTCTCCTCTGAAACATCTGGGATTTATAACAGGGCTTAGGAAAGTGACAGCGTCTGAGCGTTCACTGTGGCCTGTCCATTGCTAGCCCTAACATAGGACCGCTGTGTGCCAGGGCTGTCCTCCATGCTCAATACACGTTAGCTTGTCACCAAACATACCCGTGCCGCTGCTTTCCCAGTCTGATGAGCAAAGGAACTTGATGCTCAGAGAGGACAAGTCATTTGCCCAAGGTCACACAGCTGGCAACTGGCAGAGCCAGGATTCACGCCCTGGCAATTTGACTCCAGAATCCTAACCTTAACCCAGAAGCACGGCTTCAAGCCCCTGGAAACCACAATACCTGTGGCAGCCAGGGGGAGGTGCTGGAATCTCATTTCACATGTGGGGAGGGGGCTCCCCTGTGCTCAAGGTCACAACCAAAGAGGAAGCTGTGATTAAAACCCAGGTCCCATTTGCAAAGCCTCGACTTTTAGCAGGTGCATCATACTGTTCCCACCCCTCCCATCCCACTTCTGTCCAGCCGCCTAGCCCCACTTTCTTTTTTTTCTTTTTTTGAGACAGTCTCCCTCTTGCTGAGGCTGGAGTGCAGTGGCGAGATCTCGGCTCACTGTAACCTCCGCCTCCCGGGTTCAAGCGATTCTCCTGCCTCAGCCTCCCAAGTAGCTAGGATTACAGGCGCCCGCCACCACGCCTGGCTAACTTTTGTATTTTTAGTAGAGATGGGGTTTCACCATGTTGGCCAGGCTGGTCTCAAACTCCTGACCTTAAGTGATTCGCCCACTGTGGCCTCCCAAAGTGCTGGGATTACAGGCGTGAGCTACCGCCCCCAGCCCCTCCCATCCCACTTCTGTCCAGCCCCCTAGCCCTACTTTCTTTCTGGGATCCAGGAGTCCAGATCCCCAGCCCCCTCTCCAGATTACATTCATCCAGGCACAGGAAAGGACAGGGTCAGGAAAGGAGGACTCTGGGCGGCAGCCTCCACATTCCCCTTCCACGCTTGGCCCCCAGAATGGAGGAGGGTGTCTGTATTACTGGGCGAGGTGTCCTCCCTTCCTGGGGACTGTGGGGGGTGGTCAAAAGACCTCTATGCCCCACCTCCTTCCTCCCTCTGCCCTGCTGTGCCTGGGGCAGGGGGAGAACAGCCCACCTCGTGACTGGGGGCTGGCCCAGCCCGCCCTATCCCTGGGGGAGGGGGCGGGACAGGGGGAGCCCTATAATTGGACAAGTCTGGGATCCTTGAGTCCTACTCAGCCCCAGCGGAGGTGAAGGACGTCCTTCCCCAGGAGCCGGTGAGAAGCGCAGTCGGGGGCACGGGGATGAGCTCAGGGGCCTCTAGAAAGAGCTGGGACCCTGGGAACCCCTGGCCTCCAGGTAGTCTCAGGAGAGCTACTCGGGGTCGGGCTTGGGGAGAGGAGGAGCGGGGGTGAGGCAAGCAGCAGGGGACTGGACCTGGGAAGGGCTGGGCAGCAGAGACGACCCGACCCGCTAGAAGGTGGGGTGGGGAGAGCAGCTGGACTGGGATGTAAGCCATAGCAGGACTCCACGAGTTGTCACTATCATTTATCGAGCACCTACTGGGTGTCCCCAGTGTCCTCAGATCTCCATAACTGGGGAGCCAGGGGCAGCGACACGGTAGCTAGCCGTCGATTGGAGAACTTTAAAATGAGGACTGAATTAGCTCATAAATGGAACACGGCGCTTAACTGTGAGGTTGGAGCTTAGAATGTGAAGGGAGAATGAGGAATGCGAGACTGGGACTGAGATGGAACCGGCGGTGGGGAGGGGGTGGGGGGATGGAATTTGAACCCCGGGAGAGGAAGATGGAATTTTCTATGGAGGCCGACCTGGGGATGGGGAGATAAGAGAAGACCAGGAGGGAGTTAAATAGGGAATGGGTTGGGGGCGGCTTGGTAAATGTGCTGGGATTAGGCTGTTGCAGATAATGCAACAAGGCTTGGAAGGCTAACCTGGGGTGAGGCCGGGTTGGGGCCGGGCTGGGGGTGGGAGGAGTCCTCACTGGCGGTTGATTGACAGTTTCTCCTTCCCCAGACTGGCCAATCACAGGCAGGAAGATGAAGGTTCTGTGGGCTGCGTTGCTGGTCACATTCCTGGCAGGTATGGGGGCGGGGCTTGCTCGGTTCCCCCCGCTCCTCCCCCTCTCATCCTCACCTCAACCTCCTGGCCCCATTCAGGCAGACCCTGGGCCCCCTCTTCTGAGGCTTCTGTGCTGCTTCCTGGCTCTGAACAGCGATTTGACGCTCTCTGGGCCTCGGTTTCCCCCATCCTTGAGATAGGAGTTAGAAGTTGTTTTGTTGTTGTTGTTTGTTGTTGTTGTTTTGTTTTTTTGAGATGAAGTCTCGCTCTGTCGCCCAGGCTGGAGTGCAGTGGCGGGATCTCGGCTCACTGCAAGCTCCGCCTCCCAGGTCCACGCCATTCTCCTGCCTCAGCCTCCCAAGTAGCTGGGACTACAGGCACATGCCACCACACCCGACTAACTTTTTTGTATTTTCAGTAGAGACGGGGTTTCACCATGTTGGCCAGGCTGGTCTGGAACTCCTGACCTCAGGTGATCTGCCCGTTTCGATCTCCCAAAGTGCTGGGATTACAGGCGTGAGCCACCGCACCTGGCTGGGAGTTAGAGGTTTCTAATGCATTGCAGGCAGATAGTGAATACCAGACACGGGGCAGCTGTGATCTTTATTCTCCATCACCCCCACACAGCCCTGCCTGGGGCACACAAGGACACTCAATACATGCTTTTCCGCTGGGCGCGGTGGCTCACCCCTGTAATCCCAGCACTTTGGGAGGCCAAGGTGGGAGGATCACTTGAGCCCAGGAGTTCAACACCAGCCTGGGCAACATAGTGAGACCCTGTCTCTACTAAAAATACAAAAATTAGCCAGGCATGGTGCCACACACCTGTGCTCTCAGCTACTCAGGAGGCTGAGGCAGGAGGATCGCTTGAGCCCAGAAGGTCAAGGTTGCAGTGAACCATGTTCAGGCCGCTGCACTCCAGCCTGGGTGACAGAGCAAGACCCTGTTTATAAATACATAATGCTTTCCAAGTGATTAAACCGACTCCCCCCTCACCCTGCCCACCATGGCTCCAAAGAAGCATTTGTGGAGCACCTTCTGTGTGCCCCTAGGTACTAGATGCCTGGACGGGGTCAGAAGGACCCTGACCCACCTTGAACTTGTTCCACACAGGATGCCAGGCCAAGGTGGAGCAAGCGGTGGAGACAGAGCCGGAGCCCGAGCTGCGCCAGCAGACCGAGTGGCAGAGCGGCCAGCGCTGGGAACTGGCACTGGGTCGCTTTTGGGATTACCTGCGCTGGGTGCAGACACTGTCTGAGCAGGTGCAGGAGGAGCTGCTCAGCTCCCAGGTCACCCAGGAACTGAGGTGAGTGTCCCCATCCTGGCCCTTGACCCTCCTGGTGGGCGGCTATACCTCCCCAGGTCCAGGTTTCATTCTGCCCCTGTCGCTAAGTCTTGGGGGGCCTGGGTCTCTGCTGGTTCTAGCTTCCTCTTCCCATTTCTGACTCCTGGCTTTAGCTCTCTGGAATTCTCTCTCTCAGCTTTGTCTCTCTCTCTTCCCTTCTGACTCAGTCTCTCACACTCGTCCTGGCTCTGTCTCTGTCCTTCCCTAGCTCTTTTATATAGAGACAGAGAGATGGGGTCTCACTGTGTTGCCCAGGCTGGTCTTGAACTTCTGGGCTCAAGCGATCCTCCCGCCTCGGCCTCCCAAAGTGCTGGGATTAGAGGCATGAGCCACCTTGCCCGGCCTCCTAGCTCCTTCTTCGTCTCTGCCTCTGCCCTCTGCATCTGCTCTCTGCATCTGTCTCTGTCTCCTTCTCTCGGCCTCTGCCCCGTTCCTTCTCTCCCTCTTGGGTCTCTCTGGCTCATCCCCATCTCGCCCGCCCCATCCCAGCCCTTCTCCCCGCCTCCCACTGTGCGACACCCTCCCGCCCTCTCGGCCGCAGGGCGCTGATGGACGAGACCATGAAGGAGTTGAAGGCCTACAAATCGGAACTGGAGGAACAACTGACCCCGGTGGCGGAGGAGACGCGGGCACGGCTGTCCAAGGAGCTGCAGGCGGCGCAGGCCCGGCTGGGCGCGGACATGGAGGACGTGTGCGGCCGCCTGGTGCAGTACCGCGGCGAGGTGCAGGCCATGCTCGGCCAGAGCACCGAGGAGCTGCGGGTGCGCCTCGCCTCCCACCTGCGCAAGCTGCGTAAGCGGCTCCTCCGCGATGCCGATGACCTGCAGAAGCGCCTGGCAGTGTACCAGGCCGGGGCCCGCGAGGGCGCCGAGCGCGGCCTCAGCGCCATCCGCGAGCGCCTGGGGCCCCTGGTGGAACAGGGCCGCGTGCGGGCCGCCACTGTGGGCTCCCTGGCCGGCCAGCCGCTACAGGAGCGGGCCCAGGCCTGGGGCGAGCGGCTGCGCGCGCGGATGGAGGAGATGGGCAGCCGGACCCGCGACCGCCTGGACGAGGTGAAGGAGCAGGTGGCGGAGGTGCGCGCCAAGCTGGAGGAGCAGGCCCAGCAGATACGCCTGCAGGCCGAGGCCTTCCAGGCCCGCCTCAAGAGCTGGTTCGAGCCCCTGGTGGAAGACATGCAGCGCCAGTGGGCCGGGCTGGTGGAGAAGGTGCAGGCTGCCGTGGGCACCAGCGCCGCCCCTGTGCCCAGCGACAATCACTGAACGCCGAAGCCTGCAGCCATGCGACCCCACGCCACCCCGTGCCTCCTGCCTCCGCGCAGCCTGCAGCGGGAGACCCTGTCCCCGCCCCAGCCGTCCTCCTGGGGTGGACCCTAGTTTAATAAAGATTCACCAAGTTTCACGCATCTGCTGGCCTCCCCCTGTGATTTCCTCTAAGCCCCAGCCTCAGTTTCTCTTTCTGCCCACATACTGGCCACACAATTCTCAGCCCCCTCCTCTCCATCTGTGTCTGTGTGTATCTTTCTCTCTGCCCTTTTTTTTTTTTTTAGACGGAGTCTGGCTCTGTCACCCAGGCTAGAGTGCAGTGGCACGATCTTGGCTCACTGCAACCTCTGCCTCTTGGGTTCAAGCGATTCTGCTGCCTCAGTAGCTGGGATTACAGGCTCACACCACCACACCCGGCTAATTTTTGTATTTTTAGTAGAGACGAGCTTTCACCATGTTGGCCAGGCAGGTCTCAAACTCCTGACCAAGTGATCCACCCGCCGGCCTCCCAAAGTGCTGAGATTACAGGCCTGAGCCACCATGCCCGGCCTCTGCCCCTCTTTCTTTTTTAGGGGGCAGGGAAAGGTCTCACCCTGTCACCCGCCATCACAGCTCACTGCAGCCTCCACCTCCTGGACTCAAGTGATAAGTGATCCTCCCGCCTCAGCCTTTCCAGTAGCTGAGACTACAGGCGCATACCACTAGGATTAATTTGGGGGGGGGGGTGGTGTGTGTGGAGATGGGGTCTGGCTTTGTTGGCCAGGCTGATGTGGAATTCCTGGGCTCAAGCGATACTCCCACCTTGGCCTCCTGAGTAGCTGAGACTACTGGCTAGCACCACCACACCCAGCTTTTTATTATTATTTGTAGAGACAAGGTCTCAATATGTTGCCCAGGCTAGTCTCAAACCCCTGGGCTCAAGAGATCCTCCGCCATCGGCCTCCCAAAGTGCTGGGATTCCAGGCATGGGGCTCCGAGCCCGGCCTGCCCAACTTAATAATACTTGTTCCTCAGAGTTGCAACTCCAAATGACCTGAGATTGGTGCCTTTATTCTAAGCTATTTTCATTTTTTTTCTGCTGTCATTATTCTCCCCCTTCTCTCCTCCAGTCTTATCTGATATCTGCCTCCTTCCCACCCACCCTGCACCCCATCCCACCCCTCTGTCTCTCCCTGTTCTCCTCAGGAGACTCTGGCTTCCTGTTTTCCTCCACTTCTATCTTTTATCTCTCCCTCCTACGGTTTCTTTTCTTTCTCCCCGGCCTGCTTGTTTCTCCCCCAACCCCCTTCATCTGGATTTCTTCTTCTGCCATTCAGTTTGGTTTGAGCTCTCTGCTTCTCCGGTTCCCTCTGAGCTAGCTGTCCCTTCACCCACTGTGAACTGGGTTTCCCTGCCCAACCCTCATTCTCTTTCTTTCTTTCTTTTTTTTTTTTTTTTTTTTTTTTTTTTTTTGAGACAGAGTCTTGCTCTGTTGCCCAGCCTGGAGTGCAGTGGTGCAATCTTGGTTCACTGCAACCTCCACTTCCCAGATTCAAGCAATTCTCCTGCCTCAGCCTCCAGAGTAGCTGGGATTACAGGCGTGTCCCACCACACCCGACTAATTTTTGTATTTTTGGTAGAGACAAGGCTTCGGCATTGTTGGCCAGGCAGGTCTCGAACTCCTGACCTCAAGTAATCTGCCTGCCTCACCCTCCCAAAGTGCTGGGATTACAGGCATGAGCCACCTCACCCGGACCATCCCTCATTCTCCATCCTTTCCTCCAGTTGTGATGTCTACCCCTCATGTTTCCCAACAAGCCTACTGGGTGCTGAATCCAGGCTGGGAAGAGAAGGGAGCGGCTCTTCTGTCGGAGTCTGCACCAGGCCCATGCTGAGACGAGAGCTGGCGCTCAGAGAGGGGAAGCTTGGATGGAAGCCCAGGAGCCGCCGGCACTCTCTTCTCCTCCCACCCCCTCAGTTCTCAGAGACGGGGAGGAGGGTTCCCACCAACGGGGGACAGGCTGAGACTTGAGCTTGTATCTCCTGGGCCAGCTGCAACATCTGCTTGTCCCTCTGCCCATCTTGGCTCCTGCACACCCTGAACTTGGTGCTTTCCCTGGCACTGCTCTGATCACCCACGTGGAGGCAGCACCCCTCCCCTGGAGATGACTCACCAGGGCTGAGTGAGGAGGGGAAGGGTCAGTGTGCTCACAGGCAGGGGGCCTGGTCTGCTGGGCCTGCTGCTGATTCACCGTATGTCCAGGAGCTGGAGCAGCACCCTCTCAGAGCCTCAGTTTCCCCAGATGTCAATGAGAGAATCAGCATCAGCCACATCTCCCACCTGAAGAATCGAACCTTGAGTTCTCACCTTTAAGAATTTTTTTTTTTTTTTGAGACAGTGCCTTGCTCAGTCGACCACGCTGGAGTGCAGTAGCACGATCATCAATCACTGCAGCCTCCAACTCAAGCAACCCTCCTGCCTCAACCTCCTGAGTAGCTGGGGCCACAGGCACCCACCACCATGCCTGGCTAATTCTTTCTTTTTTGAGATGGAGTCTCACTCTGTCGCCCAGGCTGGAGTGCAGTGGCACCATCTTGGCTCACCGCAACCTCTGCCCCCCGGGTTCAAGCAATTCTCCTGCCTCAGCCTCCTGAGTAGCTAGAATTACAGGCGCACACCACCACACCAGGCTAATTTTTGTATTTTTAGTAGAAACGAGGTTTCACCACGGTGGTCAGGTTGGTCTCAAACTCCTGACATCAGGTGATCCACCCGCCTCGGCCTCCCAAAGCACTGGGATTACAGGAGTGAGCCACCATGCCTGGCCATATTTTAAACTTTTTTGTAGAGATGGGGTCTTACTATGTTGCCCAGGCTGATCTCAAACTCTTGGGCTCAAGCAGATCCTCCTGCCAAAGCTTCCCAAAGTAGTTGGATTACAGGTGTGAGCCACCACGCCCCACCAACCTATGAAGATGTCTAAGCAGACAGGGTGCCCTATCTCACCACATCCCCAGTCAGATCCAGAGGTGGGACAAGGATGGGAAGGAGGTTCCAGAACAAAGGCTGGCAGGGAGTCGTATGGGACAGGAGCTGACCCAGCAACCATCCACAGAGACATCCTGGAGCCTGGGAAGGAGAAGGACAAAGAGCCCCCTTTTTTAAATTTTTTTTATGTTTTTGAGACGGAGTCTCACTCTGTCACCCAAGCTGGAGTGCAGTGGCACAATCTTGGCTCACTGCAACCTCCACCTCATGGGTTCAAACGACTCTCCTGCCTCAGCCTCCTGAGTAGCTGGGACCACAGGTGCACACCACCATGCCTGGATAATTTTTGAATTTTTGGTAGAGACGGAGTTTCACCATGTTGGCCAGGCAGGTCTCGAACTCCTGACCTCAAGTGCTCCGCCCACCTTGGCCTCCCAAAGTTCTGGGAATACAGGCGTGAGCCACTGCAACCAGCCAGTAGCCCCCATCTTTGCCCCTCGCTGAGCCCTACTGGATGTTCTTGGTTATGCGACAGTTTCCCCATCTATTAAAGAGAAACCCCTATAGCAGAGGGGAGGATGAGGTTGGAAAAGCAGGAGCATTGTTATGCTATTCTTGTGGGGTCTGGGAAGCAGACATCTGGGTGGATGTTTGGGGGGTGCTGGGCTTAGTTGGGGAAGTAGGGGGGCCCCTGGGGCTGACAGGGACTGGAAGCTCTGAGCTGGCCAGAGGGATGTTGCAATCCTGCCAGGGTCTTGTCTATGCTGTCCTTTTCACAACCATCCCCCTACTGCCAGGCTGACACGTGGTTGCGGGGGCACAAGGCCAGCCAACCTAGAGTCTGAGGCTAGGCGGAGGACACCCTCCCCACCAGCTGCCAGGGTCACTGGCGGTCAAAGGCAGCTGGTGGGGAAGGCATTGGACTCCAGCCTTGGGGGACGGATGTAGTGATGGTGGGAAGCAGGCTTGGTGCCAGGAGGGGCGTCAGAGGGTGAATAAAAGCAGATAGAGTGTTTGGGGGAGGTAGCCAGCCAAAGGGGGTGAGGCCCGGTGGAAGGGAAGAAGGGACATACACGCAGAGCTTTGCAGCTGAGGGTTTTAATTTTTTGAGATGGGGTCTCTGTCCCACCAGGCTGGAGTGCAGTGGCACAATCACAGCTCACTGCAGCCTCGAACTCCTGGGCTCAAGCAATCTTCCTACCTCAGCCTCTTGAGTAGCTGGGACTACAGGCATGCGCCACCACGCTCGGCTAATTTTTGAACTTTTTTGTAGAGATGAGGTCTCCCTATATTGCCCAGGCTGGTCTCGAACTCCCAGGCTCAAGTGATCCTCCCTCTTCAGCTTCCCAAAGTGCTGGGATTACAGGCATGAGCCACCATGCCTGGCTAATGCAGGTGAGGTTTTTGCAGTGTCATCCAGCTAAGGCGACCCGTTCCCCTCCCAAAAAAGGGAGACTGAGAACCATGAAGTTAAGAGCCCAGAGAATATCACGGTGGTCTGGGGTGCTTCAAGGGCTGGTCTGGAATAAATTGGAGGTGGCACGCAGGGTAGGAGCGCCGGGCCAACTGGGAGACCCAGCAACATAAAGGAAAAGTTGTTGGGGCTGAGGAGGCTTGCTGAGAGAGGGGAAGTGAGGGAAAGAGGTGATCTAGGGACACGGTGTGAATGAGGGGGGGATGAGATCACAGGGTTATTACTGGGAGACCCCTGAGGGAAGATGGCCACAGGGACAGGACAAGGCTGTCTTCTTAAGGGAGGAGACCACCCCTCATATTGTCTTATGCCCAATTTCTGCCTCCAAAGAAAGAAAAAGTAAAAACTAAAAGGCAGAAATGAAATCCACAAGCAGACAGCCCGCGCCACACCCTGGGCCTGGTGGTTAAAGATTGACCCCTGACCTAATCCGTTAGGTTATCTATAGATTACAGACATTGTATAGAAAAGCACTGTGAAAATCCCTATTCTGTTTTGTTCCGATCTAATTACCGGTGCATGCAGCCCCCAGTCACGCATCCCCTGCTTGTTCAATCGATCACGACCCTCTCACGTGCACCCACTTAGAGTTGTGAGCCCTTAAAAGGAACAGGGATTGCTCACTCGGGGAGCTCGGCTCTTGAGACAGGAATCTTGCCCATTCCCCGAACGAATAAACCCCTTCCTTAACTCAGCGTCTGAGGAATTTTGTCTGCGGCTCCTCCTGCTACATTCTGAGTGGGGAAAGGGACTAAGGTGGTCTGAGGACCCCACAGAGTCAGGAAGATTGAGAGGTGAGAGTGCTGAACGGGGAGGGGCTTTGGGGCTAAGGGAAGTGCCCGGGACCCCACCTGACCCCAACGCTCACGGGACAGGGGCAGAGGAGAAAAACGTGGGTGGACAGAGGGAGGCAGGCGGTCAGGGGAAGGCTCAGGAGGAGGGAGATCAACATCAACCTGCCCCGCCCCCTCCCCAGCCTGATAAAGGTCCTGCGGGCAGGACAGGACCTCCCAACCAAGCCCTCCAGCAAGGATTCAGGTTGGTGCTGAGTGCCTGGGAGGGACACCCGCCTACACTCTGCAAGAAACTCAAAAAGGGAGATGAGGGGATCGTGGGAGGGAGGTAGGGAGGGAGGAGGGTGCCACTGATCCCCTGAACCCCTGCCTCTGCCTCCAGAGTGCCCCTCCGGCCTCGCCATGAGGCTCTTCCTGTCGCTCCCGGTCCTGGTGGTGGTTCTGTCGATCGTCTTGGAAGGTAAAAGTGGGATGGGAGAATTGCGGAGTTGGAGATTTGGAAGAGTGAAGGTGGCTACAGGCCTGGGGTCCCGGCTTAGAGGACCTCTGAGAGCTCCGGGGCCCCTTCTGGGTCGTGGTTGCCTCATCGTGGTCGGGTGGGTCTCCAGGTTCTCCCAGGCTCAGTCCCGCAGGCGCCAAATCTGCGCAGGAGAGCACTAGCAACCGATGACGTATTGAGGCCCACACCTCTGGGATTGGCTGTCCTGCTTCGACAGCCTTGAAAGTGGGTAAGCTGGGTGGGGGGCTCTGGGAGAGGTCAGTGCTGAGTAAGGCAATTCCCAGCAGCTTGAGCCCCACCAGGTCACTCCAGTATTCCTCCCCATTCTTTTTTTTTTTTTTTTTTTTTCTCTTGAGACGGAGTCTCGCTCTGTCGCCGAGGCTGGAGTGCAGTGGCGCGATCTCGGCTCACTGCAAGCTCCGCCTCCCTGGTTCACGCCATTCTCCTGCCTCAGCAGGACTACAGGCGCCCGCCACCGCGCCCGGCTAATTTTTTGTATTTTCAGTAGAGACAGGGTTTCACCGTGGTCTCGATCTCCTGACTTTGTGATCCGCCTGCCTCGACCTCCCAAAGTGCTGGGATTACAGGCGTGAGCCACCGCGTCCGGCCATTCCTCCCCATTCTAACCACATGATCCCCAAGGATCTCTATCCATCCCGGTATCCCAACCTAAGGGGGTTCCAATAACAAATTTTTGGCCGGGCAGGGTGGCTCATGCCTGTAATCCCAGCACTTTGGGAGGCCGAGGCGGGCAGATCACTTGAGGTCAGGAGTTCGAAACCAGCCTGGCCAACATGGTGAAACTTCGTCTCTACTAAAAATACAAAAAAATTAGCCAGGTGTGGAGGCACGCGCCTGTAGGCCCAGCTACTCGGGAGGCTGAGGCAGGAGAATCACTTGAACCCGGGAGGCGGAGGTTGCAGTGAGCCGAGATCATACCACTGCACTCCAGCCTGGCTGACACAGCAAGACTCCGTCTCAAAACAAAACAAAACAAAAATAGCTGGGTGTGGTGGTGCACACCTGTAATCCCAGCTACTTGGGAGGCTGAGGCAGGAGAACTGCTTGAACCCGGGAGGTGGTGGTTGCAGTAGGCCGAGATCATGCCACTGCACTCCAGCTTGGGCTACAGAGCAAGACTCCATCTCCAAAAAAAAAAAAAAAAAAACAAATTTTGAACCCCTGCCCATCTTCCTGGCAGGCCCAGCCCCAGCCCAGGGGACCCCAGACGTCTCCAGTGCCTTGGATAAGCTGAAGGAGTTTGGAAACACACTGGAGGACAAGGCTCGGGAACTCATCAGCCGCATCAAACAGAGTGAACTTTCTGCCAAGATGCGGTTAGAACCCTTCCCAGGGCACGGGAGAGCTGGGGTGTGTTTTTGGGTGGAGCCCTGGCAGATGGTCCAAGATGAACAGATTGAAAAAAAAACAAGTCCTGGAGAGGCTGACAACATCCCTCTGGTCACACAGCTAGATCTCAAGGTGCTCAGACTTCAAGGACAGTTTCCCTGACTCCCATCCAGGCCATATTTTAAAAGATGGTCTTGGGCTGGGCACGGTGGCTCATGCTTGCAATCCCAGCACTTAGGGAGGCCGAGGTGGGCTGATTGCCTGAGGTCAGGAGTTCGAGACCAGTCTGACCAACATGGTGAAACCTTGTCTCTACTAAAAATACAAAAAAATTAGGCAGGCATGGTGGCGTGCACCTGTAATCCCAGCTAGTCGGGAGGCTGAGGCAGGGGAATTGCTTGAACCAGGAAGGTGGGAGTTACAGTGAGCCAACATTGTGCCAGCCTGGGTGACAGAAGGAGACTCTGTCTCAAAAAAAAAAAAAAAAAAAAAAAAAACAAGATGGTCTTGCCCAGGTATGGTGGCTCACACCTGTAATTCCAGCACTATGGGAGGCTGAGATGGGAGGATTGCTTGAGCCCAGGAGTTCGAGACCAGCCTGACCAACATGGCGAGATCCTGTCTCCATTTAAAAAAAAAAAAAAAAAGATGGTTTTGTGAGGTAATGAAAATGAAGGCCCCAAGCTTGGCCAGACCTGGGTCCCCAGGCTGGAGTAGCACCCCTTCCTGTGTGATCTTGACAGAGGGGCATTACTGTGAGCCTCAGTTTCCTCTCCTATAAACTGGTGGTTCTACAGGGAAGTAAAGGAGCAGGCCTACAGGGTGTCTGGTACATGTAGATGCTCAGTATATCATGAAACCCACCCTTGCCCCCTTTGGCAAGTTAGAGAGTCATTCGTTCTTTCAAAAATATTTACTGAGCATCTGCTAAGTGCTGGAAACTGTTTCAATGTGGGGAATAAAACAGTGAAGAACGTGCCGAGCACGGTGGCTCACACCTGTAACCCCACCACTTTGGAAGGCCGAGGTGGGTGGATCACTTGAGGTCAGGAGTGCGAGAACCCCGTCCCTAATAGAAATGCAAAAAAAATTAGCTGGGCATGGTGGCCCATGCCTGTAGTCCCAGCTCCTTGGGAGGCTGAGGCGAGAGGATTGCTTGAGCCCAGGAGATCTAGGCTGCAGTGCGCCATGTTTGTGCCACTGCATTCCAGCCTGGGTAACAGAATGAGACCCTGTCTCAACAAAAAAAGAAAAGAAAAGAGAAGAAAAGAGAAAAGAAAGACAGGGAGGGAGGGAGGAAGGAAGGGAGGGAGGGAGGGAAAATAGAGCCAGGCATAAACTTAGAAAGATCGTTTGGAGGCCAGGCACAATGGCTCACACCTGTAATCCCAGCACTTTGGGAGGCCAAGGCAAGCAGATCACCTGAGGTCAGGAGTTCGAGACCAGCCTAACATGGAGAAACCCTGTCTCTACTAAAAATACAAAATTAGCCGGGCGTGGTGGTGCATTCCTGTAGTCCTAGCTACTCGGGAGCCTGAGGCAGGAGAATCACTTGAACCCGGGAGGCGGAGGTTGCAGTGAGCCGAGATCATGCCACTGCACTCCAGCCTGGGCGACAAGGCGAGACTCCATGCCAAAAAAGAAAAAAAACTCCTGGCGCGGTGGCTCACGCCAGTAATCCCAGCACTGTGGGAGGCTGAGCAGGCGGATCACGAGGTCAGGAGTTCGAGACTAGCCTGCTCAACATAATGAAACCCTCTCTGTACTAAAAATACAAAAATTAGCTGGGTGTGGTGGCAGGCACCTGTAGTCCCAGCTACTCGGGAGGCTGAGGCAGGAGAATGGCTTGAACCTGGGAGGCAGAGGTTGCAGTGAGCCGAGACAGTGCCATTGCACTCCAGTCCAGGTGACAGAGCGAAACTCCATCTCAAAAAAAAAAGGAAGGCATTGGTAGCAAGAGATGGCAGGCCTTGAAAGCCAGGCCAGGGTGAAGTGTTTCTTTTTTTTTTTTTTTTTTTTTTCTTTTTAAATTTTTTTTTTTGAGACGGAGTCTCGCTCTGTCACCCAGGCTGGATTGCAGTGGCCTGATCTCGGCTCACTGCAAGTTCCGCCTCCCGGGTTCATGCCATTCTCCTGCCTCACCCTCCCGAGTAGCTGGGACTACAGGCACCTGCCACCACGCCAGCTAATTTTTTGTATTCTTAGTAGAATGTAGAATTTACTTAGTAGAATTTTTTGTATTCTTAGCCAGCATGGTCTCGATCTCCTGACCTGGTGATCCACCCGCCTCGGCCTCCCAAAGTGCTGGGATTACAGGCGTGAGCCACGGCGCCCGGCCTTATTTTTTCTTTTTGAGATGTACCCAGACTGGAGTACAGTGGTGCGATCTCGGCTTACTGGAACCTCCACCTCCCGGGTTCAGGCAATTCTCCTGCCTCAGCCTCATGAGTACTTGGAACTACAGGTGTGTGACACCACACATGGTATTTTTTGTATTTTTAGTGAAGATGACATTTCACCATGTTGCCCAGGTTGGTCTCGAACTCCTGACCTCAAGTGATCAGCCTACCTCGGCCTCCCAAAGTGTTGGGATTACAGGCGTGAGCCAAATGCCCAGCCAAGGGTAAAGTGTTTAGACTTCAACGTGCTTTGGTCCATCTGGGAAACTGAGGCACAGAAGTTGGCCCACCCAGCCCAGCGGTCCTCCTAATCCCACAGACAGTGGGGATGGAGATTCTGCAAGGGGAAGAGGTGGGAGTCAGGTAGCAGGCAGAATTTGGACAGCCTGGGAGGTAGCTGCACACAGTGACCCCCTTCCTTATTCCTCCCCACAGGGAGTGGTTTTCAGAGACATTTCAGAAAGTGAAGGAGAAACTCAAGATTGACTCATGAGGACCTGAAGGGTGACATCCCAGGAGGGGCCTCTGAAATTTCCCACACCCCAGCGCCTGTGCTGAGGACTCCCTCCATGTGGCCCCAGGTGCCACCAATAAAAATCCTACAGAAAATTCTCTCCTGAGTGCTTCTTTACTCTGGGGAAGGGGCTGCGGGAGAGGGTAGGGGCTTCCAGAGAGGGCAGGGTCTGCAGGAGAGGGCAGGGGCTAAACCTTAGGTACTCCTCACAAGCCCTCCAATGCCCTATCTACTTGCCCTGTGCTGAGGATGTTTTAACTCCATGGTCTCAAAAGAGTCTTCCTAAGAACCCTGCAAACTGGGCCTTATTAATCCCATAAGGGCATTGAGGCCCAGAGAGGTGAAGTTACTTGTATAAGGTCACACAGCCAGGAAGTAGAGAACTGGAACTAGATTGAACCCTCAGCCTAGCAATGTCACTATGCTACACTTTTCCTAGTGTGGTCTACCCGAGATGAGGGGCTGAGGTTTTTTTTTGTTTTTGTTTCTGTTTTGAGGCAGACTCACTCTCTCCCCCAGGATGGAGTACAGTGGTGCGATCTCAGCTCACTGCAACCTCCACCTCCCAGGTTCAAGAGATTATCCTGCCTCAGCCTCCCAAGTAGCTGGGATTTACAGGTGTGCGCCACCACACCCAGCTAATTTTTGTATTTTTAGTAGAGACAGGGTTTCATCATGTTGGCCAGGCTGGTCTCCAACTCCTGGGCTTAAGCAATCCTCCTGCCTTGGCCTCCCAAAGTATTAGAATTACAGGCGTGAGCCACTGTGCCTGGCTCTTATGTAAAATTAAACCACATACACATGAGAAACAACCCTATGTAATTAAGATTTCTTTCTTTTTTTTTTTTTTTTTAAGAGATGGAGTCACCCAGGCTGGAGTGCAGTTGCACAATCTCCATTCACTGCAGCCTTGCAACCTCCACCACCTGAGTTCAAGGGATTCTCCTGCCTCAGCCTCCTGAGTAGCTGGGATTATAGGCATGTGCCACCACGCCCAGCTAATTTTTTTGTATTTTTAGTAGAGACGGAATTTCCCCATGTTGGCCAGGCTGGTCTCAAACTCCTGGCCTTAAATGATCCACCCGTCCTGGCCTCCCAAAGTGCTGGGATTACAGGTGTGAGCCACCGCACCCAGCTTAAGATTTCATAAGAAAAATATTTGTAAGCCACATATCTAATAACCGGTTAATATTCAGGCTGGGTGAAGTGGCTCATGCCTGTAATCCCAGCACTTTGGGAAGACAAGGCGGGCGGATTACCTGAAGTCAAAAGTTTGAGACCTGCCTGGCCAACATGGTGAAACCCTGTCTCTACTAAAAATACAAAAAAATTAGCCGGGTGGGGTGGCACATGCCTGTAATCCCAGCTGCTTGGGAGGCTGAGGCAAGAGAATCCCTTGAACCCAGGAGTCGAAGGTTGCAGTGAGCCAAGATGGCGCCACTGCCCTCCAGCCTGGGAGACAGAGTGGGACTCCATCTCAAAAAAAAAAAAAATTCAAAATGTATAATATACAATCCTAGTTGGGACATCAAACACTGCAGCCACTGTGGAAAACAGTATGGGGTTTCCTCAAAACATTAAAGATAGAACTCTCAAATGATCCTTCAATCCCACTTCTGGGTATTTATTCAAAAGAATTGAAATCAGGACCTTGAAGAGATACCTGCCCTCCCATGTTCACTGCAGGTCTGCTCAATACCCAAGATATGGAAACAACCTAAATGTTTATCAACAGATGAATGGGTCAAGGAAATGTGGTCTCTACATGTAATGGAATGTAACGCATCCTTAAAAAGGAAACCCTAAGGCCGGGCTCTGTGGCTCACACATGTTTTTTTTTTTAAATTTTATTTATTTATTTATTTATTTATTTATTTTTTATTGATCATTCTTGGGTGTTTCTCACAGAGGGGGATTTGGCAGGGTCATAGGACAATAGTGGAGGGAAGGTCAGCAGATAAACAAGTGAACAAAGGTCTCTGGTTTTCCTAGGCAGAGGACCCTGAGGCCTTCCGCAGTGTTTGTGTCCCTGGGTACTTGAGATTAGGGAGTGGTGACGACTCTTAACGAGCATGCTGCCTTCAAGCATCTGTTTAACAAAGCACATCTTGCACCACCCTTAATCCATTTAACCCTGAGTGGACACAGCACATGTTTCAGAGAGCACAGGGTTGGGGGTAAGATCACAGATCAACAGGATCCCAAGGCAGAAGAATTTTTCTTAGTATAGAACAAAATGAAAAGTCTCCCATGTCTACTTCTTTCTACACAGACACGGCAACCATCCGATTTCTCAATCTTTTCCCCAACTTTTCCCCCCTTTCTATTCCACAAAGCCGCGATTGTCATCCTGGCCGGTTCTCAATGAGCTGTTGGGCACACCTCCCAGACAGGGTGGTGGCCGGGCAGAGGGGCTCCTCACTTCCCAGTAGGGGCGGCCGGGCAGAGGCGCCCCTCACCTCCCGGACGGGGTGGCTGCCGGGCGGAGAGGCTCCTCACTTCTCAGACAGGGCGGTTGCCAGGCAGAGGGTCTCCTCACTTCTCAGACGGGGTGGCCGGGCAGAGACGCTCCTCACCTCCCAGACGGGGTCGCGGCCGGGCAGAGGCGCTCCTCACATCCCAGACGGGGCGGCGGGGCAGAGGCGCTCCCCACATCTCAGACGATGTGCGGCCGGGAAGAGGCGCTCCTCACTTCCTAGATGGGATGGCGGCCGGACGGAGACGCTCCTCACTTCCCAGACTGGGCAGCCAGGCAGAGGGGCTCCTCACATCCCAGACGATGTGGCTCACGCATGTTATCCCAGCACTTTCGGAGGTCAAGGCAGGAGGATCACTTGAGGCCAGGAGTTGGAGACCATCTTGGCCAACATGGTGAAACCCCGTCTCTACTAAAAATACAAAAAATTAGCCAGGCGTGCGCCTGTAATCCCAGCTACTCAGTAGGCTGAGGCATGAGAATCGCTTGAACCCAGGAGGTGGAGGCTGCAGTGAGCCGAGATCATGCCACTGCACTCCAGCCGGGGCATCAGAGCAAGACTCAATCTCAAAACATAAAAGGAAATCCTGAAACTGGGCACAGTGGCTTATGCGTGTAATCCCAGCACTTTGGAAGGCTGAGGTGGGAGGATCACTTGAGGTCAGGAGTTCGAGACCAGCCTGGGTAACATGGTGAGACACCATCTCTACCAAAAAAAGAAGAAAGAGAATAAATAAATGTATAAATATTACTCCCTGGGGTTAATGCATCCCCTTCTCCCCCAAATCAACCCTCCAAACTCCTATACTCTCCTGTCTTCTCACTCAGCAGCCTGTTAGAACTCAAGTCAGATTTTTTGTTTTTTGTTTTTTGAGACGGAGTCTCACTCTATTGCCCAGCCTGTGCAGTGGCACCATCTCAGCTCACTGCAACCTCTGCCTCCCAGGTTGAACCGATTTTCCTGCTCAGTCTCCCAAGTAGCTGGGACTACAGGCGTGTGTGTGCCACCACACCCAGCTAATTTTTGTATTTGTAGTAGAGACGGGGTTTCACCATGTTGCCCAGGTTGGTCTCGAACTCCTGAGCTCTAGCAATTAGCCCTCCTTGGCCTCCCAAAGTGCTGGGGTTACAGGCATGAGCCACCATGGCCGGCCTCAAGTCAGATTATGCTCTTCCTCTGCTCAGAACTCTCCTGATTCTCTCAGAGTAAACCCAGAAGCACTTACCAAGGCCTACAAACGGGACACTATGCCGTCCACGATCGCCTCCTCCCTGTCTCTCTCTCCATCACTCACAAGCAACTCTTTGCTATTCCTCCAATGTACTGGGCAGGTTCCCATCTCAGGGCCCTTGCAGTTACTGTTCCTCTTGCCTGGAATGTTCTTCCCCAGGGGTCCAGATATCTGCCTGGCTCCCTCCTCACTTCCTCCAGTTCTCTTCCAAAATCATCCCCTGCCAGACGTGGTGGCACACGCCTGTAATCCTAACTCTTTGAGATGCCAAGGTGGGAGGATTGCTTCAGCTCAGGAGTTCAAGATCAGCCTGGGCAATAGCAAGACCCCATCCGTTCTAAAAATAAAAATAAATAAAAAATAAAAAATAAAAATTAGCTGAGCATGGTAGTGGACACCTTGGGGTTCCAGCCACGTGGCAGGCTGAGGTAGGAGGATGGCTTTGAATCAGGGAGGTTGAGGCTGCAGTGAGCCATGTTCTGAATTAGATACTGGTGATGATCGTGCAACCTTCCCAATATAGGAAAAACCACTGAACAGTACATTTTCAAAGGGTAAATTTAGCCGGACACGGTGGCTCATGTCTGTAATCCCAGCACTTTTGGAGTCCGAGGCGGGCAGATCACCTGAGGCTGGGAGTTCAAGACCAGCCTGACCAACATGGAGAAACCCCGTCTCTACTAAAAATACAAAAAATTAGCCAGGTATGGTGGCGCATGCCTGTAATCCCAGCTACTCCAGAGGTTGAGGCAGGAGAATTGCTTGAACCCGGGAGGCAGAGGTTGTGGTGAGCCGACATCACACCATCGTACTCCAGCCTGGGCAACAAGAGCGAAACTCCGTCTCAAAAAAAAAAAAAATAATTAAGAAATTAGCCAGGCGTGGTGGTGGGTGCCTGTAGTCTCAGCTACTTGGGAGGCTGAGGCATGAGAATCGCTTAAACCCGGCGGGTGGAGGCTACAGTGAGCCTAGATTCCACCACCGCACTCCAGCCTGGGCAACTGAGTGAGACTCCACCTCAAAAAAATAAATAAAAGGGTAAATTTTATGGAATGTGAATCATAATTCAATTTTTCAACATGCGTTAGGAGGGACATTTCAAACTCTTTTTTACCCTAGACTTTCCTACCATCACCCAGAGTATCCAGCCAGGAGGGGAGGGGCTAGAGACACCAGAAGTTTAGCAGGGAGGAGGGCGTAGGGATTCGGGGAATGAAGGGATGGGATTCAGACTAGGGCCAGGACCCAGGGATGGAGAGAAAGAGATGAGAGTGGTTTGGGGGCTTGGTGACTTAGAGAACAGAGCTGCAGGCTCAGAGGCACACAGGAGTTTCTGGGCTCACCCTGCCCCCTTCCAACCCCTCAGTTCCCATCCTCCAGCAGCTGTTTGTGTGCTGCCTCTGAAGTCCACACTGAACAAACTTCAGCCTACTCATGTCCCTAAAATGGGCAAACATTGCAAGCAGCAAACAGCAAACACACAGCCCTCCCTGCCTGCTGACCTTGGAGCTGGGGCAGAGGTCAGAGACCTCTCTGGGCCCATGCCACCTCCAACATCCACTCGACCCCTTGGAATTTCGGTGGAGAGGAGCAGAGGTTGTCCTGGCGTGGTTTAGGTAGTGTGAGAGGGTCCGGGTTCAAAACCACTTGCTGGGTGGGGAGTCGTCAGTAAGTGGCTATGCCCCGACCCCGAAGCCTGTTTCCCCATCTGTACAATGGAAATGATAAAGACGCCCATCTGATAGGGTTTTTGTGGCAAATAAACATTTGGTTTTTTTGTTTTGTTTTGTTTTGTTTTTTGAGATGGAGGTTTGCTCTGTCGCCCAGGCTGGAGTGCAGTGACACAATCTCATCTCACCACAACCTTCCCCTGCCTCAGCCTCCCAAGTAGCTGGGATTACAAGCATGTGCCACCACACCTGGCTAATTTTCTATTTTTAGTAGAGACGGGTTTCTCCATGTTGGTCAGCCTCAGCCTCCCAAGTAACTGGGATTACAGGCCTGTGCCACCACACCCGGCTAATTTTTTCTATTTTTGACAGGGACGGGGTTTCACCATGTTGGTCAGGCTGGTCTAGAACTCCTGACCTCAAATGATCCACCCACCTAGGCCTCCCAAAGTGCACAGATTACAGGCGTGGGCCACCGCACCTGGCCAAATTTTTAATTTTTTTCTAGAGATAGGGTCTTACTGTGTTGCCCAGGCTGGTGTCAAACTCCTGGGCTCAAGCAGATCCTCCTGCCTCAGCTTCCCAAAGTGGTGGGATTATAGGTGTGAGCCACTGCGCCCAGTCAGTAGCCCCCTCTTTGCCCCTCACTGAGCCCTACTGGATGTTCTTGGTTGTGTGACAGTTTCCCCATCTATTAAACAGAAACCCCTATAGCAGAGGGGAGGATGAGGTTGGAAAATCAGGAGCATTGTTATTCTATTCTTGTGGGATCGGGGAAGCAGACATCTGGGTGGATGTTTGGGGAATGCTGGGCTCAGTTGAGGAAGTAGGGGGGCCCCTGGGGCTTACAGGGACTGGAAGCTCTGAGCTGGCCAGAGGGATGTTGCAATCCTGCCAGGGTCTTGTCTATGCTGTCCCTTTCACAACCATCCCCCTACCGCCAGGCTGACACGTGGTTGTGGGGGCACAAGGCCAGCCGAACTAGAGTCTGAGGCTGGGCTGAGGACACCCTCCCCATCAGCTGCCAGGGTCACTGGCGGTCAAAGGCAGCTGGTGGGGAAGGAATTGGACTCCAGCCCTGGGGGACGGATGTGGTGATGGTGGGAAGCAGGCTTGGTGCCAGGAGGGGCATCAGAGGGTGAATAAGAGCAGATAGAGTGTTTGGGGGAGGTAGCCAGCCAAAGGGGGTGAGGCCCGGTGGAAGGGAAGAAGGGGCATACACTCAGAGCTTTGCAGCTGAAGGTTTTAATTTTTTGAGATGGGGTCTCACTCTGTCTCACCAGGCTGGAGTGCAGTGGCGCAATCACAGCTCACTGCAGCCTCGAACTCCTGGGCTCAAGCAATCTTCCTACCTCAGCCTCTTGAATAGCTGGGACTACAGGTGTGCGCCACCACGCTCAGCTAATTTTTGAACTTTTTTGTAGAGATGAGGTCTCCCTATATTGCCCAGGCTGGTCTCTTAACTCCTGGGCTCAAGTGATCCTCCTTCCTCAGCTTCCCAAAGCGCTGGGATTACAGGCATGAGCCACCATGCCTGGCCAATGCAGGTGAGGTTTTTAGTGTCCAGCTAAGGCGACCCCTTCCCTTTGCAAAAAAGGGAGACTGAAAATCATCAAGTTAAGAGCCCAGAGAATATCAGGGTGGTCTGGGATGTTTCAAGGGCTGGTCTGAAAGAAATTGGAGGTGGCACGCAGGGCAGGGTTGCGGGGCCAACTGGGAGGCCCCAGCAACATAAAGGAAAAGTTGTTGGGGCTGAGGAGGCTTGCTGAGAGAGGGGAAGTGAGGGAAAGAGGTGATCTAGGGACACGGTGTGAATGAGGGGGGGATGAGATCACAGGGTTATTACTGGGAGACCCCTGAGGGAAGATGGCCACAGGGACAGGACGAGGCTGTCCTCTGAGTGGGGAAAGGAGCTATGGTAGTCTGAGGACCCCCCAGAGTCAGGGAGATTGGGAGGTGAGGGTGCTGAATGGTAAAGGGCTTCGGAGCTAAGGGAAATGGTCAGGACCCCACCTGACCCCAACGCCCACGGGCCAGGGGCAGAGGAGAAAAACCTGGGTGGGCAGAAGGAGGCAATCTTCCAGGGGAAGGCTCAGGAGGAGGGAGATCAACATCAACCTGCCCCGCCCCCTCCCCAGCCTGATAAAGGTCCTGCGGGCAGGACAGGACCTCCCAACCAAGCCCTCCAGCAAGGATTCAGGTTGTTGAGTGCTTGGGAGGGACACCCGCCTCCACTCTGCAAGAACTCATAAAGGGAGATGAGGGGATCGTGGGAGGGAGGGAGGAGGGTGCCACTGATCCCCTGAACCCCTGCCTCCGCCTCCAGGGTGCCCCTCCGGCCTCGCCATGAGGCTCTTCCTGTCGCTCCCGGTCCTGGTGGTGGTTCTGTCGATCGTCTTGGAAGGTAAAAGTGGGATGGGAGAATTGCGGAGTTGGAGATTTGGAAGAGTGAAGGTGGCTACAGGCCTGGGGTCCCGGCTTAGAGGACCTCTGAGAGCTCTGGGGCCCCTTCTTGGTCGTGGTTGCCCCATTGTGGTCGAGTGGGTCTCCAGGTTCGCCCAGGCTCAGTCCGGCAGGCGCCAAATCTGCCCAGGAGAGCCCTAGTAACCGATGACGTATGGATCTCCACACCTCTGGGATTGGCTGTCCTCCTTTTATAGCCTTGAAAGTGGGTGATGGGGCGATGGGCTGTGGGAGGAGGTCAGTGCTGAGTAAGGCAATTCCCAGCGGCTTGAGCCCCACGCGGTCACTTCAGTATCCTCCCCATTCTAACCACATGATCCCCAAGGATCTCCTTATCTATCCCCGGGATCCCACCCCAAGGGGGTTCCAATAACAAATTTTTGGTGGGGCGTGGCGGCTAATGCCTGTAATCCCAGCACTTTGGGAGGCCGAGGCGGGCAGATCACTTGAGGTCAGGAGTTCGAAACCAGCCTGGCCTACATGGTGAAACCCCATCTCTACTAAAAATACAAAACAGCCAGGCGTTGTGGTGCGCGCTTGGCTACTTGGGAGGCTGAGACAGGAGAACTGCTTGAACCTAGGAGGCGGAGGTTGCAGTAAGCCGAGATCGCACCATTTGACACAGCAAGTCTCCGTCTCAAAACTACAACAACAACAACAACAACAACCAAATTTTGCACCCCTGCCTCATCTTCCTGGCAGGCCCAGCCCCAGCCTAGGGGGCTCCAGAAGTCTCCAACCCCTTTGATGGCCTGGAGGAGTTAGGAAAGACCCTGGAGGACTACACTCGGGAATTCATCAACCGCATCACACAGAGTGAACTTCCTGCCAAGATGTGGTTAGAACCCTTCCCAGGGCACGGGAGGGCTGGGGTGTGTTTGTGTGGAGCCCTGGAGGATGTCCAAGATGAACAGATTGAAAAAAAAAACAAGTCCCAGAGAGGCTGACAGCATCCTTCTGGTCACACAGCTAGATCTCAAGGATCTCAGACGTCAGGGACAGTTTCCCGGACTCCCATCCAGGCCACATTTTAAAAGATGGTCTTGGGCTGGGCGCCGTGGCTCACACCTATAATCCTAACACTTTGGGAGGCCTAGGCGGGCGGATTGCCTGAGATCAGGAGTTCAAGACCAGCCTGGCCAACATGGTGAAACCCTGTCTCTACTAAAAGTACAAAAAATTAGCCTGACATGGGGGTGTGCACCTGTAATCCCAGCTACTCGGGAGGCTGAGGCAGGGGAATTGCTTGCACCAGTAAGGTGGGGGTTACAGTGAGCCAAGATTGCACCACTGCACTCCAGCCTGGGCAACAAAGCAACATTCCGTCACAAAAGAAAAAAAAAAAAGATGGTTTTGCTTAGGTACGGTGGCTCACACCTGTAATCCCAGCACTGTGGGAGGATTGCTGGAGCCTAGGAGTTTGAGACCAGCCTGGCTAACATGGCGAGATCCTGTCTCTATTTTTTTTTTTTTTTTTTTGAGACAGAGTCTCGCTCTGTTGCCCAGGCTGGAGTGCAGTGGCGCCATCTCGGCTCACTGCAACCTCTGCCTCCCCAGTTCAAGCAATTCTCTGCCTCAGTCTCCTGAGTAGCTAGGATTACAGGCGCCCACCACCACGCCCGGCTAATTTTTTTGTATTTTTAGTAGAGATGGGGTTTCACCATCTTGGCCAAGCTGGTCTTGAACTCCTGACCTTGTGATCCACCCGCCTCAGCCTCCCAAAGTGCTGGGATTACAGGTGTGAGCCACCATGCCCGGTGATCCTGTCTCTATTTAAAAAACAAAACAAAACAAAACAAAACAAAAAGCATACAAGCCAGCCCCGGTGCGATAGCTCATGCCTGTAATCCCAGCACTTTGGGAGGCTGAGTCGGGCAGATTACCTGAGATCGGGGGTTCGAGGCCAAGTTGGGCAGATCACCTGAGGTTGGGAGTTTGAGACCAGCCTGACCAACATGGAGAAACTCCGTCTCTATTAAAAATACAAAATTAGTCAGGCATGGTGGTGCATGCCTCTATTCCCAGCTACTTGGGAGGCTGAGGCAGGAGAATCACTTGAACCTGGGAGGCGGAGGTTGCAGTGAGCTGAGATAATGCCATTGCACTCCAGCCTGGGCAATAAGAGCGAATCCACGTCTCAAAAAAAAAAAAAAAAATTGAAAAAAAAAAAGATGGTCTTGTGGGGTAATGAAGGACACAAGCTTGGTGGGACCTGAGTCCCCAGGCTGGCATAGAGCCCCTTACTCCCTGTGTGATCTTAAGAGAGAGGCATTACTGTGAGCCTCAGTTTCCTTTCCTGTGAAATGGTGGTTCTGTGGGGAAGTAAAGCAGAAGGCCTATAGGGTGTCTGGCACATTGTAAATGCTCAGTACATCTTCAAATCCACACTTGCTCCCTTTGGCAAGTTAGAGAGTCATTCGTTCCTCAACACATATTTATTGAGCATCTGCTAAGTGCTAGAAACTGTTTCAATGTGGGGAATAAAACAGTGAAGAATATGCCGAGCGCGGTGGCTCACACCTGTAATCCCAGCACTTTGGAAGGCTGAGGTGAGTGGATCACTTGAGGTCAGGAGTTTGAGAACCCCATCTCTACTAGAAATACAAAAAATTACCCAGGCGTGATGGCACACACCTGTAGTCCCAGCTACTTCGGAGACGGAGGCAAGAGGATCACTTGAGCCCAGGAGGTTGAGGCTGCAGTGAGCTATGTTTGTGCCACTGCATTCCAGCCTGGGTAACAGAATGAGACCCTGTCTCATCCAAAAAAAAAAGAAAGAAAGAAAGAAAGAAAGAAGGAAGGGAGGGAGGGAGGGAGGGAAAATCTAGTCAGGCCTAAACTTAGAAAGATTGTTTGGAGGCCAGGTGCAGTGGCTCATGCCTGTAATCCCAGCACTTTGGCAGGCTGAGGCGGGCAGATCACCTGAGGTCAGGAGTTTGAGACCAGCCTGACCAACAAGGAGAAACCCTGTCTCTTCTAAAAAAAAAATACAAAAAATTAGCCAGGCATGGTGGTGCATGCCTGTAATCCCAGCTACTCAGGATGATGAGGCAGGAGAATTGCTTGAACCTGGGAGCTGGAGGTTGCGGTGAGCTGAGATCGCGCCATTGCACTCCAGCCTGGGCAACAAGGGCATAACTCCGTCTCAAAAAAAGAAAGAAAGAAAGAAAGATTGATTGTTTGGAGGGAGAGGCAAAGGTCCAAAGTCAAGAAGGTCGATCAATAAGCAAGAGCGGGTGGCATCCCAGGCAGGGGAACAGCCTGGGCATACGCAGGGAGGCTGGAAAGTACCTTTGAATGAGTAGGGGAACAGATAGGGCAAGGGCAGGCTGGAAGAAAGAGTGGGTAGCAAGAGATGGCAGGCCTTGAAAGCCAGGCCAGAGTGAAGTTTTCTTTTCTTTTCTTTTCTTTTGAGACGGAGTCACGCTCTGTTGCCTAGGCTGGAACACGGTGGTGTGATCTCAGCTCATTGCACTCTCCACCTCCCAGGTTCAAGCAATTCTCCTGCCTCAGCCTCCTGAGTAGCTGGGATTACAGGCGTGCACCACCACGGGTGGCTAATTTTTGTAATTTAGTAAAGACGGGGTTTTGCCATGTTGGCCAGGCTGGTCTCGAACTCCTGACCTCCAGTGATCTGCCTGCCTCGGCTTCCCAAAGTGTTGGGATTACAGGCGTGAGCCAAATGCCCAGCCAAGGGTAAAGTGTTTAGACTTCAACGTGCTTTGGTCCACCTGGGAAACTGAGGCACAGAAGTTGGCCCACCCAGCCCAGCGGTCCTCCTAATCCCACAGACAGTGGGGATGGAGATTCAGCAAGGGGAAGAGGTGGGAGTCAGGTAGCAGGTAGAATTTGAACAGCCTGGGAGGTAGCTGCACACAGTGACCCCCTTCCTTATTCCTCCCCACAGGGATTGGTTTTCAGAGACATTTCGGAAAGTGAAGGAGAAACTCAAGACTGACTCATGAGGACCTGAAGGGTGACATCCCAGGAGGGGCCTCTGAAATTTCCAACACCCCAGCGCCTGTACTGAGGACGCCCTCCATGTGTGTCCAATGTGGTCACACGCCCAGGTGTGACCAATAAAAATCCTATGGAAAATTCTCTCTGGCCAGGCATGGTGGCTGACGCCTGTAATCCCAGCACTTTGGGAGGCTGAGGCGGGCGGATCACAAGGTCAGGAGATTGAGCCCATCCTGGCTAACACGGTGAAACCCCGTCTCTACTAAAAATACAAAAAAAATAGCCAAGCGTGGTGGCAGGCGCCTGTAGTCCCAGCTATTCGGGAGGCTGAGGCAGGAGAATCGCTTGAAACCGGGAGGTGGAGCTTGCAGTGAGCTGAGATCGTGCCACTGCACTGCAGCCTGGGTGACAAGAGCCAGACTCCGCGTCAAAAAAAAAAAAGAAAAGAAAATTCTGTCTGACTGCTTCTTCACTGTGGGGCAGGGGTGCCGGAGAGGGTAGGGGCTGTGGGAGAGGGCAGGGGCTGAACCTTACGGACTCCTCACAAGCCCTCCAATGCCCCATCTACTTGCCCTGTGCTAAGGATGTTTTAACTCTATGGTCTCAAAAGAATCTTCCTAAGAACCTTGCAAACTGGGACTTAATAATCCCATAAGGGCATTGAGGCCCAGAGAGGTGAGGCTACTTGTATAAGGTCACACAGCCAGGAAGTGGAGAACTGGAACTAGATTGAACCCTCAGCCAGGCAATGTCACTATGCTACACTTTTCCTAGTGTGGTCTACCCGAGATGAGGGGCTGAGGTTTTTTGTTTTGTTTTGTTTTGTTTTGAAACAGAGTTTCGCTCCTCTTGCCCAGGCTGGAGTACAATGGCACCATCTCAGTTCACTGCAACCTCCGCCTCCCAGGTTCAAGGGAGTCTCCTGCCTCAGCCTCCCAAGTAGCTGGGATTGCAGGTGCGTGCCACCATGCCTGGTTAATTTTTGTATTTTTAGTAGAGACGAGGTTTCTCCATGTTGATCAGGCTGGTCTTGAACTCCTGACTTCACATGATCTGCCTGCCATGGCCTCCCAAAGTGCAGGGATTACAGGCATGAGCCACCTCGCCTGGCCTTTTTTTTTTTTTCTTGAGACAGAGTCTCACTCTGTACCCCAGGCTGGAGTGCAGGGGCATGATCTCGGCTCACTGCAACCTCCGCCTCCTGGGTTCAACAGATTCTCCTGCCTTAGCCTCCCTAGTATCTGGGATTACAGGTGTGTGCCACCACACCCAGCTAATTTTTGTATTTTTAGTAGAGACAGCATTTTATCGTGCTGGCCAGTCTGGTCTCCAACTCCTGGATTCAAGCAGTCCTCCTGCCTTGGCCTCCCAAAGTGGTGGGATTACAGGCGTGAGCCACTGTGCCCAGCTCTTACGTAAAATTAAACCACATGCACATGCAAAACAACCCTATGTAAAAAAAAAATTTTTTTTGAGATGGAGTCTGGCTCTGTCACCCAGGCTGAAGTGCAATGATGCGATCTCCACTCACTGCAACCTCTGCCTCCCAAATTCAAGTGATTTTTTTGCCTTAGCCTCCTAAGTAGCTGGGATTACAGGCATGTGCCACCACACCTGGCTACTTTTGTTGTATTTTTAGTAGAGACAGAGTTTCACCATGTTGGCCAGGCTAGTCTCGAACTCCTGACATCAAGTGATCCGCCCGCCTTGGCATCCCAAAGTGTTGGGACTACAGGTGTGAGCCACTGCGCCCAGCTTAAGATTGCATAAGAACAATATTTGAAAGCCATATATCTAATAAGGGGTTAATATTCAAAATATATAAGGGACTCCTACAATGCGAGTGGGAACACCAAACACTGCAGCCACTGTGGAAAACAGTATGGGGTTTCCTCAAAACATTAAAAATAGAACTACCAAATGATCCTGCAATCTCATTTCTGGGTATTTATTCAAAAGAATTGAAATCAGGACCTTGAAGAGATACCTGCCCTCCCATGTTCACTGCAGGTCTGCTTAATACCCAAGATATGGAAACAACCTAAATGTTTATCAACAGATGAATGGGTCAAGGAAATGTGGTCTATACGTGCAATGGAATGTAAAGCATCCTTAAAAAGGAAACCCTGAGGCCGGGCTCTGTGGCTCACACATGTTATCCCAGCACTTTCGGAGGTCGAGGCAGGAGGATCACTTGAGGCCAGGAGTTGGAGACCATCCTGGCCAACATGGTGAAACCCCGTATCTACTAAAAATACAAAAAAAATCAGCCAGGCATGGTGGCGGGTGCCTGTAAACCCAGCTACTCAAGAGGCTGAGGCAGGAGAATCACTGGAACCCAGGAGGCGGAGGCTGCACTGAGCAGAGATCGTGCCGTTGCACTCCAGCCTGGGCGACAAGAACAAAACTCCATCTCAAAAAATAAAAAAAGGAACTCCTGAAGCCAGGCTCGGTGGCTCCCACCTGTAATCCCAGCACTTTGGGATGCCAAGGCAGGAGGATCACTCGAGGCCAGGAGTTGGAGACTATCCTGTCCAACATGGTGAAACCCTATCTCTACTAAAAATGCAAACATTAGCCAGGCATGGTGGCGTGTGCCTGTAATCCCAGCTACTTGGGAGGCTGAGGCGTGAGAATAGCTTGAACCAGGAGGTAGAGACTGCAGTGAGCTGAGATCATGCCACTGCACTCCAGCCTGGGCGTCAGAGCAAGACTCCATCTCAAAACATAAAAGGAAATCCTGGGCCGAGCGCAGTGACTCACGCCTGTAATCCCAGCACTTTGGGAGGCCGAGGCAGGTGGATCACAAGGTCAGGAGATCGAGACCATCCTGGCTAACATGGTGAAACACTGTCTCTACTAAAAATACAAAAAATTAGCTGGGCATGGTGGCGGGCGCCTATAGTCCCAGCTATTCGGGAGGCTGAGGCAGGAGAATGGCGTGAACCCGGGAGGCAGAGCTTGCAGTGAGCCAATATTGCGCCATGCATTCCAGCCTGGATGACAGAGTGAGACTGTGTCTCAGGAGAAAAAAAAAAAAAAAAAAGGAAATCCTGAACCTGGGCATAGTGTCTTATGCCTGTAATCCCAGCACTTTGGAAGGCTGAGATGGGAGGATCAGTTGAGGTCAGGAGTTCAAGACCAGCCTGGGTAACATGGTGAGACACCGTCTCTACCAAAAAAAGAAGAAAGAAAGAGAATAAATAAATTATAAATATTACTCTCTGGGGTTAATGCATTCCCTTCTCCCCCAAAATCAACCCTCCAAACTCCTATACTCTCCTTTCTTCTCACTCAGCAGCCTGTTAGAACTCAAGTCAGATTTTTTGTTTTTTTGTTTTTTGAGGCGGAGTCTCACTCTGTTGCCCAGGCTGGAGTACAGTGGCACCATCTCAGTCCACTGCAACCTCTGCCTCCCAGGTTCAAGCGATTCTCCTGCTCAGCCTCCCAATTAGCTGGGACTACAGGTGTGTGTGTGTCACCACACCCAGCTAATTTTTGTATTTGTAGTAGAGACGGGGTTTCACCATGTTGCCCAGGCTGGTCTCAAACTGCCCAGCTCTAGCGATCTACCCTCCTCGGCCTCCCAAAGTGCTGGGGTTACAGGCATGAGCCACCGTGCCCAGCCTCAAGTCAGATTATGCTCTTCCTCTGCTCAGAACTCTCCTGATTCTCTCAGAGCAAACCCAGAAGAACTTACCAAAGGCCTACAAACAGGACACTACCCGGTTCACGATCGCCTCATCCCTCTCTCTCCATCACTCACAAGCAACTCCTTGCTATTCCTCCAATGTACTGGGCAGGTTCCCACCTCAGGGCCCTTGCAGTTACTGTTCCTCTTGCCTGGAATGTTCTTCCCCAGGGGTCCAGATATCTGCCTGGCTCCCTCCTCACTTCCTCCAGTTCTCTTCCAAAATCATCCCCTGCCAGACATAGTGGCACACTCCTGTAATCCTAACCTTTGAGAGGCCAAGATGGGAGGATTGCTTCAGCTCAGAGGTTCAAGACCAGCCTGGGCAACATAGCAAGACCCCATCCCTCCTAAAAAAAATTAGCTGGGCATGGTGGTGCACACTTGTGGTTCCAGCCACTTGGGAGGCTGAGGTAGGAGGATGGCTTTGAATCAGGGAGGTTGAGGCTGCAGTGAGCCATGTTCCAAATTAGATAGTGGTGATTGTGCAACCTTGCCAATATAGGAAAAACCATTGAACTGTACACTTTAAAAGGGTAAATTTAGCAGGACGCGGTGGCTCACGCCTGTAATCCCAGCACTTTGGGAGTCCGAGGCGGGCAGATCACTTGAGCTCAAGAGTTCGAAACCAACCTGACCAACATGGTGAAACTCCATCTTTACGAAAAATTAAAAAATTAGCCAGGCGTGGTGGCAAGTGCCTGTAGTCTCAGCTACTTGGGACGCTGAGGCGGGAGAATTTCTTGAACCTGCGGGGCAGAGGCTACAGTGAGCTGAGATTGCCCCACTGCACTCCAGCCTGGGCAACAGAGTGAGACTCCATCTCAAAAAAAAAAAAAAAAAAAAAGAAAAAGAAAAAAGGGTAAATTTTATGGAATGTGAATTATAACTCAATTTTTCAACATGCATTAGGAGGGACATTTCAAACCCTTTTTTACCCCAGCCTTCCCTGCAATCACCCAGAGTATCCAGCCAGGAGGGGAGTGGCTAGAGACACCAGAAGATTAGCAGGGAGGAGGGTGCAGGGTTTCGGGGGATGAGGGGATGGGATTCAGACCAGGGTAAGGATCCAGGGGTAGAGAGAAAGATTTGAGAGTGGTTTTGGGGCTTGGTGACTTAGAGAACAGAGTTGCAGGCTCTGTTTTTGGGCCCGCCCTGCCCCCTTCCGACCTCTTAGTTCCTATCCTCCAGCAGCTGTTTGTGTGCTGCCTCTGAAGTCCACCCTGAATGACCTTCAGCCTGTTCCCGTCCCTGATATGGGCAAACATTGCAAGCAGCAAACAGCAAACACATAGCCCTCCCTGCGTGCTGACCTTGGAGCTGCGGCAGAGGTCAGAGACCTCTCAGGGCCCATACCACTTCCAACATCCCCTTGATCTCTTGGATTTTGGTGGAGAGGGGCAGAGGTTGTCCTGGCCTGGTTAGGTAGTGTGAGAGGGTCCCGGTTCAAAACCACCACTTGCTGGTTGAGGAGTCGTCAGTAAGTGGCTGCGCCCCCACCCTGAGGCTTGTTTCTCCATCTGTACAATGGAAATGATGAAGATGCCCACCTGATAGGGTTTTTGTGGCAAATAAGTAAGTAGTTTTTTTGTTTTTCTTTTTCTTTTTTTTTTTTTTTTTTTGAGATGGAGTCTCACTCTGTCACCAGGCTGGAGCGCAGTGGCGTGATCTCGGCTCACTGCCAACTCCACCTCCCGGGTTCAAGCGATTCTCCTGCCTCAGCCTCTGAGTAGCTAGGACTACAGGCGCCCGCCACCACACCCAGCTAATTTTTGCATTTTTAGTAGAGATGGGGTTTCACCATGTTGGCCAGGATGGTCTCAATCTCTTGACCTTGTGATCCACCTGCCTCGGCCTCCCAAAGTGCTGGGATTACAGGCATGAGCCACCACGCCCAGCTCCCCCACCTTTTTTTTTTTTTGAGATGGAAAGCTCTGTCACCCAGGCTAGAGTGCATTGAGCCATCTTGGCTCTCTGCAACTTCTGCCTCCCGGGTTCAAGCAATTCTCCTGCCTCAGGCTCCCAAGTAGCTGGGATTACAGGCGCCCACAACCATGCCTGGCTAATTTTTGTATTTTTAGTGGAGACAGAGTTTCACTATATTGGCCAGGCTGATCTCGAACTCCTGACCTCAAGTGATCTGCCTGTGTCAGCCTCCCAAAGTGCTGTGATTACAGGCATGAGCCACCATGCCCCACCGCAATTAAGTAAAGTAATCATCTAAAAGCCCTGCCATGGTTCCTGCCACACAGTGTGTGCTGGGGAAGCGCGCACGAATTAAACAGTAGCTGGCGTTGACGGGGCACCTATGCGGCATTTTCTGTGCACGATCTTTACTCTCCCTGGCAACCCTATGAGGTAGATAGTCCATGACTCCCATTCATGGATGAAGAAACAGGCCCACACAGGTAAAGCAACTTGTACCAGGTCATACCGCTAGAAAGATGTAGAGTCAGCCACGCGCGGTGGCTCATGCCTATAATCCCAGCACTTTCGGAGGCTGAGGCGGGATGATCACTTGAGGTCAGGGGTTCGTAACCAGCCTGGCCAACATGGTGAAACCCCGTCTCTACTAAAAATACAAAAATTAGCTGGGCGTGGTGGCGGACGCCTGTAATCCCAGCTACTCAGGAGGCTGAGGCAGAAGAATTGCTTGAACCCGGGAGACAGAGGTTGCAGTGAGCTGAGATCACGTCACTGCACTCCAGCCTGGGTGACTGAGCAAGACTCCATCTCAAAAAGAAAAAAAAACAGGCCAGGAGCAGTGGCTTACACCTGTAATCCCAGCACTTTGGGAGGCCAAGGCGTGTGGATTGCCTGAGGTCAGGAGTTCAAGACCAGCCTGGCCAACGTGGTGAAACCCTGTCTATACTAAAAATGCAAAAATTAGCTGGGTGTGGTGGCAGGCGCCTGTAGTCCCAGCTACTCGGGAGGCTCAGGTAGGAGAATTGCTTGAACCCAGGAGATGGAGGTTGCAGTGAGCCGAGATCGCGCCACTGCACTCCAACATGGGCAATAGAGCAAGACTCCATCTCAAAAAACAAAGAAGGGAGGGAGGGAAGGAAAGAAAGGAAAAGAAGCAACAGGTAGAGTCAGGCTCTGAACCCCACACCAATCATAACACAACACACAGTAGGTTTGTTTTTGTTTTTTATTTTGGGCTTTTGTTTGTTGTGGAGACAGCGTCACCCAGGCTGTAATGCAATGGTACAATCATAGCTCACTGTAGCCCTGAACTCCTAGACTCAAACAATCCTCCCACCTCGGCCTCCTGAGTAGCTGGGACTACAGGGGCATGCCACCACGCCTAGCTAAATTTTTTTTTTTTATTTTTAGTAGAGATGAGGTCTCCCTATGTTGCCCAGATTAGTGTCTTAACTCCTGGGCTCAGGTGATCCTGCCACCAGGGATTACAGGCACGAGCCACCATGCTGGCCCTTGTTTTTTGTTGTTTTTTTTTTTTTTTTTTGAGACGGAGTCTCGCTTTGTCGCCCAGGCTGGAGTGCAGTGGCGGGATCTCGGCTCACTGCAAGCTCCGCCTCCCGGGTTCACGCCATTCTCCTGCCTCAGCCTCCCAAGTAGCTGGGACTACAGGCGCCCGCCACTATGACCGGCTAATTTTTTTGTATTTTTAGTAGAGACGGGGTTTCACCGTTTTAGCCGGGATGGTCTCGATCTCCTGACCTCGTGATCCGCCCGCCTCGGCCTCCCAAAGTGCTGGGATTACAGGCGTGAGCCACCGCGCCCGGCCTGTTTTTTTTTTTTTTTTTGAGACTGAGTCTCGCACTGTCGCCCAGGCTGGAGTGCAGTGGCGCGATCTCGGCTCACTGCAACCTCCACCTTCCAGGTTCAAGCAATTCTCCTGCCTCAGCCTCCTGAGTAGCTGAGATTACAGGTGCCCACCACGATGCCCAGCTAACTTTTTTTTTTTTTTTGGTATTTTTAGTAGAGACGGGGGTTTCACCATGTTGGTCAGGCTGGTCTCGAACTCCTGACCTCGTGATCCGCCCGCCTTGGCCTCCCAAAGTGATGGGATTACAGGCGTGAGCCACCGTGCCCAGCTTTTTTTTTTTTTTTTTAAGAGACGGGGTCTTACTATGTTGCCCAGGCTGGACTCTCAAACTCCTGGGCTCAAGGAATCCTTCTACCACAGCTTTCTGAGTAGCTGGGGCTACAAGCCCCTGCCACAGTACCTGGCTGTTTTTGTTTTTTTATAATTGTGGTAAAATATAAACAACATGGCCGGGTGTGGTGGCTCACGCCTGTAATCTCAACACTCTGGGAGGTTGAGGTGGGAGGATTACTTGAACCCAGGAGTTCAAGACCAGTCTGGGCAACTTGGCAAAACTGTGTTTCTACAAAAAATAAAAATATTAGCTGGGCAGCCAGGCGCAGTGGCTCATGCCTGCAATCCCAGCACTTTGGGAGGCTGAGGTGGATGGATCACCTGAGAGGTCAGGAGTTTGAGACCACCCTGGCCAACATGGTGAAAACCTGTCTCTTTAAAAATACAAAAAAATGAGCCAGCCATGGTGGCTCACGCCTGTAATCCCAGCACTTTGAGAGGCCAAGGCAGGTGGATCACCTGAGGTCAGGAGTTCAAGACCAACCTGGCCAACATTGTGAAACCCCGTCTCTACTAAAAATACAAAAAATTAGCTGGGCATGGTGGCAGGCGCTTATAATTCCAGCTACTAAGGAGGCTGAGGCCGGAGAATCGCTTGAACCCGGGAGGCGGAGGTTGCAGTGAGTCAAGATCGCACCATTGCACTCCAGCCTGGGCAACAAGAGCGAAACTATGTCTCAAATACATACATACATACAAAAAATTAGCCGGGTGTGGTTGCCGCACACCTGTAATCCCAGCTACGCGGGAGGCTGAAGCAGGAGAATCGCTGGAACCCGGGAGGCAGAGGTTGCAGTGAGCCAAGATCACACCATTGCACTCTATCCTGGGTGACGGAGTGAGACTCTGCCTCAAAAAAAAAAAAAAAAAAAAAAAAACTTAACCATTGCAGCCATTTTTAGGTGTACAGTTCAGTGGCATTAAGTACATTCACACTGTTGTGCAACCATCCCCACTATTTGCAGGATGTCTTCGTCATCCCAAACAGAAACTCTGGGTGTTTTCAATCTGCTGATGATTGCTACAGAGGAATTCCAGGGGACATCTGTTGCGCACCTACTGTGCTCACGCTGGGGCCTCTGGGATGGACAGGATTCTGCCAAGGCAGACATCTGGGTCAAGACAGTCCTGCACAGTTGTTCAGGTTGTGGCCAAGGTTGCGTTTGCAGATTTGCCATGTAAAAATACAGGATGCTCAGTTACATTTGAATTTCAGATTAATAGCAAAAAAAACTTTTTGGTATAATTCTGAAATATTTCATGGGACATATTTATACTAAAACGTCATGCACTGTTGATTTGAAATTCAAATGTAATTGGGCCTCCTCTATTTCGTCTGGCAAGCGTAGACAAAAGAATCCAGTCCAGGCCAGGCGCAGTGGCTCAAGCCTGTAATCCCAGCACTTTGGGAGGCCGAGGCGGGCGGATCACGAGGTCAGGAGATCGAGACCATCCTGGCTAACACGGTGAAACCCCGTCTCTACTAAAAATACAAAAAATTAGCTGGGCGTGGTGGCGGGTGCCTGTAGTCCCAGCTACTCGGGAGGCTGAGGCAGGAGAATGGCGTGAACCTGGGAGGCGGAGCTTGCAGTGAGCCGAGATCGCGCCACAGCACTCCAGCCTGGGCGACAGAGCCAGACTCTGTCTCAAAAAAAAAAAAAAGAATCCAGTCCATAGTCCCCTGAGCCATGTGCCCTGGGGTGCAGCTGGGTCCTTCAGGAGAAAAATGCTCTATTTCTGGCACTGGGACCGAGCCTGATGTGGGTTTTTTGTTGGTTTTTGTTGTTGTTATTGTTTTTGAGACAAGGTCTCGCTCCACCACACCCGGCTAATTTTTGTATTTTTAGTAGAGACGGGGTTTCACTACGTTGGCCAGGCTGGTCTTGAACTCCTGACCTCAAGTGAGCCGCCTGCCTCGGCCTCCCAAAGTGCTGGGATTACAGGTGGGAGCCACCGCCCTGGCCCTGGGCCTGATGTTGATGACCTCCTACTATGTGCACCTGCAGCTCTCCTGCATAGGCCTCAGCCGTCCTGCATGAGGACACTGGGAGGCAGGTGCTCCCTATCAACCCCGTGTTACAGTTGAACAAACTGAGCCCCAGAAAAGAAAACGTATTTGCCCAGGTCACACGGTGAAGAAGTGAGGGATTCGAAGCCCAGGTCCATCTGAAGCCAGAGTCACCCAGAGGAGAAAGAGTTGGAATTGAGAACTCAAGGAATGCTTGGAAGTGATCGGGCTCGAGCCCACCTAGGAAGAAACAGAGGCTGGAGACATGAGACTGTGTTGCTATTTCCTCTCATCAACCCTTGGGCCCTATTGAGGCCCTACCACAAGCCTGGCCCTGCAGCCCAGTGACTAGGAGAAATTAGACACAAGATAATAATAACAGCAATGATCTTTTTTTTTTTTCTGAGACGGAGTCTTGCTCTTTCGCCCAGGCTGGACTGCAGTGGCGCGATCTCGGCTCAATGCAAGCTCCACCTCCCAGGTTCACGCCATTCTCCTGCCTCAGCCTCCCGAGTAGCTAGGACTACAGGCGCCTGCCACCACGCCTGGCTAATTTTTCATATTTTTAGTAGAGATGGGGTTTCACCGTGTTAGCCAAGATGGTCTCAATCTCCTGACCTCGTGATCCGCCTGCCTCGGCCTCCCAAAGTGTTGGGGTTACAGGCATGAGCCACCGCGCCTGGCCAACAGCAATGATCTTTGAGCACCTATATTGCCAGTCTCCACGGTAAGAGCTTTCTTCATTTTTTGTTTTGTTTTGTTTCAAGACAGAGTCTTGCTCTGTCACCCAGGCTGGAGTGCAGTGGTGTGATCGCGGCTCACTGCAGCCTTCACTTCCCGGGTTCAAGCCATTCTCCTGCCTCAGCCTCCCAAGTAGCTGGGATTACAGGCACGCATCACTACTTCTGGCTAATTTTTGTATTTTTAGTAGGGACAGGGTTTTTCACCATGTTGGCCAGGTTGGTCTCAAACTCCTGGCCTCATATGATCTGCCCACCTCGGCCTCCCAAAGTGCTGGGATTACAGGCGTGAGCCACTGCGCCTTTCTTTGTATTTGTTCAAGTAATATACTGAAATATGTACTGTGCCTCCCACTTTATGGAGGAGGAAACTGAGGCCAGCAAATGAGGCTGTCATGGGAGGTGGAGACAGGATTTGAACCTGCCTCAGTGCAGGAGGCTCAAGAGCCTCTGTCTTCTCTCAGGGCACTGTGTGGGAGGGTGAGAAGGAGGGAGGCCCACAGAGGCATGACCTCTGATTGCCACTGTCACCTGGGCCCTGCTCTCTGAAGTCTCTGCCAAGCGGGGAGGTGGCCGGGGGAGGGCCCTGCTCTGTGCAGCCTCCCCTCCCCCGGCCCGCAGAGTTGAGCACAGAGGGACAGAGGCACGGAACCCCCAGAAATGTCCCTCCTCAGAAACAGGCTCCAGGCCCTGCCTGCCCTGTGCCTCTGCGTGCTGGTCCTGGCCTGCATTGGGGGTGAGAAGAAGTGGGTGGAGGGATGTGGGGCCCACACCTGGTGGGTGTGAGTGTGGCTGTGTGTCCTGTGGCTCTGTAGCCACGTGAGACATGAGTACGGAGTGTGTGCGTTTCATGGCGTGCGTATGCATGTGCGTGTCGGGGAGTGTGTGTGTCGGTGGCTGAGAGTGAAGTGTGAATGTCACATTGGTACAAACTGGGATCATCTGTGTGTGTGCACGTGCGTGCGTGGAAGTGGGAGTATGCAGTCGTGGTAAAAAAGTGCATGTCTGTGTGCATATGTGTATTTGTGTGCACCTGTCTCTCTGTGGGGTATGTGTGTGCAAAATATTTGAGTGTGTGGACATGTGTGAGGGGGTGAGTGTGTGCTGGTGTGTACGTCTGTGTTTTGCATATGCATTTTTTTTTTTTTTTTTGAGACGGAGTCTCACTCTGTCACCCAGGCTGGAGTGCAGTGGTAGCAGTGGTGCGATCTTGGCTCACTGCATCATCCGCCTACCCGTTTCAAGGGATTCTCCTGCCTCAGTCTTCAGAGTATTTGGGACTACAGACACACGCCACCATGCCTGGCTAATTTTTTTTTTTTGAGACGGAGTCTCGCTCTGTTACCCAGGCTGGAGTGCAGTGGCGTGATCTTGGCTCACTGCAACGTCCGCCTCCCGGGTTCACGCCATTCTCCTGCCTCAGCCTCCCGAGTAGCTGGGACTACAGGAGCCCACCACCACGCCTGGCTAATTTTTTGTATTTTTACTAGAGACGGGGTTTCGCCGTGTTAGCCAGGATGGTCTCCATATCCTGACCTCGTGATCCGCCTGCCTCGGCCTTCCAAAGTGCTAGGATTATAGGCGTGAGCCACTGCGCCTGGCCAATGCCTGGCTAATTTTTTTATATTTTTGGTAGAGACAGGGTTTTGCCATGTTGCCCAGGCTGGTCTTGAAATCCTGACCTCAGGTGATCCGCCCGCCTTGGCCTCCCAAAGTGCTGGGATTACAGGCATGAGCCACCACGCCCGGCCATGTACTTTATGTTAAAATGGGATCATATTCTAGATCAGCATTATCCAGTAGAAATTTAAATTTTTAATACAGGGCCAGGCACGGTGGCTCATGCCTGTAATCCCAGCACTTTCGGAGGCCGAGGCGGGTGGATCGCAAGGTCAGGAGATTTGAGATCATCCTGGCTAACAGATGGGTAAAAACCCATCTCTACTAAAAATACAAAAAATTAGCCATGCATGGTGGCATGCGCCTGTAGTCCCAGCTACTCGGGAGGCTGAGGCCGGAGAATCACTTGAACCCGGGAGGCAGAGGTTGCAGTGAGCCGAGATCGCGCCACTGCATTCCAACCTGGGTGACAGAGCGAGACTCCGTCTGAAAAAAAAAAAAAATTTAACACGTATGTAGACAATGTGCAAGGCACCATTCCATGTGCATCGTATGTAGTAACTCTTAATTCTCACGATAACCCTGAGGTAGATATTATTACCCCGTTCTACAAAAGGAGAAACAGTCCTGGGGAGACAGGATAAGTCACCGGCCAAGGCACACAGCTAGCTACATGTGGCCCCCGCGTGACGGCTGGTCTCTGTAGGCGAGGCTTTGTCCAGATGCGTGGGTAGAAGGTCTGGCCCGGAAAGAGGAACTGACAGCAAGGCTAAGCCAATGTCTGCCCCTGGGGGCAGAAAGTCACCTCCTGCTCTCCCTCCACTGTCCACAGAGGTAGCTCAGACAGGGTGGGGGTCACAGGAGAACGAAGGGAGAAGGGGGTAGTTCCTGGGCAGCAAAATCAGGTGGTGAAGGGAGGCATCAGAGGATGGCAATTAGAGAGGCCATTAGAGGGGAACCACAGGCAGACAGGGTGACAGGAGGGACTACTGACACAAGGTGAAGAGATGGCCCAGCCGGACGGGGTGGCTCACATCTGTAATCCCAGCATTTTGGGAGCCCGAGGTGGGTGGATCACTTGAGGTCAGGAGTTCGAGGCCCCAACATGGCAAAACCCCATCTCTTCTAAAAATACAAAAATTAGCCGGGCATGATGGCAGATGCCTGTAATCCCTGCTACTCGGGAGGCTGAGGCAGGAAAATTGCCTGAATCCAGGAGGTGGAGGTTGCAATGAGACGAGATCATGACACTGCACTCCACCCTGGGCAACAGAGCAAGAGACTGACTCTGTCTCATAAAAAAAAAGAAAAAAGAAAAAAAAAAAGAGATGGCTGATGGTTAAAGAGGGGTTAGCGGTCAGGGGACACATAAGGGTAAAGGCAGGAGGCAAGAGGACTGGCAGGGGGCTGCCCCTGGGCCACCGGGAGCGACACAGGATGAGCATGGAGGGAAAGGGAGAAGGGGATTCTAGGGTCCCAGCCTACCCAAGTTGCCCTCTGGTTCCACCTAGCATGCCAGCCAGAGGCCCAGGAAGGAACCCTGAGCCCCCCACCAAAGCTAAAGATGAGTCGCTGGAGCCTGGTGAGGGGCAGGATGAAGGAGCTGCTGGAGACAGTGGTGAACAGGACCAGAGACGGGTGGCAATGGTTCTGGTGAGGGTGTGCTGGGCTGGGTGGTGGGAGGGGACTCCTGGGTCTGAGGGAGGAGGGGCTGGGGCCTGGACCCCTGAGTCTCAGGGAGGAGGAAAGGGTGGGAGTGGGGCTGTGACCCCTAGGTCTGGGAGGAGTGGAGGGTTAGAGCTGAGAGCAGGAACTCCTAGGTCACAGAGAGGAGCGGATAAATGGGGCAGAGAACACCTGGGGAGAGCTGGGGCCTCCACTGTGATGTCCTCTCTCCTGTAGGAGCCCGAGCACCTTCCGGGGCTTCATGCAGACCTACTATGACGACCACCTGAGGGACCTGGGTCCGCTCACCAAGGCCTGGTTCCTCGAATCCAAAGACAGCCTCTTGAAGAAGACCCACAGCCTGTGCCCCAGGCTTGTCTGTGGGGACAAGGACCAGGGTTAAAATGTTCATAAAAGCCAGGTGTGGTTGTGGCGGGTGCCTGTAGTCCCAGCTACTCAGGAGGCTGAGGTAGGATGATGGCTTGAGCCCAGGAGTTCGAGACCAGCCTGGGCAACACAGCGAGATCTCTTGGGGGTAAAACAAAAAGAAAAAAAAAAGTTCATACTTCTCCAATAAATAAAGTCTCACCTGTGTCCCTGTCTGGATCCTTCCCCAGTGTGGCCAGAAAAAAACCCACCCCACTGCCTCCCAGGAATCAATGAGTAGAAGAGGTGACACCTGATGGGGAAGGAAGAGTAGGGAGGTCGGGAAGGGTATCAAGGAATAACACCCTATTGTGGGCTTGCGGAGAATGGGGGACTTCAAGGCGTGTCAGTTTCAGGAGGGTGAGGGCAGGAGCGTGGGTGGAGTCAGCAGGTCCCCATGATGGCCCTCACTGAGAGCTTCGCCCTTGTCTCCTACAAGCTCTGACTCCATTCCCAGTGGGCACCCAGCACCTCCAACCCCTCCACAGCCCCCAACCCAGCCTCTGTCGGAGGCGAATTCTCAGAGTGAGGGTTCCCTGTCACTTGAGAGAAGGTTCCCTGTGACGTGACCTTGGGGGACGTCATTGCCCTTTCTGTCCCCACCCACCCCCTCCGCAGTTCTGTTGGCCAGGACTTTGGCCTAGACAAAGGATGGGGGTTGTGGCTGTGGAGCGGAAGTGGGTCTCAACCACTATAAATCCTCTCTGTGCCCGTCCGGAGCTGGTGAGGACAGCCTGCCAGAGTCTGGTAAGAAAGGGACTCAGGGTGCGGGGACAGGGGGGCGTCAGCAGGGAGAGGGCAAAGATCGATAAAGCAGGAATTTTAAGAGGCACAATATTAGAAGCCCGTGTTGGAACCATGACTGTGTGTGTGTGTGTGTGTGTGTGTGTGTGTGTGTGTGTGTGTGAGAGAGAGAGAGAGGGAGATGGAGTCTCGCTATGTAGCCCAGGCTAGACTCAAACTCCTGGGCTCAAGCAATCCTCCTGCCTCAGCCTCCCCAGTAGCTGGGACTACAGGTGCACCACCACACTCCACAAATCACAGAATTTAGAACTGTAGACTATTTGAGCTTCTGCTTAGAGTTAGGGTGGCTGAGGTGGGGAGGATCCCTTGAGCCCAGGAGTTTGAGGATGCAGTGAGCTGTGATCTTGCCACCGTGTTCCAGCCTGGGTGACAGAGAAACCCCATTTCTAAAAAAGAGAAAGAAAAAGGGATAGGTACAATGGCTCATGCCTGTAATCCCAGCACTCTGGGAGGCCGAGGCGGGTGGATCACTTGAGGTCAGGAGTTCGACACCAGCCTTACCAGCATGGTGAAACCGCATCTATACTAAAAATACAAAAATTGGCCGGGTGTGGTAGCATATGCCTGTAATCCCAGCTATTCCAGAGGCTGAGACAGGAGAATTGCTTGAACCCAGGAAGCGGAGGTTGCAGTGAGCCCAGATCGTGCCACTGTACTCTAGCCTGGGTGACAGAGCAAGACTCAGTCTTGGCGGAAAAAAAGAATGAAAAAATTTAAAAAACTAAAAAAGAACTGTAGGCTGGGCGTGGTGGCTTACACTTGTAATCCAAACGCTTTGGGAGGCCAAGGCAAACGGATCACTTGATGTCAGGAGTTGGAGACCAGCCTGGCCAACATGGTGAAACCCCGTCTCTACTAAAAATACAAAAATTAGACAGGCATGGTGGTGCATGCTTGTATTTCCAGTTACTCAGGAGGCTGAGGCAGGAGAATCGCTCGAACCCGGAAGACAGAGGTTGCGGTGAGCCAAAATTGCGCCATCGCACTCCAGCCTGGGCGAGAGAACAAGACCTTGTCTTGGAAAAAAAAAAAGAATTGTAGACCATTTGCTTGTGTTCTTTCTCCGGGGATCAGATCTCACCCTCTTTCTGCCGTACTTCCTCATCTCCTACGTGTGGATGATGATATTGTGCCCTGTGCATGTTCTTCGTCACCAAAAGTGCCTCTCTCATAGAGCAGGTGAGAACTCAGTGAGGAGATGCAGGGACATGAGGTCTGACTTAGGGCAGAGCCCTAAGGTAACACATTTGATCTACTGTAGGTCCTTAATGGTGTCTGCAGAGCACCTCCCTGCACTGACTCAGCCTTAGCAAAGGGCAGAGGCTTTGCTGTGTTCCCTGCTGGGCCCAGAACTGTTTAGGTGCTCAAGAAAGCCTTCTAGGCTGGGCTCAGTGGCTCACACCTGTACTCCCAGCACCCTGGGGAGGCCGAGATGGGAGGATCGCTTGAGCCCAGGAGTTCCAGACCAGCCTGGGCAACAAAACAAGTCTCCCATCTCTACAAAAGAATAAAAATTAGCAGCTGGGCATGGTGGCTCATGCCTGTAATTCCAGCACTTTGGGAGGCCAAGGCAGGCAAATCACTTGAGGTTAGGAGTTCAAGACCAGCCTGGCCAACATGGTGAAACCCCATCTCTACTAAAAATACAAAAATCAGGTGGGGCACAGTGGCTCAAGCCTGTAATCCTAGCACTTTGGGAGGCCAAGGTGGGCGGATCACGAGGTCAGAAGTTCGAGACCAGCCTGGCCAGCATGGTGAAACCCCATCTCTACTAAAAATACAAAATATTAGCCGGGCATGGTGGCAGGTGCTTGTGATTCCAGCTCCTTGGGAGGCTGAGGCAGAAGAATTGCTAGAACCCTGGAGGCAGAGGTTGCAGTGAGCCGAGAACACGCCACTGCACTCCAGCCTGGGTGACAGAGCGAGACTCCATCTCAAAAAATACGAAAACAAAAATCAGCCGGGTGGTGGCGGGTGCCTGTAATCCCAGCTACTGGGGAGGCTGAGGCAGGAGAATTGCTTGAACCTGGGAGGTGGGGGTTGCAGTGAGCCAAGATTGCACCACTGCACTCCAGCCTGGGCAACAGAGTGAGATTCCATCTCAAAAAAGAAAAAAATAATAATTAAAATGTTAAAATCAGGAGTAGAATCACAGAATGTTGGAAAGTGAGGCCCAAGAAGGGGGCTGTGTCCAAGTCCATGCATGGGAAACTTGACTGGGACACCGAGCTCACACAGAGCAGGATCTCAGTCCCCCCCACCAGAGTGGGGCGTGACCACAGGAACAGCCGCCTCCAGTCAGCCTGCCACATGACACCCCCTCAATGTTCCAGGTCTCTGGACACTATGGGCACACGACTCCTCCCAGCTCTGTTTCTTGTCCTCCTGGTATTGGGATTTGGTGAGTGTGGGCTTCCGGGGAGGGAAGCCTTGGGGAGGGGAATGAGCTCCAAGCATCTTCCCAGCCCAGGCCCTTCTTACCTCTGCCTCTGCCCTCTCCTCTTCTTCCTTCCTCCTTTCCCCCTGCTGCAGCCCCACGGGCTCTCCTGACACACTCTCCCCCTGCAGAGGTCCAGGGGACCCAACAGCCCCAGCAAGATGAGATGCCTAGCCCGACCTTCCTCACCCAGGTGAAGGAATCTCTCTCCAGTTACTGGGAGTCAGCAAAGACAGCCGCCCAGAACCTGTACGAGAAGACATACCTGCCCGCTGTAGATGAGAAACTCAGGTAGCACCTGCCCCTGGAGAAATGGGGTCTGGCCCATACCACCGACTGCATCCAGGACCCAGAAGTTCAGGCCCCAGCCCCTCCTCCCTCAGACCCAGGAGTCCAGGCCTCAGCCCCTCCTCCCTCAGACCCAGGAGTCCAGGCCCCCAGCCCGTCCTCCCTCAGACCCAGGAGTCCAGGCCCCCAGCCCCTCCTCCCTCAGACCCAGGAGTCCAGGTCCCCAGACCCTCCTCCCTCAGACCCAGGAGTCCAGGCCCCCAGCCCCTCCTCCCTCTAACCATCTGTGCTTTCTCCCCAGGGACTTGTACAGCAAAAGCACAGCAGCCATGAGCACTTACACAGGCATTTTTACTGACCAAGTTCTTTCTGTGCTGAAGGGAGAGGAGTAACAGCCAGACCCCCCATCAGTGGACAAGGGGAGAGTCCCCTACTCCCCTGATCCCCCAGGTTCAGACTGAGCTCCCCCTTCCCAGTAGCTCTTGCATCCTCCTCCCAACTCTAGCCTGAATTCTTTTCAATAAAAAATACAATTCAAGTTGCTTCTCATGGATGGCACTGCTTTTCTGAGGACTCAAGGGCCAAGATGGAGGGGCTGACTCAGTCCAGCCAACATTTAATGAGCACCTACTTTATGTATGGAGCTCTAACCCATGGGTCCATGGGAATAAAGCAGTGAATAGTAACAATAAATAATCGTAACAGCAATTAGAGACTAATCTTTATTGAAGTCCGGCTTTCTCTCTTTTATTTTTTTATTTTTTGAGACAGGGTTTCACTCTGTCACCCAGGCTGGACAGCAGTGGTGCAATCTCGGCTCACTGCACCCTCCGCCTCCCAGGTTCCAGCGATTCTGTGTGCCTCAGCCTCTGGAGTAGCTGGGATTATGGGCATGTGCCACTGTGCACGGCTAATGTTTGTATTTTTAGTAGGGTTTTGCCAGTTGGCTAGGCTGGTCTCAAACTTCTGACCTCAAGTGATCCACCCGCCTCAGCCTCCCAAAGTACTGGGGTGACAGGCATGAGCCACCGCGCCATGCCAAAATCCAGCCTTCTCATTTGTAAAATAACAAATCATAGACACAGCTAGTCCACAGTGGCCTCTGACAGTCTCCAGTTGTTAACGGTGAATGGTGTCCAGGTTTTTGGCGTCCTGAACAAAGAACTGGACAAAACGCACAAACAAAGCAAGGAAGGAATGAAGGGATTTATTGAAAACGAACATACACTAAACAGTGTGGGAGCGGGCCCAAGCATATGGGTTCAAAAGCCCTGTTACAGAATTTTTGGGAGTTTAAATTCCCCCTAGAGGATTCCCCTTCCACTGGTTACTTCTGGTACACCCTATGTAAATGGAGAGGATGAAGAAAAGTTACAAAGTCATTTATGGCCTACCGGAGAGGATGTTTCCTGTTATAGCTGAAGTGAATTGGCCTTATGTTCCCTGCCTCCCTATTTTCCTGCCTTACAGTTGCTGGACTGACACATTTTTTATTTTATTTATTTTGTTTTGAGATAAGGTCTTGCTCTGTCGCCCAGGCTGAAGTGCAGTGGTGAGATCTTGGCTTACTGTAGCCTTGACCTTTTGGGCTCAAGAGATCCTCCCATCTCAGCCTCCCAAGTAGTTGGGACTAGGGATGCCCACTGCCACACCTGGCTAATTTTTTGTATTTTTAGTAGAGACGGGGTTTCGTCAAGTTGCCTAGGCTAGTCTCCAATTCCTGGGCTCAAGCGATCTGCCCACCTTGCCCTTCCAAAGTGTTGGGATTACGGGTGTGAACCACCGCACCAGGCCTGGGCTGACACTTTAAACGTGCCATTGCAATCAGTGTATAATGGTCCCGTGGCAGAGGGAGAATGGTGCCCAAGTCAGTACTTCTTGGCTGGGACCCAAGAAGACAAACCTCTAGGGCCGGCGTGGTGGCTCACGCCTGTAATCCCAGCACTTTGGTTGGCTGAGGTGGGCAGATCATCTGAGGTCAGGAGTTCAAGACCAGCCTGGCCAACATGGTGAAACCTTGTCTCTAATAAAAACACAAAAATTAGCTAGGGGTGGCCCGCGCCTGTAATCCCAGTTACCTGGAGGCTGAGGCAGGAGAATTGCTTGTACCCTGGAGGCGGAGATAGTGCCACTGCACTCCAGCCTGGGCAGCAGAGTGAGACTCCGTCTCTAAAAAAAAAAAAGAAAAACTTATTAAAAAAAAATTGCAAGCAAAAAGCACAGAAGGCAGAAGGTGCAAATAAGCAGAGGCTCCATGGTCTGAAGGAGGCCAGTGCTGGGACCATGAATGAAGGGGGCTGGGGGCCAAGATTCCTGTATCCTGAGGGAGTCCAGGGTGGTACTGCTCCCCAAGTCCCATGGGTGGGGCTATTGGTCTCTGGGGATCCACTGCTTGTATTTCTCCTAATCTGCTTGGCATTAACCTCCTGCCAGGCTTTCAACACCCTTGGGGCAGTTTTCCCAGGTCCTGAGGCTGGGCAGCTGAGTCCAGTAAAAAACAGGGGCCCTGGAGAGGGACTGTGGGCAATGCCCCCGAGTCCCCGGGGCCTGGGAAGAACAGAGGCTGCCAAGTGCAGGGGGTGGTGGGGAGGGGAAGACCCTGGAGTAACAATCCCTGCTGTGTCCACTTGGTTCCCACGGACTCAAGCCAAGCCAAAGCACTGCCCGGACCAGTTCGGCTTCCAACCAATCCTGGTGCTGGCCTCAGACTCCTCCTTTCTTTCTCAGAACCCCATTCCCCTCAGGGCCCCCAGAGTCCAGGCCCCTAGATTCTTCTTCCCCTAGAACTCAGGAGTCTGGGACCCCCCAGTCCCTTCTCCTCAGGACCTAGAAGGTTGGATCCCCAGCCCCCTTTCTCCCTTAGAACCTGAAATCACAGCCCTTGATCAGTATTTTGCGCCCCCTAGTGGAGAGAAGAGTGGGTCTGTCCTGTGACTTACATACAGCAGGAATGGCAGAATTTTTTACTTATTATGATTTTTAATTTCTTTAGAGACAGGGTCTCACTCTGTCACCCAGGCTGGAGTGCAGTAATGTGATCACAGCTAATTGCAACCTCGAACGAACTCCTGGGCTCCGGCATCCCTCCCACCTCAGCCTCAGAGTAGCTGGACCACAGGTGGATGCCACCACACCACCTAATTTTGTTAATTTTTAGTAGAGCTAGGATCTCGCTATGTCACCAAGGCTGGTCTTAAACTCCTAGGCTCAAGCGATCCTTCTGCCTCAGCCTCCCAGAGTGCTAGGATTACAGGCATGAGCCACGAAGCCTGGACGGAATGGCAGAATTTATTTGGTCACTCCACAGAGCATAGGAAGGCTCTGCAGGGAACCTGCCTCCACAGGAGCCCTGTCCAAGGTCACACTTCTCATGAGAAGCTTAGACCTCATCATGCTCCAACACATTGGCCCTTGCAGTGTATGAGACTTGGAGAGCAGATTGCAGCAGTTTGTATTTATAGCTGAGAGCGCAGTTGGGGTTGCAGTGAGGCTGGAGAAAGTTTCAAAGCCCCTCACTTGCCTGGGCTTTCCATGGTCCTCTACCTAAATTTGTACAAGTCATTTTGTACTTTTTTTTTTTCAAGACAGAGTCTCCCTTTTCTTGCCCAGGCTGGAGTGCGATGGCATGATCTCGGCTCACCACAACCTCCGCTTCCCAGGTTCAAGCGATTCTCCTGCCTTGGCCTCCCAAGTAGCTGGGATTACAGGCATGTACCACCATGCCCAGCTAATTTTGTACTTTTAGTAGAGATGGGGTTTCTCCATTTTGGTCAGGCTGGTCTCGAACTCCCGACCTCAGGTGATCCACCAGCCTCTGCCTCCCAAAGTGCTGGGATTACAGTGTGAGCCACCACACCCAGCCAATTTTGTACTTTTTAAAAGAGGCCAGGCCAGGCGCGGTGGCTCATGCCTGTACTCCCAGCACTTTGGGAGACAGAGGCAGGCGGATCACGAGGTCAGGAGATCAAGACCATCCTGGCTAACACGGTGAAACCCCGTCTCTACTAAAAATACAAAAAATTAGCTGGGCGTGGTGGTGGGCGCCTGTAGTCCCAGCTACTCCGGAGGCTGAGACAGGAGAATGGTGTGAACCCAGGAGGCGGAGCTTGCATTGAGCTGAGATCATGCCACTGCACTCCAGCCTGGGTGACAGAGCAAGACTCCATCTCAAAAAAAAAAAAAAAAAGAGGCCCACAAAACACATAAGCTTCAGACCCCACAAAGTCTCTCCTCAATCCCTGTCTTAGTCTATTCACTTCATCCCTGGACTTAAAAGACTGGGCCTACACATTCAAAGAATCGTTATTAACACCATTATTGTCTGTAACAGTGAGGATGAGGCACTGAGTTTTCTTTTTCTTTTCTTTCTTCTTTTTTGGAGGTGGAGTCTTGCTCTGTTGCCCAGGCCGGAATTCAGTGGCATGATCTTGGCTCACTGCAACCTCTGCCTCCCGGGTTCAAGCAATTCTCCTGCCTCAGCCTCCCGAGTAGCTGGAGTTACAGACGTCCGCCACCATGCCCGGCTAATTTTTGTATTTTTAGTAGAGACGGGGTTTCACAATGTTGGCCAGGCTGGTCTTGAACTCCCGACCTCAGGTGATCCGCCTGCCTCGGCCTCCCAAAGTGCTGGGATTACAGGCGTGAGCCACCGCGCCTGGCTGAGGAGCGAAGTTTTCTAAGGTTCCTTCTTGTCCTGTGTTAGCCCTCAGAGAGGTAAGTCACTCACCTTCTGCACCTAGAGAGCCTCATCCCCAGGGCAATCATCCCCAGGGCAGTGCTGGAGATACAGCAGTGACCACAACAGTCCCAGGTCAGCCTGCCCAGTTGGGGAGACACACCCATCCCTGACAGTGATGACACAAAGTGAGCAGGGATGGGGTGGAGGAGCTGAGGGGGCAAGGGAGGATAGGAAAAGGGCTCAGAGAGAGTTTCCTAGAGCGAGAGCTACTGTTACAGGGCTGAGACCTAGAGGAAAGTGGAGGAAACCGATAATAAAATGATAATTATATATTCAGAATATCCCAATGCAAAGCTTACTCTTTTTCCAGGTAATATATAAGGTTCATAATCACAGCGCTCCAAATATTGACCACTTAAGCATGAGGCCCAGGGCCTGATGTTTTCCATTCGCCATCTAACTACGTCTTCCCAATAACACAGCGGGGCAAAACGGGAAGACGAAGAACGAGTACGATTATATCCCTGGTTTATAAAAGGGGAGAAACTGAGGCTCAAACATAGATGTCACTTGTCACCAGCCTGGCCAACACGGTGAAACTCCGTCTCTACTTACAAAAAAAAAAAAAAAATGGGAGGCTGACGCAGGAGAATTGCTTGAATCCGGGAGGCAGAGGTTGCAGTGAGCCGAGATCGCGCCACTGCACTCCAGCCTGGGTGACAGAGCGAGACTCCGTCTCAAAAAAAAAAAAAAAATTAGCCAGGAGTGGTGGCGTGCTCCTGTAATCCCAGCTACTCGGGAGGCCGAGGATGCAGTGAGCCGAGGTTGCAGTGAGCCGAGATCGCGCCATTGCACTCCAGCCTGGGGGAGAGTGAGGCTCCGTCTAAAAAAGAAAAAAAAAGAGAGAGAGAGACGTCACTTGTCCAGGATATCTTATCCAGTCAGTAGCACCACAAGGGTTAGAACCCTGGCCAGACATCCACCCAATTTCACGGGTGAACAGTTAACAGCCTCTGAGAGTCTTGTCCTCTCTGGGCCTCCGTAACACCCTCTCCAAACTAAGGGTCTCTCAGCAGATGGCCGGGTTTAGAGCTGTACGAAGACACACAGCTAATGAAAAATTGTGGAATTCTCAGAGCCCGTGAAGCCTAGCCCACGGATGCGAGGTTTGGACCACTGAGGGAACGCGCATGCGTGCTAGGCAGGGCAGTCCGAAGGCTTGGGGGTGTATCATAGGGTCTCATCGGAGGTTTGTTGGCCGTAAGACCCCTGGAATTGGAACTCTAAAAACACAGAAAGGATATGAGCTCAGGAGACTTGAACGAAAGAGTTGTCTTAGGAAGAGGGGTCAGAAGACAAGGGTGCTGGGCAAAAGGCTAGTTCTTCGAATCAGAATACGGTGGCCAGAAAGGTTCCTCTGACGAAAGAGGGGCGTGGTTCGAAGCCGTACAGTGGCCGGTAAAGCTCAAGAAACATGGAACGAAAAGGACGCGAAGAATCGGCAGGGAGAAGCGGACAGGATGTCCCGAAAGGCTCATATAACCGAAAAGGCGGGTTAATGTGAAGGGACGGAAGGGACAGAACTTGCGGGAGGCACATGCTGGCCGAGAAAGTCCTGGAGTTCGGAGCATACAGTGTTTTTATTAGGTGGAAACAAACGGGCTGGGAGAAAGACGAGTACGGTGGCCAGGTTGGTCCTTCCATAGCCGGAAGTGGCCTTCCTGAGAGGCGTGGCTGCGGCACTCTTGCCGGATAGGGTGGCCCGGCGGGGCTAGGAAAGCGTGAAATCTCGCGCGATTGCGCTGCGAAGTCGGGGACGGGGCGGGGCTGGCGGCGGGGGCGGGGACCCGGAGCGGGAAGATGGCGGCGGCGCAGGAGGCGGACGGGGCCCGCAGCGCCGTGGTGGCGGCCGGGGGAGGCAGCTCCGGTCAGGTACGGAGGCCGAGAGGGGACTGAGGGGGTTCTTCCCCAGCCGGGGGGCCTCCCACGGGGCGTGTCCTACCTCTTGTCACGGAATCCCGTGCACTGGGGGCTCCTTGGCCAGAGGGACCTTGAATACCCGGCCCAGGCAGGGCCGGACCGCCCGGGAGGCCGGACGGTGCCGGGAACAGGGCCCTGTTGCGGGTCGGTTCCCCTGCACGCTCGAGCCGGGCGGCCACCAGGCTCATTGCTCGATCCGGGGAGACAGTGGCTCGGAGGGGCGCAGGCTTGTACCTTGGCGCGCTGGGTTCTCAACTCCGCGATTCCATGCTCTGAGGCCGTTCCTAGAGTGGTCTGGCGTTCAGGTCTCGTTGTAGTGTTTGAGGTGTGCGCAGTGATTAATTGGGAGTTTTCTAGCTGTGGGGAAGTCAGTATTAGCAGGGCACGGCCGACAGACCCATTTTACAGACGGGAATTCAAGGAACAGTGAGACTAAGGCGCTTCTAGAAGGTCATCCTGGTTAGGTTTGTAACTTTATGTAGAAGTTACAAGACACTGCTGACACAGGGACTGGTATGGTTGTGGTTTTAATGTAAAATAGTTCTATGGGTTAATTAGTCCTGGTGCGGATGACTTCTGCCCCACTGCTGTCTTAACACACTGCAGAGCATACCATTTCAGGCAGCTACCGTTCAGGCATTTGGGGAATAGATGGAGAGACATGAAGGTGCTGTCGACCCACCCACTGGGATGTCACTGACATGTGGGAGGCAGCTCAGGGGAAAGGAGTGCGGGTTGAGAGGGGAGAATGAAGCTGACTCTCTGTGTGACCTTGGGCAAGTTCCTTTCCCTCTTTAGGCCTTTATCTCTCCCGTGTTAAATGCAGAGGTTGGACAGGAGGGCCAGCCATATCCCTGCTGTCAGGGGACGAAGAGAGGAGACTGACATGTAAACAGTTGTAATCCTGAATGATTAGGTTGGTGACAAAAGTCTGTGTCAGGGACTGGGGGAGCCCAGAGAAAGAGCAAGTGGTATCACTTGGGTAGGACACATGGATGAAATTTGTGTGATAGAGCCCACTGTATCTGCTCTGAATCTTTTCAGCATTCTCAGCCAGGGCCTGGCTTCAGGGACAGCTTAGGAAATGTTTGTTGAGTTAGTGCTGGAATGAAGGCTCAGTTCCTGTCTTCAAGGGTTTCCCAGTCTTGCTGAAAGGAGGTCGTTTCCCCTCTGGGTTTCTGTTGATTATTGGGTTGATGGTGGCTTGAGAGACCAGGGCCCAGGTTGTTCTCATTGCCCTGAGCTTCCAGATGGCACTCTGATCTTCTCTTGTACCAACTCTGCTTAAAAACAATCAAGAGTTACCCCTTTGCCTTTAGGACAAAGTACAAATTCTTTAATAAATCACAGTCTTGCACGATCCGACACTTTTCTTCAGACTAGACTAGGATTTCTCGAGCTCGGCACTATCAACATTTTGAATTGGATAATGCTTTGTTTGGGGGGCTGCCCTGTGCATTTTAGGATGTTTAGCAGCATCCGTGGCCTCTACGCACTAGATGTCAGTAGGATCCACGCCCCTCCCCAGTTGTGACAACCATATATGTCTCCAGACATTGCCAAATGTTCCAAGAGCAGGGGGGCAAAGCCATCCCTGCGTGAGAACAACTGCGCTAAAGGGGATCCGCTGCTCTGAACCTATTTTATTTCTAAACCTCTTTTATTGCCTCTCAGTCTCTTTCCTCATAGTCTATGCACAGGTCTCTCCCCTCTTTAGCTAGTTGATGTGTATTAGTCCTACAGATTTCAGATGTCCCTTCCTGCAGAAAGCCCTCTTTGACTGTCTGGGCTCCGCTGTCCCAGCCCTGCCCTACTGGGTTTCACTGTCTGGGGACTGGGAACCCCAGGAGGGCAGAGCCAGGACTGCCTTGATCACCACTGCTTCCTTAGCACCACTCAGCTCAGCGCCAGGCACAGAGGAGGTGCTCAGTGTTTGTGGAATGAGCGGATCTTGAAACAGAGGCTGGGCTGAGGTGGAATTCCCTGATGCCGTGGTGGATCCAGGTAATCAGTGAAGACATGCCGCAAAACCTAGCTTCCTCCTGCTCTTGCCTAGCCCTGGTGGTCTCAGCTACTTCTTGGACCCTTTAGCAGATGTTGCTGGGGATTGTGTGTGTGCGTGGACGTGCAGATCCGAGAGCAGGAACTGTGTCTTAGTCACTGATGTGTCCACAGCCACTGCCACCCTTCTCCCATGCCCAGGGCCTAGTGCACAGCAGGCACACCCTCTGCACAGTCTGCTGCTTTAGCTAGCCTGCTCCTGTAGCCAGGAACTCGGACACAGAACCCACAGCTTTGCCATTCCTTCCTTCAGCGAATGCGAATTGAGTCTACTCCATGCTAGGCCTTTGCTGATGCTGGAGATACAGCTGTGAATAAAATAGGTGCTGCCCTCTTGAAGGCCCTTACACTTATGTTCTAGTTGGAGCTGAATTTATAGGGGAAGCACAGACAGGGACACACAGTGAACAAGATAAATAAGAAAAACAGCAGTTCAGATGGCTCTGCGTGCCATGGACAGAAATAAAGCTGGGATGGGGATAGGAAGTGAGGGGTGGGTAGAAGAGTTGCAATTAAATAGGGTAGTCTAGAAGGCCTCTCTGAGGAGGTGACGCTTGAACAAAGACCTGAAGGAAGTGAGAGAGGGAGTCCCAAAGATACACGAGGGAAAAGCTTTTCAGGCAAAGGAGCAGCCAGTGCGAAGGCCCTAAAGTGGGAGGTGCCTGGTGTGATGAAGGAAGGGCGAGGAGGCTGGAGCGGGTGAGGGGAGAGGGGTGGCTGGGGACAGATGCAGATTATGCCAAGCTTTGGAGGCCATGGGGAGGACTTGGCCTTTACTCTGAGGGAAATAGGAGCTGAAAAGAGTGACTCTTTTTTTTTTTTTCTTTTTTCTGAGACGGAGTCTCGCTTTCTCACCACAATCTCGGCTCACTGCAACCTCCGTCTCCTGGGTTCAGGCAATTCTTCTACCTCAGCCTCTCAAGTAGCTGGGATTACAAGCACCTGCCACCACACCCAGCTAATTTTTGTATTTTTAGTAGAGACAGGGTTTCACCAGGTTGGCCAGGCTGGTCTTGAACTCCTGACCTCAGGTGATCTGCCCACCTCGGCCTCCCAAAGTGCTGGGATTTCAGGCGTGAGCCACCACGTCCAGCCTTGTGGTATAATTTAGATGGTATAACGTTCACCTGTTCTTAGGATAGAGTCCATTGGCTCCTGGTCCATTTATGCAGTTGTGTGGTGCAGCCATCACCACAGTCTGGTCTGAGAAAGCTTCTGTCCCCTCAAAAAGTTCCCTTTTACAGTCTCTGCTGCTCCCAATCCTAGGCAGCCACAGAGGTGCTATCTCTGTAATTTTCTAAAAATGTCTTAAACAAGGATCTAAACAACATCCAGTCTTTTGTGTCCAGCTTCTTTCATTGGGCATAATGGGTTTGAGGTTCATGTTGTTACATAGATCTGCAGTTGTTCATTTTTATTTTATTTTTTACAACCTAGGATCAGGGAAATTTGGCCTTTGGGGAAATCCTAAAGTACGTGCTCACAGTTGTTCCTTTTCACTGCTCAGTGGTAGTCTGCAGACATGACACAGTTTATTCTTTCAGTCCTTGAAGGATATTTGGATTGTTTTTAGTTTTTGTCTGTTGCCAATAATGCTGCTATGAACATTCATGTACAGGCTTTTCTGTGGCTGTATTTTGTTTCTTTTTTTTTTTTTCTAAGTAAGAGAGACAGGGTCTCCCTGTGTTGCTCAGGCTGGTCTCGAACTCCTGGGCTCAATGGATCCTCCTGCCTTGGCCTCCCAAAGTGCTAGGATTATAGGCATGAGCCACCACACCTGGCCACTGTTTGTTTTTGAGACAGAGTCATGCTCTGTCGCCTAGGCTGGAGTGCAGTGGTGTGATCCTGGTTCACTGTAGCCTCATTCTCCAAGGCTCAATTGATCCTCCCGTCTCAGCCTCCTGAGTAGCTGGGACCACAGGCATGCACTACCACACCTGGCTAATTTTTGTATTTTTATAGAGATGAGGTCTTGCTGTGTTGCCCAGGCTGGTCTTGAACTCCTGGGCTCAAGCAGTCTTCCTGCCTTGGCCTCCTGAAGTTCTGGGATTATAGGCGTGAGCCACTGCGCCTGGTCTGGCTTCATGTTTTCTGCCTCCTGGGTAGCCATTCAGGATGGGTTTGCTGGATTGTGTAGTAGGTGCACATATGACTTGTTCAATAACTGCCATATTTTCCGAAGTAGCTGTACTTTTACTTTCCCCCCTAGCAGCATACGAGGGTTCCTGTTTTTCCACATCCCTGCCAGCACTTGTGATTGTCTTTCTGCTGATAGCCATCCTAATAGGTGTGAAGTGACACCTCATTGTGGTTTTAACTTGCCTTTCCGTGGGAAGGTTCCCAGCCAGATTGCCCATCACTAACGGGTAAGCGAAGAGACCTGGGAGTCAGTCAGATGCAGCTTCAAATCCTGACCTGGCATCAAGTGTCCTTTCCTGACCCCAAATCAGCTCAGACCCATTGAAACCCATACTTGGACCCCTAAATTTCCCAATAGCTAGGCTGGCCTTGAGGAGGGGGCCTTGTGCCTGTCTGATTTCCCTTCCCCAGCCGACCCCCGCCCCATAGATCTCCTCATCAGAATGTGGCTTTCTCTGTCTCAGCCTAAGGGTCTCACCCAGACGACCCAGACGTCAAAGGGAGCTCCTCAGGGAGGCCTCTCTGACCACCCACTCCAAAGTGGATCCCTGTTCCCAACTCAGTTGCTGTCACTTCCCCCTGCTTGTTTTCCATGTACCATTTTTAATTATCCTGTTTACCGTTCTAGTGTGTTTCCTTCTAGATCCCCAGCTCTGGGTAAGCAGGGCCCAGATTTCTGTCTAAAATGTTCCAGTATTTTCACAACCTGGTCCACAGGTCAGAGAGGTGAAGTGATGTGCCCAAGGTGTCACAGCCAAGAACGGTGGGACCAGGACTATAGCTGAGGTCTGTTTGACCCTGGAGCCCCTCCAATGGTGTCCTGTGCTTTGGGAGATTACAGGAAAGAGCTCTTGCTGGTGAAGGGGACAGGAGGTGACAAGTGACACATTTAACACATGTAGCCCCTCTAACCATGCTCCTGGGACATTTGCTATCTGGTGGGTAAGGTGAATGGAGAAAACATTGCAGAGGAGTGGACTAGGGGCTGTGGAGGAGAGGGCCAGACACTGGAGCCTCAGAGGGAAGTGGGTTTGGGTGACCTGAGCGTCCGGGGTGAGTCCTTCAGGCAGCGGTGGCCACACAGGTGTTTATCACAGCCTTGCTCTGTGCCACTGGTGCTCTTGAGCTAACTGTGACTGTGATAGCCCTGGTCCTGCCTCTTGAAGGCTGATGGCTGAGGGGACAGCTGGGAGGAGGGGTGAATGAGAACAGGACTGGGGAGCTAGCAGGGTGCGTGAAGGGTGAGCAGAACATCCCCTTCCAAACCTGGCATTCAGAGAGTCTCTGATTGTGACCTTCTGTGTCTGAGTGAAGAGTCCTCCTCTGGGAAGCCGTGCCTGGCTCCCTTGCCTGCCCCCCTTCCCTTCTGTCATTCTGCTTCTGCGGTCCTTCCTGAGTGACCAGACAAGTGGCTTCACCTCTCTGAGCCTCCCTTTGCTCAGCAGCCGGATGGAGCTGGTCATAGTTTTGGCCTCAGGATTAGTGTGCTGTGTGCTGTCACAGACATGTCTTGTGGCCGTGGCTTATGGTAGCAGCTGATAGTCTGGTTGTGTTTTTCTGTGTCTGTCCCACCTGCTGGACCAGGGGCCCTTGGAGGGCAGGGTTGGCCACAGAGGGGGCCTCAGGAATGGTTTGCCCAGGGAAGGCTCTTTCAGCTAAGCCCCAGCCTTGAAGAATCTGGCACCTGCCATAAGACTCCTTCTGTTGTTGTCCCCAATAGCCACCTCCTTGCATCCTGGCTCCAGCCCCAGGGAACAGTGGACAGTCATCAGAATCAGACTGTGCCTCTAATCTTCTGTTTCTGCACCTGCTGCTTCTCTCACTTCCTCCTTTGTGCCACCAACTTGCTATGTTTTAGGTCTCAGCTTCAATGCCCCCTTCTCCAGGAAGTTGCCCCGAACCCTAGACTGGACCAGGTGCCTCTCAGGGCTCCTGCATTCCTGCCCCGTTCTGGACAGTCACTGTCTAGAGATGAATCTTTCTCCCCCACCGGGCTGTTAAACCCCAGGAGGACAGCAAAAGACTCTCTAGGTCACCACTGTCCCTAGGTCACAGAGGTGCTCTGCGAGTGTTTTCCTCCTAAAAGAAGAGGACCGCACCTTCCCAGGTGTTTTCACTGATTCATTCTCCAGTTATTGATAAGCACCCACTCTTTGCCCAGCCTGTGCCTGGCCTTCATGCATGATGGTGTCTAAGACAGCCCCCGTGTCCATTCTCCCTCCTTACCCTGGCCTCTGTCCCCCACAGGTGACCAGCAATGGCAGCATCGGGAGGGACCCGCCAGCGGAGACCCAGCCTCAGAACCCACCGGCCCAGCCGGCACCCAATGCCTGGCAGGTCATCAAAGGTGTGCTGTTTAGGTGAGCAGACGGGACTTGGGTTTGTTCACCGAAAACATTCAAATAAAAATAAGGAAGAAAGGAAAAGTCAGCTGATCAGCTGAGGATGGTGATCATTACTGTATGGTAGAGTTGCTTTTTTTCTTTTTTTTTTTGTATGATGGAATGTTTTCTAAACCTTTTTTTTACTCTGGTAAAACATACTGAAGTAGGGAGTCTCCCTGAACCTGTTCTGGTTTTTGGGGGGCTACCTGATTTGTGAAAAAATAAAAACACAAAAAATACTGAAGTAGTTTGCTAGGGCCCTTGTATCAAGTAATATAGACGGAGTAGCTTAAACAACTGAAATAGGAAATTCATTGTCTTACAGTTCTGAAGGCTGGAAGTCCAGGATCCAGCTGTGGGCAGGGGCAGTTTCTTCTGTGGCTTCTCTCCTGGGCTTGCAGAAGGCCGTCTTCTCCCTGTGTCTTCATGTGGTCTTTCCTCTGTGTGTGTCTGTGTCCTAAGCTCCTCTTATGGGGACACTAGTCATACTGGCTTAGTACCCACCATAATGACCTCACTGAACCTTACTTTTTTACAGACCCTATCTGGGCCAGGCACAATGACTCACCCTCATAATCCCAGCATTTTGGGAGGCCAGGTTGGAAGGACTGCTTGAGCCCAGGAGTTTGAGACCAGCCTGGGCAACATAGTAAGACCCTGTCTCTACTAAAAATAAAAAAATCTGGCTGGGCACGGTGGCTTACACCTACAATCCCAGCACTTTGGGAGGCCGAGGCGGGTGGATCACGAGGTCAAGAGATCGAGACCATCCTGGCCAACATAGTGATACCCCATCTCTACTAAAAATAAAAAAATTCCGGAGGCTGAGACAGGAGAATGGCGTGAACCCGGGAGGCGGAGCTTGCAGAGAGCTGAGATCGCGCTACTGCACTCCAGCCTGGGCAACAGAGAAAGACTCCGTCTCAAAAAAAATAAAAAATACAAAAAAAATACAAAAATTAGCTGGGTGTGGTGGCACGTGCCTGTAGTCCCAGCTACTCAGGAGGCTGAGGGCAGGAGAATCGTTTGAACCCAGGAGGCAGAGGTTGCGGTGAGCTGAGATCGTGCCACTGCATTCCAGCCTGGGGACAGAGTGAGACTCCATCTCAAAAAAAAAAAAAAAAAAAAAGCCAGGTATGGTGACACGTACCTGTAGTCTCAGCTATTCAAGAGGCTGAGGTAGGAGGATCACTTGAGCCTTGGAAATTTTTTTATTTTTATTTTATGTATTTTTTTTTTTTTTTGAGACGGAGTCTCGCTCTGTCGCCCAGGCTGGAGTGCAGTGGCACAATCTTGGCTCACTGCAAGCTCCGCCTCCCGGGTTCACGCCATTCTCCTGCCTCAGCCTCCCGAGTAGCTGGGACTACAGGCACCCGCCACCACACCTGGCTAATTTTTTGTATTTTCAGTAGAGATGGGGTTTCACCGTGTTAGCCAGGATGGTCTCTATCTCCTGACCTCATGATCCGCCTGCCTTGGCCTCCCAAAGTGCTGCGATTACAGGTGTGAGCCACCGCACCCAGCCTATTTTTATTTTTGTAATGGAGTCTCGCTCTGTTTCCCAGGCTGGAGTACAGTGGCGCGATCTCAGCTCACTGCAACCTCCACCTCCTGGGTTCAAGCGATTCTCCTGCCTCAGCCTCCTGAGCAGCTGGAATTAAGGTATGTGCCACCATGCCCAGCTAATTTTGTATTTTTAGTAGAGATGGGGTTTCTCCATGTTGGTCAGGCTGGTCTCGAACTCCCAACCTCAGGCAATCTGCCCGCCTTGGCCTCCCAAAGTGTTGGGATTACAGGCGTGAGCCACTGCACCCAGTGCCTAGCTAATTTTTGCTTTTTTTTTTTTTTATTAGAGATGGGGTTTCACTATGTTGACCAGGCTGGTCTCGAACTCCTGACCTCATGATCCACCCGCCTCAGCCTCCCAAAGTGCTGGGATTACAGGCGTGAGCCACTGGGCCCTGCCTGACCCTCAGAAGTTGAAGCTGCAGTGAGCCGAGATCACACCACTGTACTCCAGTCTGGGCATCAGAGTGAGACCTTATCGCAAAAAAAAGTTGGGGGGACCCTGTCTCTAAATCTAGTCACGGTGGTACTGAAGGTTGAGACTTTAACATATGAATTTTGGGAGACATGATTCAGCCCACATCTGCACATAACATCAAATTTACCATTTTAACCTATGTTTTCATTTTAACCTTTTTTTTTTTTTTTTTTTTTTTTTTTTTTGAGACAGCGTCTCACTTTGTCACCCAGGCTGGAGTGCAGTAGTGCAATCTCGGCTCACTGCAGTCTCTGCCTCCTGGGTTCAAGCGATTCTCCTGCCTCAGCCACCTGAGTAGCTGGGACTACAGGCACCTGCCACCACGCCTGGCTAATTTTTGTATTTTTAGTGGAGATGGGGTTTTGCCGTGTTGGCCAGGCTGGTCTCTAACTCCTGACCTCAGGTGATCCACCCGCCTCAGCCTCCTAAAGTCCTGGGATTATAGGCGTGAGCCACCACGCTTGGCCCATTTTAACCATTTTTAAGTATGTAGTCCTGTGGCATTAAGTACATCTCCACTGTTGTGCCCCCATCACCATTATCCATCCCGAGAATTTACTCTTCCCAAACTGAAATTCCATACCCATCAGACACAAGCTTCCCATTTCTTCCTCCTTGCAACACCTGGCAGCCACTTTTCTATTTCCTGTCTCTCTTTCACTACTCTAGTTAGCTCCTGTATGTGGAATCAGACAGCATTTGTCCTTCTGTGACTGCCTGGTGGTGACCCTTTTACCTGTGGGTTCACATGCTATTCCTGGGCAGTGGGACCCCAGGGCCTGTTTTTTCAAAGCCCAGCTTCTGTTTGAGGCCCTGGGGAGATGCTGGGTGGTGGCGGGGGAATATGCTTGGCACTGGGTTCTATCCTTCCTGCCTAGACCTAGTGACAGTCACCTTCTTTGCTCTGAGCCTTTGTTTACTCCTCTGCAAAATAGATATTCCTTTTATTTTTTTTTTGCTTTTTGGAGATGTATTTTAGCAAAATAAGAGACCACACCATGCAGTTAGGCAATCAGCTTCCCTACTTATGAGATAGAAGGAATTGCACAGCAGAGATGTTTACAACAATCATCCCGCCAGGTGCGGTGGCTCACGCCTGCAATCCCAGCACTTTGGGAGACCGAGGCAGGCAGATCATGAGGTCAAGAGATCGAGACCATCCTGGCCAATATGGTGAAACCCCATCTCTACTAAAAATACAAAAATTAGCTGGGTGTGGTGGCACAAGCCTGTAGTCCCAGCTACTCGGGAGGCTGAGGCAGGAGAATCACTTGAACCTGGGAGGTAGAGGTTGCAGTGAGCCAAGATCGTGCCACTGCACTCAAGCCTGGCGACAGAGCAAGACTGAGTCTCAAAAAAAAAAGAGAAAATAAAAATAAAACAATCATGGCTGGGCGCGGTGGCTCACGCCTGTAATCCCAGCACTTTGGGAGGCCAAGGCAAGCAGATCACGAGGTCAGGAGATCGAGACCATCCTGGCTAACACAGTGAAACGCCGTCTCTACTGAAAATACAAAAAAATTAGCCAGGTGTGGTGGCGGGCGCCTGTAGTCCCAGCTACTCAGGAGGCTGAGGCAAGAGAATGGTGTGAACCCAGGAGGCGGAGCTTACAGTGAGCCCAGGTGGTGCCACTGCACTCCAGCCTAGGCGACAGCGAGACTCCGTCTCAAAAAATAAAACAAAAATAAAAAAATAAAACAATCATTCCTTTGGCTAGAATGTCTTCACATGGCCATGGCCAGCTGCACGGGAGGCTGGGAAATGTGGTCTTTAATCTGGGAAACTGAGCACCCTGCTGGAAAGCAGGGCTCCTATTACTGAGGAAGAAGAGGAGAGTGGTTATGGGGGGCAGCTACTTATCTCTTCCATAAAATCTTATTACTGGTTTCCCTTAGCTTATAAATTATGAGTGTTTATTTTACAAAATTAAGTAGTTCAAACAATACGAAGAGTGAAAAGAAAAAGCTAATGAAAAAGTGTAATGTGGGCCGGGCGCGGTGGCTCACGCCTGTAATCCCAGCACTTTGGGAGGCCGAGGTGGGTGGATCACGAGGTTAGGAGATCGAGACCATCCTGGCTAACACAGTGAAACTGCATCTCTACTAAAAATATAAAAAATTAGCCGGGCATGGTGGCAGGCGCCTATAGTCCCAGCTACTCGGGAGGCTGAGGCAGGAGGATGGCGTGAACCTAGGAGGCGGAGCTTGCAGTGTGCCAAGATGCCGCCACTGCACTCCAGCCTGGGTGACAGAGCGAGACACAGTCTCAAAAATAAAAAAGTGTAATGTGTTGGTGGCCATCCCATAGGCACACATTTTTGTAATTGGCCCTAAATGGGATTATATATAGATGCTCACAGATAGAGTTGTTTAAAATAGAGAAAAGTTAGGAGGCGGGGGGCAGGTAGTGTCAGATAGCGTGTAAGAGCACAGCCCTGCTGACATCTCAGCCCTGCCACCTCTGAGCTCTGTGGCCTGGTCAGGTTATCACCCTTCTTGAGCCTCATTTTCCACCTCACAGACAGGGAATCTTGACAATTAGCTCAGGGTGCATCAGAAGGATTCCAAGAGAATTCATGTCAACTGAGGGGTGCAGGAGCTGGCACGCACACAGACAATGTTGGCCATGATTCCTTTTGTTGTTCAACGTGGAAAAAAAAAAAGCCTGAGCAACACAGTAAGACCCCCATCTCTCTCTCTCTCTCTCTTTTTTTTGGGAGACAGAATCTCGCTCCGTCGCCCAGGCTGGAGTGCAGTGGCGCGATCTCGGCTCACTGCAAGCTCCGCCTCCTAGGTTCACGCCATTCTCCTGCCTCAGCCTCCCGAGTAGCTGGGACTACAGGCGCCCGCCACAGCGCCCGGCTAATTTTTTGTATTTTTAGTAGAGACAGGGTTTCATCGTGTTAGCCAGGATAGTCTCGATCTCCTGACCTCGCTATCCACGCACCTCGGGCTCCCAAAGTGCTGGGATTACAGGCGTGAGCCACCGCGCCTATCCTGACCCCATCTCTGTAAAAAACTAAAAAATTAGCTGGGTGTGATGGCGCACACCTGTAGTGCCAGCTATTAGGGAGGCCGAAGAGGGAGGATCGCTTGAGCCCAGGAGGTCAAGGCTGCAATGGGCCGTGATGATACTACTGCACTCCAGCCTAGGCAACAGAGTGAGACTGTATCTCAAACAAACAAAAACCTTAGGAAATATATAGTGAAACAGTGAAAAAAAAAAGTTCATGAGGCCGGGTGCAGTGGCTCACGCCTGTAATCCCAGCACTTTGGGAGACCAAGGTAGGTGAATCACCTGAGGTCGGGAGTTCCAGACCAGCCTGACCAACATGGAGAAACCCATCTCTGCAAAAAATACAAAATTAGCCGGGCATGGCGGCTTATGCCTGTAATCCCAGCTATTCAGGAGGCTGAGGCAGGAGAATCGCTTGAACCCGGGAGGCGGAGGTTGCAGTGAGCCGAGATCATGCCATTTTACTCCAGCCTGGGCAACAAGAGTGAAACTCTGTCCCAAAAAAAAAAAAAAACAACTCATGATCCCTGATGTAGTCACTGATCACATTCTAGACTAGAGCAGAACTGCCTGCCTGGTGTCCTCCAAGAGTGTCACACAGGACACTGAGAAACTGCAGGAAAGAAACCTCCCCACTCTGTTAAGTTGCAAAACTGACATGTGTGCCTCAAAAATTCCTGCCATGTGCCCTACGCTTCTCAGTCATGCGCCCCTGTCCCTTACCGTCTCCACTTCACCTCCCCTCCCCATGGCCACGTAAAGACTTCAGATTTTCTTATATATCACCTTCTTTTTTTTCATGCTGCAAGCAGCTCTGCATGAAAATTATTTTTATCTTTCCCTTCATTTTTACATAAGAGGTAGCCTGTTTTACACACTGTTCTGCTCCTTGATTTTTTTCATTAACAATATATCTTTGAAATCTTTCCACGTCAGTGCATAGGGAGCTTCCTTCAGAGAGACATTTTTAATACAAGTCACACTGTAGGCTAATTTCCTTTCTTAGAACTAGGCAGCATCAAACATCAGTTCGGGTGGGTGCTCGGAGACCATCTTGGCTGCAGTTCTTAAAATGGGATCCAGGGTTTGTTTTCAGGGGCCCATGAACTCCTTGTAGCTTGAAGCTGATTATGTGGGAATAGCCTTTCTAGATAGCGGGTGGCGTCTGTGTTTTTGAGCACATGTGGTTACCTGGAGTGGGAGGTGGAGCAGGAACTGGGTATATAAAGGAATGGGGTGGGAGGGAGAGTTTTGATTATACGTCTTTTCATATATTTAAAAATGTTCTGAACCTGTGACTGTAGAATACCTATTTGGGTGGGAGAAAGGATTTAATGTCTGTTTTCTTTGCTTACTCAAGTACATCAGGAAGCATTAGAAAGGTCCAGTCTCCTGCAGGCCTGGGTGCATGGATGAGGGGCCATGGCCATGAGCCCTCTGAGAGGGTCCACAGAACTGTGGGCGTGTGGATACACACAGGACGTTCTTCAGGGGACTGGGGATCTGGAATCCAAAAAGGCCTGGCCTTGTTTTATACATGGGGATCTAGAAGCCCAGAGGGGTTAGGACCCCCACAGCCACACACTAAGCCAGGGGCAGAGCTGCCTGGGGGCATCACTGCTTCTACACTCTCCCCTGGTGTGTTTACTAAAATGAGAGCCTCTGCTGGAGGCATCGGTATCCCCAGAGATTGCCAGGTCCAGACCTTCCCCAGACGTGCATATCAGGGACTTCATGGGGAGGTAGCGATGGCTCAGCTGGACCGTGGCCCCTAAGACCCTGGACCCCAGGGCCTTGTGGCTTCTACAGGCAGAGGCAAGTTCCTGTGCCTGATCCTGCCCCTGATCAGGGCTCAGCAGGGAGGCACCCCACCCACACTAGAATTTACTCATAGTGTTTTTCTGCTCCAAAGTTTTTTGTATGCCTTTTTCCTATGATTAAAATAACAGTAATAGCTAACACTTCTCAGTCACTTACTGGGTATGCACCAGGCTCCATTCTGAGGTACGTGTGCGTGTGTCAGATGTATATACACGCTATATAAACATATATATAATTTAATGTGTTTAATGCTTATAAACTACCCTATGAGAGTAGGCACTGTTATTATCCCCATTTCAACCATTGAAGTTGACCACTGAGGTCACAGTAAGTAGCAGAGCTGGGCTTCAGATGAAGATACTGTAGTTTAGAGGCTGGGCTCATAACCTCTTCTGCTGTATGGTTATCATACCTATAATTAATAAGTACTTGAATCATTTAATCACATGGCTGCATGCAGCTGAGAAACCTCCATTAACACAGTACAGGTTCATTTCTCTCTGATATACCAGTCTGGATGGAGGCAGACTAGGATTCTGCAGTCTTCAGTGACCCAGACTCCTTGCTGTTTGTTGTGCCATTGCTAGGTTTTTCCCTTTATCCTCATAGCCCAAGACAGCTGCTGAAGATTCAGCCATCACATCCACACTCCAGGCAACAGGAGAGAAGAATAAATCAAGAAGGAATATTTCTTCTCTTTAAGGACACTTTTTTTTTTTTTTTTTTGAGATGGAGTCTTACTCTGTCACCCAGACTGGAGTCCAGTGGCATGATCTCGGCTCACTGCGACCTCCACCTCCCAGGTTCAAGCGATTCTTTTGCCTCCGCCTACCAAGTAGCTGGGATTACAGGCGCCCGCCACCACGCCCGGCTAATTTTTGTATTTTTAGTAGAGATGGGGTTTCACCATGTTGGCCAGGTTGGTCTCGAACTCCTGACCTCAAGTGTTGGCTTCCCAAAGTGCTGGGATTATAGGTGTAAGCCACCACGCCCAGCCTCGTTTTGGTTTTGGTATCTGTTGTTGCTGCTGATTCTCGCTCATAATGTCGTTTCCTTTTGTGCCTGGCTTATCTCTGTCTGTGTCCTAGTCATTATACTTGAAAAGTTATTTGTAGGAATTTCAGGGCTAGGATGAGCATATTTTCCTACAGAGAGGATTGCCTTTGCTTCTGCCTGGGGGCATTACCAAGTCCTAGGTTTCCTTGCACCAGGTTCAGGGCTTGAGCTGCCCTTCGTGACTCCTTATCCCACGAGTGGCCTTGCATACTTCGCCCTGCATACCTGTTGTGCAACTCCTGGGAATGGGTAGGCCACCTGGTTCCTTCCTTCTCAGGGGTGGAGGCTTGCACCTTGTGGGGTCTTAGTTTCCTATAGGGTAGGTCTCTGGTTACCTCATATGTTGTATGTGCCCTGGGCTAGCATTTTTTTTTTTTTTTTTGAGACAGGGTCTCACTCTGTTGCCCAGGCTGGAGTGCAGTGGCATGATCGTGGTTCACTGCAGCCTCGACCTCCTGGGCTCAGGTGATTCTCCCACCTCAGCCTCCTGAGTAGCTGGGAATATAGGCATGGTGCGTGCTGCCATGCCTGGCTAATTTTTGTATTTTTTGTAGAAACTGTGTGTTGCCCAGGCTGGTCTCAAACTCCTGGGCTCAAGCAATCCACCTACCTCAGCCTCCCAGCGTGCTGGGGTTACAGGTGTGAGCCACCGCGCCCAGCCTAGGCCAGCATTTTTGTCACCCACCAAAACACCTAGCAGATGTCCTCGGACACATGAAGAAGCTTATAGGGCTCCTTTACTTATTCTTTTTTTTTTTTTCCCCTAGACCTGCAAATCCAAGATCCTTTACTTCTTTTTTTTTTTTTCCTTGAGATGGACTTTTTGCTCTTGTTGCCCAGGCTGGAGTGCCATGGCACGATCTCGGTTCACTGCAACCTCCTTCTCCTGGGTTCAAGCGATTCTCCTGCCCCAGCTTCCCGAATAGCTGGGATTACAGGCATGCACCACCACTCCTGGCTAATTTTTGTATTTTTAGTAGAGATGGGGTTTCACCATGTTGGCCAGGCTGGTCTTGAACTCCTGACCTCAGGTGATCCACCCACCTCGGCCTCCCAAAGTGCTGGGATTACAGGCTTGAGCCACCGCGCCCGGCCGATCCTTTACTACTTTAGGATTCCCACTTTCCCTTCAGTTTTTGCCTGAAGGTTTGGTAACCTACAGTCGTGTCCATTCTTCAGAGCTGTCTATTTATATATATTCATATGTAAACTTGATAAAAATTACATGCATGAGAACAAATACGAGAATACGTGAGCAGCATATATTCTCATTCTATCAATATGTATAATTACAAATATAAAATATATTGATATTTTCTTAGTGTATTAATTTTATCAAGCTTTTCCAATTTTTTCCAGTGAGAGGGTTGGTCTGAATAATTAAGCCCACTGTTACTAAAATTGGAACTAACGTATCACTTACTATCTGCTTCTCCAAAAATTCTCCAAAAGTTCAGAAATGTTGCTCTTTCTAAGCTTCTGTGCCTTCGGTTCTTTTCCTTTTCTTTTTTAAAAAATTTAATTAATTAATTGATTAATTTTTTTGGGACAAGCTCTCTATCTCCCAGGCTGGAGTGCAGTGGCGCAATCACGTCTCACTGCAGCCTTGACCGTCAGGGCTCAAGTGACTCTCTCACCTCAGTCCCCCAAGTAGCTGGGACTACAGGCATGGGCCACCATGCCCAGCTAATTTTTATATTTTTTGTAGAGACGGGATTTCATCATGTTGCCCAGGCTGGTCTCAAACTTTTGAGCTCAAGCAATCCGCCTGCCTCAGCTTCCCAAAGTGCTGGGATTACAAGCATGAGCTGCTACACCTGACCCAATTATACTTTTTTTTTTTTTTTTTTTTTTGAGATGGAGTCTCACTCTGTTGCAAGGCTGGAGGGCAGTGGCGCAATCTCGGCTCACTGCAACCTACGCCTCCCGGGTTCAAGTGATTCTCCTGCCTCAGCCTCCCAAGTAGATGGGACTAGAGGCACGCACCACCAGGCCCAGTTAATTTTTGTATTTTTAGTAGAGACAGGGTTTCACCATGTTGGCCACGATGATCTCGATTTCTTGACCTCGTGATTTGCCCACTTCAGCCTCCCAAAGTTACAGGCATGAGCCACTGTGCCTGGCCTCTATACTTCTTAAGTTATTTTAAAATGTGTAATTAAATTACTATTGACTAGAGTTGCCGTGTTTTGCTACCAAATACTAGATCTCATTCATTCTTTTTTTTTTTGAGATGGAGTCTCGCTCTGTTGCCCAGGCTGGAGTGCAGTGGCGCGATCTTGGCTCACTGCAACCTCTGCCTCCTGGGTTCACACCATTCTCCTGCCTCAGCCTCCGGAGTAGCTGGGACTACAGGCGCCCGCCACCATGCCCAGCTAATTTTTTTGTATTTTTTAGTAGAGACAGGGTTTCACCATGTTAGCCAGGATGGTCTCAATCTCCTGACCTCGTGATCCGCCCGCCTTGGCCTCCCAAAGTGCTGGGATTACAGGCATGAGCCGCCGCGCCCGTCCTCGTTCATTCTATTTTTTGTAGCCATTAACCATCCCCGGTTCTGTGCTTTTGAAGCGCTAGGATTCCAGATTCTTTCTTTTAAAAATTTTATGTTTATTATTTTTTCTTTATTTCTTTTTTCTTTTAATTCATCCATCTGCACACTGAAGGGGTTCCAGATTCTTAGTCTCCTCTCGGGGGATCCCAGGGGGCTGGATGGCAGGTTTCCCAGTCTGAGTCAAGAGTCAGCCCCTGCAGCCCTGTGGTCACCAGGAGCTCCTGCAGGATTTAGAGTCAAGGGTCTGCATGCAGACCAGGGCAGTGCCAGCTACCCCCACACACTGGCAAACGGTGGCATCTGGGCTCCCTCCCCAGATGTGGTCTTTAGGGACATCTTATCTCCTTGCCAGCCCTGTGACTACCTTCTCAGGGCCTCCCTGACTTGGTCACTAGCCCCAGGTCAGGCGCCAGCATGTGCTAAGTCAGAAGGAAGTCAGGCGGGTCTATGGCGGAGAGCCAAGGCTTGGGGACTCACCACCTTGCTGCTTCTCTCCTCAGGATCTTCATCATCTGGGCCATCAGCAGTTGGTTCCGCCGAGGGCCGGCCCCTCAGGACCAGGCGGGCCCCGGAGGAGCTCCACGCGTCGCCAGCCGCAACCTGTTCCCCAAAGACACTTTAATGGTAACTGCCGGGTGGTAGGGCAGACTTGGGAGGTGATGGGGTGTGGAGGGGTGGAATGTGGAGGAGTGATGTCAGCAGTCGGGACAGACCAGGTCCTTGCTCACTGGCAGGTCTAGGAAAACAGGTCCAGGGTTGAGGAACTCTGGGCCCATCCCCAACACGTGAGACCTCTGTCACCTGGGTCCATCCCCAGCACATAAAACCTGTGTCACCCAAAAGAAAAAGCAAATTCATTTGGTTAAAATAGGTTAAATCAGGGTCTTTGGATGTTATATTTCAAAAGTATGTTCAGCCTTTCAGGGTTGCAGAGGGAGATGTGCAAGGGAGAGAGTGTGAGAGGTGGGGAGGGCAGGGAGCCAGCAGAGGCTGACAGGAGGTGGGCCCGGAAGGAGAGGAGACCTGCACTTCCACAGTGGGCTTGGGCACAGGCAGGGCAGGGCTTCAGGAGCCTCCAGAGCAAAAGCATTTAGATCTGTCAGTCTAGGCTTTTCTGAGCAAACATGGCCATTGGGGCTTGAGAAAGGAGGAAGTTCTTGTTGGGTCACAGTGGGTTTTTTTTTTTTTTTTTTTTGAGATGGAGTCTCACTCTGTCGCCCAGGCTAGAGTGCAGTGGCATAATCTTAGCTCACTGCAACCTCTGCCTCCCGGGCTCCAGTGATCCTCCTGCCTCAGCCTCACGACTAGCTGGGATTACAGGCATGTGCCACCACGTCCAGCTAATTTTTTGTATTTTTAGTAGAGATGGGGTTTTACCTTTTTGGTACGCTGGTCTCGAACTCCTGACCTCAAGTGGTCTACCCGCCTTGGCCTCCCAACGTGCTGGGATCACAGGCATGAGCCACCGTGCCCGGTGGCTCACAGTGCTTTTGTAGCTCTGGACTGCTTCGTCCATAAGCCTGCAGAGCTCTGACCAGGAAGGCCCAGCAGCCATGAGGGCAGGAGATCATTCAGGGAGCTCCTGCCCCTTCCTACCCCTAAATTCTAATTGGCAGGCTGGCCAGTCTCCAAGTGTTCTTTGTTCGTTGACTTCACAGGCTCAGACCAGGACAAACATGGTGGTATGAGAAAAGAGAAAATATGTCCTCTCTGCTGCTCTTCCTCTCTCCTCTCCCCTGTCCTCCATAATTACTGTTCCCCTGAGTGTGCTGACCGCTGCCATAGCTCTTTAGCCAGCCTGCAGAGGCTCTGAAGAGCAGGCCTGAGCTCTGTTCCCTTCCTGTCCCAACAGAACCTGCATGTGTACATCTCAGAGCACGAGCACTTTACAGACTTCAACGCCACGTCGGCACTCTTCTGGGAACAGCACGATCTTGTGTATGGCGACTGGACTAGCGGCGAGAACTCAGACGGCTGCTACGAGCACTTTGCTGAGCTCGATATCCCACAGGTGGGGGCAGCTCTCGGTTTCTGGCCCCATGGCTGCTTGACTGGCACTGAAGGACCTTTTCCTCCAGTCCGCTCCTTGCTGAGAGCATGTGGAGTTTGGGCTCCAGGCTTGGCCCTTCCCTGGGCTCACATGGTCTGTGACCACAAGCCAGTCCCTGAGATCTCTGGGCTTCACTTTCCCCTACCTGAAAAAGGTAGATAGGGGTGGAATTGGCCTGGGACCCTCCCAGCTACCTCTAAGGTTGTGCAGTCCTCCACTTTAAACTGGTGAAAGATTAGTAATTGTCCTTGGGGATGTTTGCCTATCACCAGTTTATCAGGCAGCCCCGTTTCAAAATAATATTAGTTAATGTTGATTGAGCTAAGTGCAGGGTACTAAGCTAGGCTGACTCATGGAAATTTCCCGGCAACCCTGTGAAGCAGGAACTGTTATTATTCTCATTTAACATGTGAGGAAACTGAGAGAGAAGGAAAGTGATTTACCCAAGGCCACATCGCATGAGAGATTCAGACTCAGGCTCTACGGCTGTGGACTCTCGCAGCCCTAGGCTCAAATCCAACCTCCTCCAGGAAGCCCTCCCTGACTCACAGAGCACTCAGGCTTGGTTAAGCACCCTCTCTGGGTTCTCACACCTGCTGGGCTTCCCCATCCCAGCCCATTCTGGGGCCTCATTGGGACTCCTGTATGGGACTGTGAGCCTTGTGATAATAAGGCTGGGGCTGCCTAGATCACTTCCATGTCCCCAGCACTGCCCAACGTGGGGCTGGGTGCAGAATCAGCAAGTATTGAACAAGTAAAAGGGACATCTCTCTTTGGGGCCTTCTTCGGCTGAGTCCAAGACAGCTGCCCTCATTCCTTTCTCCCCAGCAGGCCTTCTCAGCTTTGGGGTGGAGGGCACATTTCTGTTCTATTTCTGTCTGGGTAGCTAGAAGCAGAATGTGGACACAGTCATTCTGGTTTTTTTTTTTGTTTTTTGTTTTTTTTTGAGACAGCGTCTCGCTCTGTCACCCAGTCTGGAGGGCAGTGGCGCAACCTTGGCTCACTGCAACTTCACCTCCCAGGTTCAAGCGATTCTCATGTGCCAGCCTCCTGAGTAGCTGGGACTAAGGCACACATGATCACACCCAGCTAATTTTTTTATTTTTTAGTAGAGACAAGGTTTCACTATGTTGGCCAGGTTGGCCTTGAACTCCTGACCTCAAGTGATCCACCTACCTTGGTCTCCCAAAGTGCTGGGATTACAGGCGTGAGACACCGCGTCCAGCCATCATTCTTTTCTTTTTGAGATGGGGTCTTGCTCTGTTGCCTAGGCTGAAGTGCAGTGGTGCAATTACAGCTCACTGCAGCCTCAACCTCCTGGGCTCAAGCAATCTTTTCACCTCAGCCTCCCAAGTAGCTGGGACAACAGGCATGCACCACCATGCCCAGCTAATTTTTTGTAGAGATGGGGTCTCAACATGTTTCCCAGGCTGGTCTCAAACTCCTCTGCTCAAGCGATCCTCTCACCTCAGCCTCTCAAAGTGCTGGAATTACAGGCATGAACCACCCCACCTGGCTGGACTTTCTGACCTGCACTGAGAGGTGACTCCCACAGAGACCTCAAGCCCAGCCCCCAGGCCTTGCCACGAGATCCAAGGAAGGACCAGGGCCTGGCAGGCCCAGCAGGGGGATCTGCTTCCAAGGGCTTGGATCTAAGTCGAAGCTTCAGGGTGGGGTCCAAGTGGACTTAAAAGGCAGGAGAGCTGGGCACAGTGGCATGTGCCTGTAGGCACAGCTACTCAGGAGGCTGAGGTGGGAGAATGGCCAGAGCCCAGGAGTTTAAGACTGTAGTGTGCCATGATCGCAACTGCAAATAGCCAGTGCACTCCAGCCTGGGCAACACAGGAAGACCCCATCTCTAAAAAAGATAGGGAGAGTGAGGAGAACACAATGTGGCCAACTGAATTCGAGCTCTGCACAAGGATCAGAGAGGTTCAGTGCTCGCCTTTGTCTCCACCCAGTGCCCCTGGACAACTTGCCTCCCTTCTTGAAGCCTCAGTTTCCTCATCTGGATCAAGTGAGAATAGTCCCCCTTCCCTGGGAGGCAAGGAGACTTGATGAGATAATGAGGAAGACTTGGGCAGAGAGGGGCCAGCTGGAGGTAGCAGGGAGTAGCACCCAGGAGCCCACAGACTGGGTTTCCATCTGCGTACTTGCCACACACTATGTGACCCCTTGGCATGAGCCCCGTTTGCCTCATCTGCAAAATGGGGTGGTAACATGACCCATTGCATAAGGTTGACATGTTATATGTGTGTTAACTCGTTAGATTAGGAAGCTGTTGTCTGAAGTGCCCAGGGCAGGGTCTGGCCCATAGTAGGAGCTCCATGTCGGTCAGCTGCTTCTTCCTGTTGAGTGAGCTTAACGAGAGCTCGTTGACTGAGCTGTGTGCCAGTGCTCCAGGTAGTCCCTGCAGTGGTGCCCTCGGGTCAGTGCTGTGGGAACTTCGCATCCTCTAGGTGGGGCCCTGAGGCTCAGAGAGAAGCTGAGCTCACACGGCCATGGCAGGTAGAGCGGGCGTCTGAGTCTGTCTGACTCCAGCATTTACCTCTCTGCCACCCAGCTACATGCCCCACCCTGAGTACTCAGTAAATGGCCAGAGAGTTGAGGGGGAGGAAACTGCTGCAGATGGGTGCCAGGCAGGGCTTTAACGTTTCCCTCACCCCAGTTGCCCAGCCTGCCCACCTGACCTTCCGTCTTTTGCAGAGCGTCCAGCAGAACGGCTCCATCTACATCCACGTTTACTTCACCAAGAGTGGCTTCCACCCAGACCCCCGGCAGAAGGCCCTGTACCGCCGGCTTGCCACAGTCCACATGTCCCGGAGTAAGTCGCTCCCCTGCAGCCAGGACCCACTGTCCAGGAGGCCAGCATCCTGGGAGCCCCCAGGCTAATGTGGCGGACAAATCCCAAGTCCAGGAGGGCAGGCAGGAAGCCTGTGCTCAAAGAGGGTGGGATTGGCAGGGCAGGCTCAAGCCCCACCCAGCCTGAAAGAGCCCTGTGGACACTAAGCAGGGATACCCACGGAGGAAGGGAGACCCACGGAGGCTCAGGGACCAGAGAGAAATTGGCCAGAAAAAGCAGCTGGAGACAGGGACTCTTGGAGAGGAGGAGACGTCCTTCACCAAGGGGGAAGGGCCAGGGTTGACTTTTGCACAGTAGGGGCCTGATAGAAGTAGACACTCAAAAATAATTTGTGGGCTGGGTGCAGTGGTTCATGCCTGTAATCCTAGCACTTTGGGAGACAAGGTGGGCAGATTGCTTGAGCCCAGGAGTTTGAGACCAGCCTGGGAAACATGACAAAACCCTGTCTCTACCAAAAAAGACACAAAAACTAGCTGGGCGTGTGCCTGTAGTCCCAGCTGCTCAGGAGGCTGAGGTGGGAGGATCGCTTGAGCCCAGGAGGTGGAGGTTGCAGTGAGCCAGAATCACACCACTGCACTCCAGCCTGGGTGACAGACCGAGAACCTGTCTCAAAAAGATAGATAGAGGCCGGGCACAGTGGCTCACGCCTGTAATCCCAGGACTTTGGGAGGCCGAGGCGGGTGAATCACAAGGTCAAGAGATAGAGACCATCCTGGCCAACACGGTGAAACCCCGTCTCTACTAAAAATACAAAAATTAGCTGGGTGTAGTAGCATGCTCCTGTAGTCCCAGCTACTTGGGAGGCTGAGGCAGGAGAATCGCTTGAATCCAGGAGGCGGAGGTTGCATTGAGCTGAGATCACGCCATTGCACTCCAGCCTGGTGACACAGCAAGACTCCGTCTCCGTCTCAAAAAAAAAAAAAATAGATAAAATTCAAAGAACAGTGTGGGCAACATAATGAGACTTCGTTGCTACAAAAATTAATAGCCAGGTATGGTGGTGAGCACCTGTGGTTCCAGCTACATGGGAGGCTGAGGTGGGAGGATCGCTTGAACCTGGGAGGTCAAGGATGCAGTGAGCTGTGATTGCACTACAGCTTTCCAGCCTGGGCGACAGAGCAAGTCCACGTCTCTGAAAAAACAATAGTAATAAAAAATAAGACTACCACTTCTACTCCCATGATAACTCATTAATCCATTAAACCACTAATCCATGAATGGGTTAATCAGTTCCTGAGGGGAGGGTCCTCATGACCCAGTCACCTCTTAAAAGCCTCATCTCTCAGTACTGGCACATTGGGGATTAAGTTTCACTGGGAGTGGGGAGTACTAGAGTACATCAGTAGTCCCAGCTACTTGGGAGGCTGAGGTGGGAGAATCAGCATGAGTTTTGGCCAGGACAAACATTCAAACCATAGCATTGTCCGTCCTCTTGTTTTCGAGAAGTTAATAATTGTTGTCATCTTTCTGCTTGCCTGGCTCTTTTTTTTTTTTTTTTTGAGACAGGGTCTCACTATGTCGCCCAGGCTGGAGTGCAGTGGACTATCTCAGCTCACCACAATTTCCACCTCCCAAGTTCAAGCGATTCTCCCACCTTAGCCTCCAAAATAGCTGGGACTACAGGCACACGCCACTACGCCCGGCTAGTTTTTGTATTTTTAGTAGAGACGGGGTTTCGCCATGTTGGCCAGGCTGGTCTCAAACTCCTGACCTCAAGTGATCGTCTGCCTCGGCCTCCCAAAGTGCTGGGATTACAGGTGTGAGCTGCCACACCCAGCCTTGCTTGGTTCTCTGTGAGCTTTTTCCCTGAGTCCTCTGTCTCCTGATGGGCAGCCGTAGAAATCTCTTGCTGTACCTGTTTGAGCGGAGCTGGAGAATGGCTTCCTCAGAAAGCCCCCCATTCTTCTAACGGGAGTTCTGTGTACTCCACCTAGCTTTCACTTTATTGAGGACTATTCCAGACATTCCCTGTGGATTTGGTTAAGATCCATCTGGCTGGTTTTGGGTGGCGCAGCAACAGACAGAATTCTATTTGTATGAGTTAGGTCTTACCTACTTCTTTTAGTACAAAAATATCCTAAAGGATGGTAATTTTTTTTTATCACCTATACTGGATGAAATGAAAAGTTGACTCTATGTGGGTCCCTAGAAATGACTTGGAAAGGTCTTCTGGAGTTACTTGAGCCCCTTTCTGAGTGAGTGTGTCTGAAGAATGTGCTGCGTTGGTATGTCCCACCCGGCTGACGTCCATGTGGTGAGATCTTTGGAGAACCAGGCAGAAGTGGCTTGAGGGGGTGTGACCTACAGGGTTGGTCTCACAGATGTTTCCCTGCAGGGGGATACGTCAGGGGTCTGGGCTAAAATGCCCGATGTTTCAGAGGTCGCTCTGAAGGTGACCCAGGTGGGTGGCTCTTCACCCTATTCTTGTACCCCGTTTGACGATCACCTAATCATCCCGTTGACCCAAATCGATGCCAGTATTTTCTGCAGTTTTGTCTTTGGTGAGTGTGATCCATGTCACTGTGTGGTGAGGTTTATTCACAGTCAGTCTGGTCTGTAAAATAGAACCTGCAGACAGTGAACCTGAAAAGCATACTAGGATCATCCAGGCCTCCCTCCCCAGCCTTGGAGCTGGGACCCTCAAAGCAGGGACATAGAAGGACTTGGAGTGAGCCACCCACAAACTCCAGGGTGAAGGAGAGTGTGAGTTCAGAAAAGCCCCCTTTTGGCTGGTTGTGGTGGCTCATGCCTGGAAACCCAGCACTTTGGGAAGCCAAGGCAAGCAGATCACTTGAGGTCAGGACTTCGAGACCAGCCTGGCCAACATGGTGAAACCCTGTCTCTACTAAAAATACAAAACTTAGCTGGGCATGGTGGCACATGCCTGTAATCCCAGTTACTCGGGAAGCTGAGGTGGGAGAATCTTTTGGACCCCGGAGGCGGAGATTGCAGTGAGCCGAGATCGTGCCACTGTACTCTAGCCTGGGCGACAGAGCAAGACTCCATCTCAAAAAAAAAAAAAAAAAAAGAAAAGAAAAGCCCCTTTTATCCCCAAGAGGCCAATAATCAGTATTCTAGAGCAGCTCCGTCCCATGGAGATAGGATGTGAGCCAGAGAAGGCATTAAAATTTTTCCAATAGAAAAATACTAAAGAGTAAAAAGGTAAAGAGAGGCCAGGCACGGTGGCTCATGCCTGTAGTCCCAGCACTTTGGGAGGCCAAAGTCAGAGGATCGCTTGAGCCCAGGAGTTTGAGGCCAGCCCTGGCAACATAGGGAGACCTCATCTCTACAAAAAAAAATTTTATTTTATTTTATTTATTTTATTTCATTTTATTTATTTATTATTATTTTTTTTTGAGATGAAGTCTTGCTCTGTTGCCCAGGCTGGAGTGCAGTGGTGCAGTCTCGGCTCACTGCAAGCTCTGCCTCCCGGGTTCACGCCATTCTCCTGCCTCAGCCTCCTGAGTAGCTGGGACTACAGGCGCCCGCCACCACGCCCGGCTAATGGTTTTTTTGTATTTTTAGTAGAGACCAGGTTTCACCGTGTTAGCCAGGATGGTCTTGATCTCCTGACCTCGTGATCCACCCGCCTTGGCCTCCCAAAGCACTGGGATTACAGGCATGAGCCAGCGCGCCTGGCCTATTTTATTTTATTTTTTTTTGAGACAGAGTTTCACTCTTGTTGCCCAGGCTGGAGTACAGTGGCATGATCTTGGCTCGCCACAGCCTCCACCTCCCAGGTTCAAGCAATTCTGCCTCAGCCTCCCAAGTAGCTGGGATTACAGTCATGTGTCACCACGCCCAGCTAATTTTGTATTTATAGTAGAGATAGGGTTTCTCCATGTTGGTCAGGCTGGTCTCGAACTCCCGACCTCAGGGGACCCACCTGCCTTGGCCTCCCAAAGTGTTGGGATTACAGGCGTGAGCCAAAAAATTTTTTTAAATTAGCCAGATATGGTGGTGCGCAACCTGTAGTGTCCTCCGACTCAGGAGGCTCAGGTAGAAGGATCATTTGAGTCCAGGAGGTCAAGGCTGCAGTGAACTGTGATCAGGCCACTGCACTTCAGCCTGAGCAACAAAGCGAGACCCTGTCTCAAAAAGAAATATAAATAAAATAATAAAAAGGTAAGGCCAGGGCCGTGATGGCTCACACCTGTAATCCCAGCACTTTGGGAGGCCAAGGCTAGAGGATTGCTTGAGCCTAGGAGTTCGAGACCAGCCTGGGCAACATGGCAAAACCCCCCCTAATAAAAATACAAAAATTAGCCAGGCATGGTGGCACATGCCTGTAATCCCAGCTACTCGGGAGCCTGAGGTAGGAGGATCACCCAAGCCCAGGAGGTTGAGGCTGCAGTGATCACACCACTGCACTCTAGCCTGGATAACAAAAGGAGACCCTGTCTCACAAATAAATAAATAAAAAGGTAAAGAAAAACCATGAGATTAATATCAATAATAGTTTAATTGAGCTCAACATATTCTCGTTTCAACATATGATCAGTATAAAAAGTGAGATATTTTACATTTTTGTTTCCCCTTGTGTCAGTTTTCAGAATCTAGTGTGTGTGACTGGGCACGGTGGCTCACATCTGTAATCCCAGCACTTTGGGAGGTTGAGGCAGGTGGATCACTTGAGGCCAGGAGTTTGAGACCAGCCTGGCCAACATAATGAAACCCCAGCTATACTAAAAATACAAAAATTAGGCGGGCATGGTGGCTAACGCTTGTAATTCCGTCTACTCGGGAGGCTGAGGCAGGAGAATCACTTGAACCCAGAAGGCAGAGGTTGCAGTGAGCTGAAATCGTGCCACTGCACTCTAGTCTGGGCGACAGAGCGAGACTATGTCAAAAAAAAAAAAAAGGGTCTAGCGTGTGTTTTATATCATAGCACTTCTTGGTTTGGACCAGCCATATTTGCAGTGCCCAGTAGCTGCATGTGGCCAGCAACCCTGATACTGGATGGTGCAGCTCTAGAAGATTTTCCTCCAAGAAAGGGGGGCTTTTTCCTCCCCACAGGAGCCAGGTCCATCTGGTCTGGATGCCTCCAAGCTGCAGAATGTGTTCTTTGCCTGAGCCAAAGCCTCTCTCCCCTGTGCCTCCCCCTCCACCAGCCAGCGCTGCCCTCTGGGGCTCTCCCTTCCCTGGACAGTCTCTGTCAGGTGTGGACACGATTGGGGCATGTCCCCCTGGAATTTTCTCCAAGTCAACCCTTGAGTGTTGGTTTCTCCCCCTGGACACAGGAGGAAGATCCCCAATGATTTAATAATCATAGAAATGATGAGGATTGGCCAGGTGGCTCAAGCCTGTAGTCCCAGCAATTTGAGAGGCCGAGGCAGGTGGATCACTTGAGGTTAGAATTTGAGACCAGCCTGGCCAACATGGTTAAACTCCGTCTCTACTAAAAATACAAAAATTGCTGGTCATGGTGGTGGATGCCTGTAATCCCGGCTACTCGGGAGGCTGAGGCAGGAGAATTGCTTGAACCTAGGAGGCAGAGGTTACAGTGAGCTGAAGTCATGCCACTGCTCTCTAGCCTGGGCAACAGAGTGAGACTCCATCTCAAAAAAAAAAAAAAAATGAGGATGACGTTTCTGCTAATAAGCAGTAGGCCCTGGGCCAAGAAGTGGTGAGGCTTTTCTTCCTTCTTTAGGGAAGTGACATCACTCACCAGCATCCCTTAGCTTGTAGGATTCAGAGCCAAGATTGCCCCCAGAGCCCCCGCTGTTGGCCAGGTCTCTTTCCCCTTTCCCTGTCTCTCCCTGGCCCCAGGGGACAGGATAGAGACTTGAGGGAGGGCAGACTGAGTTTTCCTTCATAGCATAAGGAAGAGCTGAAAAGTCCCCGGGCTCAGTGGCTCACGCCTGTCATCCCAGCACTTTGGGAGACTGAGGTGGGCAGATCACGAGGCCAGGAGATTGAGACCAGCCTGGGCAACATGGTGACACCCTGTCTCTACTAAAAATACAAAATTAGCCGGGCGTGGTGGTACACGCCTGTAGTCCCAGCTACCCAGGAGGCTGAGGTGGGAGAATAGCTGGAACCTGGGAGTCGGAGGTTGCAGTGAGCCAAGATCACACCACTGCACTGCAGCTTGGATGACAGAGCGAGACTCTGTCTCAAAAAAAAAAAAAAAAAAAAAAAAAAAAGAAAAGAAAAAAGAAAAATACTTAGCTTCTTTTCGGGCCAGGTGCGGCAGCTCACACCTGTAATCCCAGCACTTTGGGAGGCCAAGGTGGGCAGATCACGAGATCAGGAGATTGAGACAATCCTGGCTAACACAGTGAAACCCTGTCTTTACTAAAAATACAAAAAATTAGCAGAGCCTGGTGGCACACGCCTGTAATCCCAGCTACTTGAGAGGCTGAGGCAGGAGAATTGCTTGAACCCAGGAGGCGGAGGTTGCAGTGAGCCGAGATTGTGCCACTGCACTCCAGCCTGGGTGACAGAGCGAGACTCTGTCTCCAGAAAAAAAACAGAAACGTCCCCAGGCCAGGGCAGAGGTTGGGAGATGGAGCGTGGGCACGCACAAGCCCCTTCCTCCCCGGCAGCATTTGGGACAACATGGCAGGGGGCCTGTGGCCAACTGGGCCTCTGCGAGAGGAAGTGAGGCCAACTCCTGGCTGGGGATTCACAGCCTCAAAGTGTTTCTCATCTTGGTTTCTCATGTTGGTGGCTTCAGGCCTTTTTTGGAACCGTCTGCTGCCTCTTTATAGTCATGTATTCAACTGGTCATCACCGAGCCTGTGCAGGCGCCCCATGTGTATTCAAACAGGCCCTGCCCCTACCCGCATTTCCGCACAGAGTTTGCAGACTGGTTGCAGGGACAGACAGCAGGCAGGTAAACCACTGGCTAAGTGGTTTTGGATAGTGGTGAAATGTTGTGAAGGAAACAAGCTGGCAGGAGAATGACTGCATAGGCTCATTCAGTGGGGTGGCCAGGGAAGCCCTGTGGAAGAAGGACATTCTGCCAGGGACTTGAATGCCACGGAGGAGCCAGGCCACGAAGATTGTGTCAGGGCATGGGTTCCTGGGACACGGGGCAGCACGCCTGAAGGCCCCGGGTTGGCATGTTTGAGAAGTGGAAGGTGGTGAGGGTTGAGAGGTCACCGGGGCTACGGTGAGTGTCTGGGGTTCCAAAGCTGCGGGATGCCATGATCAGTCACTTGTTTTTATTTATTTGTTTGTTTGTTTTCTTTTTCTTTTTGAAACGGAGTTTCGCTCTTGTTGCCCAGGCTGGAGTGCAACAGTGCGATCTCAGCTTCCTGTAACCTCCACCTCCCTAGTTCAAGCGATTCTCCTGCCTCAGCCTTCCGAGTAGCTGGGATTACAGGCACCCGCCACCACATCCGGCTGATTTTTGTATTTTTATTAGAGACGGGGGGTTTCACCATGCTGGCCAGGCTGGTCTCTAACTCCTGACCTCAGGGGATCTGCCCGCCCCAGCCTCCCAAAGTGCTGGGATTACAGTGCCCTACTGAGCTGGGGTTTCTGCCTGGGGCATTTGGTGATGGTGGCGTCCCCATGATCATGAGGAACTGGGATTCGTTGAGATTTGGGGAGGCAGTTCTGGCATTCCAGGTCACATTGATCTCAGCAGGTGAGTGCAAGGTGGATGCCAGGAGACCGTGAGCCGTTGCTGGTGGGCAGGGGTCCGGGCTCTGGAGGCTGCAGGTGCCAGCAGGTCTCACGTCCCCTCCTTTCCCACCTCCCAACCACAGTGATCAACAAATACAAGCGCAGACGATTTCAGAAAACCAAGAACCTGCTGACAGGAGAGACAGAAGCGGACCCAGAAATGATCAAGGTAAATGGGCAGGGTTGTCAGGGCCTATAGGGACCAAGCCAGGCCATTCACAGCTCATCCCAGACCACTGGGGCTGTCATCTGTCACCACCACTGAACCACCATGCCGGCTCGGTCATGCCACCTCCCCTCCCTGAGCACTGGGCTCCTCCTCTGGGAAATGGGGTCAGGAGGCAGCTGTCTCTCAGGGAGTGAGGAGGATCCCAGACAAGGTTACCTGAGCCTCTTGCCAGCCTGGGAGGGGTCTACATCACAGTCCCATTGTCACATGAGGACACTTGCTCAGTCTCAGCCGGAAGTGGCAGGCCAGGGACTCTCACCCACACAGCCAGGCCCCAGAGCCCAAGCTCAGCCTGGCTCCAAGCACACACACGAGAATATGGCTTTAGTAGGAACTGCAGGATTCATAGTTGCTGTCACTCCCAGTGGGCTGGGGAGCCGGGCAGTTAATCTGTGGTTAACCTGCAGTGGGCACTAAGAGACTTCCTCTCTCTGCGGGTGGTCCTGTGTTGGGGGGGTGGTCCCTGCTCATGGAGCTGAGGCCACCGTGCAAGAGTGTGTGGAGCCTGCTGTCATGAGGCTGGGCTTCGCAGCCTGGCCTAGGATGCCAGCCCTGCCTCTACCTCTACCTCGGTTTTCTACATGTGGGGTGGGAGGATCCTGTCGGTGGCCGGAAGGGTCCTGGGTGGCGGAATCTCTAAGCCTAGGGAGGAGAGCCTTCTGCCAGCAGTTGCTGTGGTGGCTGATATTCTGCTGCCAGGGTTGTCAGGGGAGATGGCTCATGCCTGTTTTCCCAGCATTTTGGGAGGCCGAAGCAGAAGGATCACTTGAGCCCGGAAGTTCAAGATCAGCCCAGGCAGCATAGTGAGACCCCATCTCTTCCAAAAAAGAGAAAAAAGAAAGAAAGAAAAGAAGCTGTCCATGGTGGCTCACGCCTCTAATCCCAGCACTTTGGGAGGCCGAGGTGGGAGGATCGTGCTTGAGCCCAGAATTCGAGACCAGCTTGGGCAGCATAGTGAGACCCCATCTCAGAAAAAAAAGAAAGCAAAGATTAAGATTTTCTCGGGAACCCTGGGGAGGAAGTGTACAGAGAGTGATAGTCCCCGAGCACTTCCACCTGCCTCTGAGGTCCTTCCCCCCATGTTGCCTCAGAGGGCTGAGGACTATGGGCCTGTGGAGGTGATCTCCCATTGGCACCCCAACATCACCATCAACATCGTGGACGACCACACGCCGTGGGTGAAGGGCAGTGTGCCCCCTCCCCTGGATCAATGTAAGCTCCCCAGCCCTGCCAGCTGCCTGCAGAGCCTTTGAGAGGGTGCTCGGGGTCCATCTCCTTGTCTTCTCCTGGCCCTGTCCCCCTGAGAGAGCTTTCCAGGGCTCCACCCTCCCAAGCTCCCACCCTGTCCTATCCCCTTCCCATGTCCTCTCCCTCTCCCACACCACCACCCCTGGGGACCCCAGGACTGACTTCTACACGCCAGCATCGGTCCGCAATCAAGTGCCATCCAGCCCACAAACTGTTTTCAAAAAATGTCTTATCACTTGCCAGCTTTTGAAATTGAGGCAGTATCACTTAAAAGCCACAATTTCTGGCTTATTTTATAAAACTGGGTTACATGGTCACCCACAGGGCAGCCGTGGGCTGGAGCTGAGCCACAGCTGCCCCCTTCAGTGGGGACCTGCCTGCCCTTTGCCTCAGTCCCCTCTGCTGAGGTCAAGGCACCCTTTAGCTCCTCATGGTGTGGCCTAGAAATGTCCCCTGTCCTCCAGTCTCTGTAGAGGGGCCCTGTTGGGTCTCTCCAGACATCTGAGGCCTGCGGGTACCCTGGCCTCCTGCCCGGGCCAAATGGTGCCCCTGCCCCACGTGCTGCAGATGTGAAGTTCGACGCCGTGAGCGGTGACTACTATCCCATCATCTACTTCAATGACTACTGGAACCTGCAGAAGGACTACTACCCCATCAACGAGAGCCTGGCCAGCCTGCCGCTCCGCGTCTCCTTCTGCCCACTCTCGCTTTGGCGCTGGCAGCTCTATGCTGCCCAGAGCACCAAGTCGCCCTGGAACTTCCTGGGTGATGAGTTGTACGAGCAGTCAGATGAGGAGCAGGACTCGGTGAAGGTGAGTGCGGCCGGTGTGGGCGGGACTTCCCGGTGCCTTCCTGGGCGCAAGAGGCCAAGAGGAAGTGTGCCAGGCCTGGGCTGTGGGACCTCCCGCCTGGTGCTCCTCTGCCCACAGTTTCACAACCTCCCAGGTCCCTTCTCCACAGTGAAAGGAAGTGGGCACCCAGCCCTCCAGCCCTAGATGACTGGGGGTCCTCTCCCCAGGCTGTTCTGTTGGACCCTTTGGGTCCAGACCTGTCCCTTCCTCCTTCTGTCCCAGACCTTGTGTCCCTGGCCCTGGCTCCAACTCTGTGTCTCTGCCATCTCACTGGGTCCTGAAATGTCAGCCTGTGTCTGTGGCGTGAGGCTCGGCTTTGCCTCCTGGGCTGTCGTCACTGTTGGGTCTCTGCTCCTGGCTCCCAGTGTCCCTTCACCCACTCCCCGCAGCACTCCCTTGGCCTCTGCCTCTTCCCCTAGTGCCATCTCCCCGTCTCTTCTGTCTTTGTGAGTCACCCTCCTCTCTCTCCCCATCTGCCCATCTCTGACCCAGTCTCCTCCTGGCTGGCCCACCTTCAGCCTCCCTCTACAGGCGGCCCCAGGGGCAGCCCTCGGGACAAAAGCTAGTGAAGGTGCTCCTGGGTGGGGACAGGCTGTGCTCACATGTGTCCCCTGCAGGTGGCCCTGCTGGAGACCAACCCCTACCTGCTGGCGCTCACCATCATCGTGTCTATCGTTCACAGTGTCTTCGAGTTCCTGGCCTTCAAGAATGGTAGGAACAGGACCCCAGGGCTAGTGAGAGGCTGTGCAGGGTGGGGGACAGGACCTGCCCCCTTCCTCCTCCCCTCCCTCCCCACATGTCCTCCCCCTGCCTGGGGTCTCTCAGCCCCACTCTCCAGAGGCCTAGTGAGCTGGGGAGGGGCAGTGGCCCCAAAACTCCCAACCCAGAAATTCCCACCCACCGGGTGTGGAGCTGAGGGAGGGGCTGGCCCGCTGGTGGGGCAGAGGCCAGGCCAATACTGCCAGGAAGCAGGGCTGGGGAACTCCAGAGCCAAGAGCAGGGAAGCCCCGGAGCTGCTCCCGCCACCCTGCCCGGCAGGCTGCCTGCTGCGGGAGGCCGCTTAGGGCTGAGTGGACGGGGCCTGCCCAAGTGGGAAGGAGGAGCACTGTCCCCCAAAGGTCCCTAGGTTCTAAGGCTGACCATACTGATGGCCAGCGTTTGAGGAGAAGCAGCCACATGCCAGGCACTGTCCTGGGTACCCTCCCCAGTAGCTCCTTGAGCCCTGTGGGAGCCAGAGGCTCAGGGATGTCACTTGCCCAGTCACACGGTTCCTAAGGGGCAGATGGTTCCAGCCCCAACTCTCATCTTCTAGGCCCTGCAGGCCACTTCTTCCTTGCCCAGAGCACCCCAGTCTGAAGGAGTGGCCTGCGGCCCTGTAGCTCCCGCAGGCGGCAAGAGGAATGAGTAGTAGTATTCCTGGTATTAAGATGCTATTGCCGGCCTGGTGGTGGCTCTCGCCTGTAATCCCAGCACTTTGGGAGGCCAAGGTGGGAGGATCACCTAAGCCCCGGAGTTTGAGACCAGCCTGGGCAACAAAGCGAGATTCGTTTCTACACAATTTTTTTTAAGAATTAGCTGGGCATGGCAGCGTGTGCCTATGGTCTCAGCTACTCGGGAGGCTTGGGCCTGAAAGGTCAAGGCTGCCGTGAGCCATGATCACACCACTGAACTCCATCCTAGGCAACAGAGTGACACCCTGTTCCAAAAAAAAGGACGCTCTTGCCATTATTGAGAACTACCATCTGGAAGAATGCAGTGTCATACGGGCACAGGAGCTGGTGCCGACCCCAGCCAGCCATCTACCAGCTGTCGCTGGGAGACGGGACCCTTCTGCCTAGGAGCTGGCTTGGCTGGGGTCCAGTGAGAAATGAGGCACAAGAAGGCTGTCCTCCCCAGTGTCATGCAGCAGGGGGCGCAGGCCTCACTTGGCACCAGTGCTGTGTGGCCTCCCTGGTCTAAGGAGAGGCTTGGGCCCAACTGCTCCCACGAGAACCCACCAGAACCCTGTCTCCAGACCCATTCTTCTCAGTTGGGACAGGGGTCATTCTGATGGGCAGGGGTGGGTGGGGTGAGGCTATGGAGTGTGCCAGAGCTCTGGGATGTGGGGGAGCTCTGGGATGTGGGGGAGCTCTGGGATGGGGTAGGGTGCACATGGACCAGAATTCACAGCCCTCACTCCCTGAGTGCAGAGCTGGCCCTGACTCTGCAGGACTGCAGACCTGGCTCCACCACTGTGCTACAGACGTGGTGGCTCAGCCTCCTGTGGCTGCGGTTAGATGCTCAGCCGGGCGGGGTCAAGAGAGGGGTGTCCGTGGTGAGACCAGGGCTCAGAGAGGAGCATGCTGACATGGATCCTTGGCAGCATCTAGGCGGAGCACTGGAAGGAGCTCCAGACTGGAGCCCAGGGCCCTTTTCAGTTTCCTGAGCATGGCTGTGAGCCAGTTCCTTCCCGGTGTCAGGGCAGGGGCCTGGAGGAGGTGGTCTTGAAGTGCATGCCACAGATCTTCCTTCCCAGGGAGGGCGAGCTGGCACCATGGTGTGGCACAGACCCCGCGTCCCTTCAGATTCTGCCATGCCAGGCTGTTTGGCCTCAGGGAAGCAGCTTCCCTGACCAGTCCTTAGCACCTGGCACGTGGTGAGCCCTGTCCATGGCACCAGTCACCGTCACCATCAGTCAAGGGACTGCACCTTGGGGTGCTGGGTGCTGACGTCCTATGGGAGGGCTCCAGGGGTGCCGCCTGTCTGGTGCTCTGGGGGTCACCCAATGAATATGAGAGCCTTCCTGGGAGAGAGGGGTCTCGTTCAGCACCCCTCCTGAGGACCCAGCCCCACCCCAGGGTGTGAGGATGCAGGCCAAGGGGGCCTGAGGGAGCTGCAGTAGGGTCTCAGCACCTCCTCAGCCTCCTGGTTCCCCCCTACCCCCTGCGCACAGATATCCAGTTCTGGAACAGCCGGCAGTCCCTGGAGGGCCTGTCCGTGCGCTCCGTCTTCTTCGGCGTTTTCCAGTCATTCGTGGTCCTCCTCTACATCCTGGACAACGAGACCAACTTCGTGGTCCAGGTCAGCGTCTTCATTGGGGTCCTCATCGACCTCTGGAAGATCACCAAGGTCATGGACGTCCGGGTAAGGCTGGGGCGCCATGCTGTCTCGGGAGCTGCAGGGGTTGGGAGGGGGTAGTGTGGCCCAGCTGGACCCTGGAGCTGGCCCCCGGGGGATTCCCAGCAAGTGCCTCACTCCCAGGACTGAGGGGATTTTCTCACCAGGGGATTTTTTGGGTCACACATGGGGCAGGGGAACTGGGAACGGTGGGGAAGGGCAGGGGCTGGTTCTGGCTTGTGGGGTGGGAGCCAGCGTAGCAACTGACCATGGCACCCACCTCATCCACAGCTGGACCGAGAGCACAGGGTGGCAGGAATCTTCCCCCGCCTATCCTTCAAGGACAAGTCCACGTATATCGAGTCCTCGACCAAAGTGTATGATGATGTGAGTGTCCTGCACAGTGGGCCCCTGGGGGTGGTCTCCAGGTACCACGTATCCCTGAGGCACCCGGGGCCGGCCATCTGTCTGCCGGACCCATGCTTTACAGCCTGTGCCACATCCTCTGTGTCCCCCATCTGCCATAACTGCTTCCCTGGGCGAGTCCGGAGTCCCCAGGGCTACCTGGAAATTCCCCCTGCCCGGCCTGCCAGACCAGGTGTGGTGGGTGAGGGCGGGGAGCAGGGCTGCCAGGCAGGGCTGAGGAGCTGGCTGACAGCCCCACCCTGTGGCCCCACAGATGGCATTCCGGTACCTGTCCTGGATCCTCTTCCCGCTCCTGGGCTGCTATGCCGTCTACAGTCTTCTGTACCTGGAGCACAAGGGCTGGTACTCCTGGGTGCTCAGCATGCTCTACGGCTTCCTGCTGACCTTCGGTGAGCGGTCCGGCCGCCCCAGGAGAGAGCAGGCCCCATGCTGCGCAGGGCTCACAGCCCCAGTGTAGGAGACAGACCCATCCCCAGACAGGGACAACCTAGGGTGGGCAGAGCTGGGATATAGGGAGGCCCGAGGGCACACATGGCCCCATCTGGGGTCAGAGAGGACTTCAGGGAGGACATGAACAGTACGCTTCAGTCCTCATTCTCAGGGGGCCTTTGTGTCTTGGGAACAAGTAAACAAGTAGGGCCAGGTGCAGTGGCTCACACCTGTTATCCCAATGCTTTGGGAGGCTGAGGCAGGAGGATCACTTGAGCCCAGGAATTCGTGACCAGCCTGGGCAACTTGGCAAGACCCGATCTCTACAAAAAAACACAGAAATTATTGGGGAGTGGTGGTGCGTGCCTGTAGTCCCAGCTACCTGGGAGGCTGAGGTGGGAGGATCCCTTGAGTCCAGGAGGTTGAAGCTGCAGTGAGCCATGATTACGCCACTGCACTCCAGCCTGGGTGACAGAGTGAGACCCTGTCTCAAAAAACAAAAGACCGGGTGAATCACAGCCAATAGTGAGTACTGTGAAGGGCAGAGTGGTGGGAGGATGCACATTAATAGGGGTCCGGGGGCCCCTCTGAGGACAGGACATTTAAACAGAGGCCTCAGATATCCAGGGAGAGAGCTGTGCGGATGTGACAGAAGGCCCCACCAGTGCAGAGGCCGCTGGTAGAGTGTGCCCAGGTATAGGAAGTGGTAGAGTGTGCCCAGGTGTAGGAAGTGGTGAGGGGGCTGGTATGGCCAGTGCAGAGTGCACAGGGGAGAGGTGGGAGAGGCCATCCCTCTGCTCATGGGTGCTCTCACTGCAGGCTTCATCACCATGACGCCCCAGCTCTTCATCAACTACAAGCTCAAGTCTGTGGCCCACCTTCCCTGGCGCATGCTCACCTACAAGGCCCTCAACACATTCATCGACGACCTGTTCGCCTTTGTCATCAAGATGCCCGTTATGTACCGGATCGGCTGCCTGCGGGACGGTGAGGCCCGGTGGGCAGGTGGGAGCTCCCACCGGAACAGGGCCCTGAGGCAGTCTTTAGGGCCCAGGCCTGAGGGGGTGCCACGGCCCCAGATGGGGTGCTCAGTCTGAGGGGGCTCGGCCCCGCCCTTGCATCACGCCCTCTCCACCCAGGCCCACCTGGCTGTGGACGGGCCAGCCCGACCTCACACTGCCTCCCACCCCTCTCCAGATGTGGTTTTCTTCATCTACCTCTACCAACGGTGGATCTACCGCGTCGACCCCACCCGAGTCAACGAGTTTGGCATGAGTGGAGAAGACCCCACAGCTGCCGCCCCCGTGGCCGAGGTTCCCACAGCAGCAGGGGCCCTCACGCCCACACCTGCACCCACCACGACCACCGCCACCAGGGAGGAGGCCTCCACGTCCCTGCCCACCAAGCCCACCCAGGGGGCCAGCTCTGCCAGCGAGCCCCAGGAAGCCCCTCCAAAGCCAGCAGAGGACAAGAAAAAGGATTAGTCGAGACTGGTCCTCACCTGCTCCGGCTCCTGGCGACCACTACCCCTGCGTCCCGGCCCCCTCGCCTCCCCTCCCTGTCGCCCTTTCCCTGGACAGATCAGGCCGGGGCGGTGGGAGGCCCGCCTCAGGTCAGGGCCCAGCGTGTGATGTAGGGGCCGGGGCAGGCCAGGGTTTGTTTGTGGAGGCGCTGTCTGTCCCTCTGTCCCTCTGTGTTTCCAGCCATCTCGCCCTGCCAGCCCAGCACCACTGGGAATCATGGTGAAGCTGATGCAGCGTTGCCGAGGGGGTGGGTTGGGCGGGGGTGGGGCCGGGCCCCCCTACGGGATGCCCACGGCCGTTCATCATCTTGTCCCTCGTCCCCCTACCACACTCCCCCTCCTAGACCGCCGCCCTTTAACACAGTCTGGATTTAATAAATTCATATGGGTGTTTAACTTAAACTCAGCACTGCCCCTCCTCCTCGTGCCTTCCTTCCTCTGTTGCCTTGGACAACAGCTTCCAGCAGGGATGAGGTGGCTTTCCTGGGTCTGGGAGAGTGACCTGACACGGTACGGGACCTGTAAAGGTGGGGATTGTGACCTTGTGTCAAGAACCATACCTGGCCGGGCGCAGTGGCTCACACCTATAATCCCAACACTTTGGGAGGCTGAAGTGGATGGATCACTTGAGGTCAGGAGTTTGGGACCAGTCTGGCCAACATAGTGAAACCCTGTCTCTACTAAAAATACCAAAATTAATTGGGAATGCTGGCAGGCACCTGTAATCACAGATACTCGAGAGGCTGAGGCAGGAGAATCATTTGAACTCGGGAGGCGGAGGCTGCAGTGAGCCCAGATCACACACTGCACTCCAGCCTGGACAACACAGCAAGATTCCATCTCAAAAAAAAAAAAAAAAGCCATACCCGCCAGGCCAGGCCTCTTCCTCACTTCTCGCCCTCCCACCAGCCCTCTGAGATTTCATTAACTGGCCTCATTTCAGATTGCTGGGGAAGCTGCTTGCAGGGAGCTCGCTGCCCTATACCCTTTCCTGCCAGCTGCCCCTGCTGGGTGCAGGCTGGAGCCTGCCATGTGCCCGCTGAATGTCTCCTAACCCGACACCACCAGGCAGGGCCAAGTACAGCTTTCAGCCGGGTCGCCATGAGCACCTGCCACCCTGAGGCCTCAGCACAGCAGTTGGGGCACGCTAAATGTGTGCCATTGGCTTTTTGCGCTGACACCCACTCCCAATTTTGGGGAGCATGGGGGTGAAGGCTCAGCCTGCCTGAGTGGCACCTGGTTGGCTGGCTGTAGCACTCTGTGAGTGTTGGGGTGTCATATCACATCCCCGGGGCTGCCTGTGCTGACAACAGAGGTGGCATGAGTTGGATTTCCCATCCCAGCCCCTGGTGCTGGGACTCTTCGCCCACTGGATAGGTGAGCTGAGCGAGGCCTCTGTGTTCTGAGGGCTGGGGACCCTACATTCCCAGGTTTACTGTTTTGGGGGGTGGTCTCAGCAACACTTCTGGGATAGGGGGCCCAACGCTGAGGACCACACCAGGTTCCTTCAGGCTCCAGCTGCCACCCCATATTGCAGAGCCAGTCAGGGGATCCATGAGGCCCCAGGGAGACGATGGCACCCTCGGAGCCCCATACCACAGGTCCACAGGCCATGGCAGTCTCCCATCCCTCAGGGCAGCCATGGGTCTCCATTACCCGCCCCCCAACTCTATACCATTCCATGGATCCCCGGTGCCCTTGGAGGAACCCCAGCCTCTGCACCATGGCCTGACTGACAGGCTCCTAGGAACCCCGGAGGTACAGGGCTCTGCAGCCCCTTGAGACTGGTGGGCTCTCCAGCCACCTGGACTTCCTGGCCTCGTCACCCCTGGTTCTTCCTCCTCTCACAGCTCCACGCCCAAGCCTTTGACAAGGCCCATCAGCTACCCCCACAACTCCCTGGGGGTCTCACCTCTTCATTGGGACCACCTGCTCCACCTGCTCCATGCCCCTCCTTACCCTGTGGTGTTCTTGCTCAGTGTTCTGTCTGGTCCCCTGTCCCGGTCCTGCCCTCCCCACATCCCATTCACACTCTAGCTAGCAGCTAGAGGAAACTCTTTTTTTTCTTTGAGACAGAATCTTGCTCTGTTGCCCAGGCTGTAGTGTAGTGGTAGGATCTCAGCTCACTGCAACCTCTGCCTCCTGGGTTCAAGTGATTCTCCTGTCTCAGCCTCCTGAGTAGCTAGGATTACAGACATGCACCACCACGCTTGGCTAATTTTTTGTATTTTTAATAGAGACGGGATTTCGCCATGTTGGCCAGGCTGGTCTCGACCTCAAGCAATCTGCCCACCTCAGCCTCCCAAAGTGCTGGGATTACAGACATGAACCACCCTGCCCGGCCCAGCTAGAGGAAACTTTATAGTTTATTCTACTAAAGCACAAACCTGACCCTGCCCAGCCCTTGCTCAGAACCTACTGTGGGTGCACAGTGACCTCAGGAGAAAGCCCAGGCTCCTTACTGGGGACTGAGACCTTGGTGATGGGGACACTTATTAACCCCTGCATCCAGCCTGGTCTTCCCCCTACCTGGATCCTGCCCCCAGGCACACAACCCCTGTCCACTTCTTTTTTTCTTTGAGAGAGTCTTGCGTTGTCCCCCAGGCTGGAGTGCAGTGGCACAATCACAGCCCTGCAGCCTTGACCTGCTGGCTCAAGCGATCCTCCTGCCTCAGCCTCCCAACTACCTAGGACCACAGGCAAGTGCCACTACGCCTGCGTAATTATTTATTTATTTATTTAGTATTTTTATTTATTATTATTATTTTTTGAGATGGAGTCTCACTCTTGTTGCCCAGGCTGGAGTGCAGTGGCACGATCTTGGCTCACTGCAACCTCCACCTCCCGGGTTCAAGCGATTCTTCTGCCTCAGCCTCCTGAGTAGCTGGGATTACAGGCACCCACCATCACACCCGGCTAATGTTTGTATTTTTAGTAGAGACAGGGTTTCACCATCTTGGCCAGTCTGGTCTCGAACTCCTGACATTGTGATCCACCTGCCTCGGCCTCCCAAAGTGCTGGGATTACAAGTGTGAGCCACAGCACCTGGCCGCCTGCGTAATTTTTAAATTTTTTGTAGAGTTGGGGTCTCTCGATGTTGCCAAAGCTGGTTTCAAACTCCTGGCCTCAAGCAGTCCTCCCAGCTGGGCCTCCCAAAGTGCTGGGATTACAGGCCTGAGCCATCACAGCTGGCTTATCCCTTCTTTATCTTACCCATGTGTCCTCCAAGCTGTGGCTCCAATGCTCACTCCTGTAGGAAGCCCTCCCTGACTGCCAAGTTCTCTGGGGTCTCTCATGGCAGCCCTGCCCACTGTGAGTCATCACTGGGGACAGGTTGGTCTCTTCCACTGGATGGAGCCCCGTGAGGACATAGCCAGACCTGTCTTGATCACTGCTGTGTCCCCAGCATAGGGCCAAACACAGAGAAGCCACGCCAGGAATATTTAATGAGTGCATGTTGAACAACCCCAACATTCACTTTCCCAGACACATGAACACATCCAGAAGTGTGGACCTCGGTGGGGCTCATATTCAGACACTGGAGACTGTGACAAGCAGTCAACAAATGTAACAGCTGAACCCTGCCCCTGGGTAGTGCCGTGTGCTGGGGTGTTTTGTGTATACAGCCAGGACCAAGACAGACCCAGACCTGCCGTCATGGGGCTCACAGCCCAGCAGAAATCCTGAGCACTGAGGATATCTGACATGTCCTTTTTAATTTTTATTTTTATTTATTTACTTTTTTTTTTTTTTTTGAGATGGAGTCTCGCTCTGTTGCTCAGGCTGGAGTGCAGTGGCACGATCTCGGCTCACTGCAGCCTTCGCCTGTCGAGTTCAAGCAATTCTCCTGTCTCAGCCTCCTGAGTAGCTGGGACTACAGGCACCTGCTACCAAGCCCAGCTAACTTTTGTATTTTTAGTAGAGACAGAGTTTCACATTTCACCATATTGGTCAGGCTGGTCTCGAACTCCTGACCTCAAGTGATCTGCCTGCCTCGGCCTCCCACAGTGCTGAGATTACAGGCATGAGCCACGGCGCCTGGCTATCCTTTATTTATTTATTTATTTATTTATTGAGACAAAGTCTTGCTCTGTCGCCCAGGCTGGAGTGCAGTGGCGCGATCTCGGCTCACTGTAAGCTCTGCCTCCCAGGTTCAAGCAATTCTTCTACCTCAGCCTCCTGAATAGCTGGGATTACAGGAGTGCGCCACCACGTCCAGCTAATTTTTGTATTTTTAGTAGAGATGGTATTTTACCATGTTGATCAGGCTGGTCTCAAACTCCTGACCTCATGATCCACCCGCCTCAGCCTCACAAAGTGCTGGGATTACAGACGTGAGCCACTGTGCCTGGCCCCTTTTTATTTATTTGTGTTCTTTTTGAGATGGAGTCACTGTCACCCAGGCTGGAGTGAGTGCAGTGGCACGATCTCACTTCACTGCAACCTCCGCCTCCTGGGTTCAAGTGATTCTCCTGCCTCAGCCTCCTGAATAGCTGGGATTATAGGTGCCCGCCACCACACCAGCTAATTTTTGTATTTTTAGTAGACATGGGGTTTCACCATGTTGGCCAGGCTGGTCTTGAACTCCTGACCTCAGGTGATCTGCCTGCCTCAGCCTCCCAAAGTGTTGGGATTACAGGCATGAGCCACCGTGCCTGGCCCTGACATGTCCTTTTAGTCATTCAGCAAACTTTTTTTTTTTTTTTTTTTTTTTGAGACAGTCTCACTCTGTCACCTAGGCTGGAGTGCAGTGGCGTGATCTCAGCTCACTGCAGCCTCCACTTCCTGGGTTCAAGTGATCGTCCTGCCTCAGCCTCCCTAGTAGCTGGGACTACAGGCACATGCCACCACACCCAGTTAGTTTTGTATTTTTAGTAGAGACGGGGTTTCACCACGTTGGCCAGGCTGGTCTTGAACTCCTGACCTCAGGTGATCCGCCTGCCTTGGCCTCCCAAAGTGCTGGGATTACAGGCATGAGCCACTGCACCCAGCCTCAACAAACATTTTTGAGGCCTGGCATTGGCAAGAGGCAGAGAGGAATCAGGAGAGCTTCTGGTCCTATAACAATTGGAGCTGCTATTTGTCATCCTTATCATAAGCCAAGCACTAGTGTAAGTGCTGCATGTGGTTGGCTTCATCCATTACATTTAATATTATTCAGTGTCCTCGTCACCTTACTGGTCCATCACTCTGCCCTCATCTCTACCCCTTTCCTGTCAGTCACTCTGCACCAGCCTTCTTGCTATTCCTTAAGCATGCCATGCATGTTCCTACCACAGGGCCTTTGCACGTGCTAGCCCCTGTGCTTTGAACACTCTCCCCCAGATATCCACATGAATCCCTCACCTCCTTTGACTCCCTGTTCAAATGGCACCTCTCAGACCCTGATCTTCCTAACCCAAACTATCTTCCGAACTCCTTCTCGTTATCCTGCTCTATCCTGTAATACTGCCATCACCATCAGACATAATATTTGCTTATCTGTTTTCCATCTGTCTCCTCACTTGGATTTCCTTGATGGCAAGGGCTTTTTGTCTGCTGTGTGCCTTGCTATGTCCCTAGCTTTTAGAGCAGTGCCTGACACTGTTACGCTGTGTGTAATAACTGTAAATTGAAGAGCCAGGCACAGTGGCTCACGCCTGTAATCCCAGCGCTTTGGGAGGTTCGGGCAGAAGGATCACTTGAGGCTAGGAGGTCAAGATCAGCCTGGGCAACAGCAAAATCCCATGTCTTAAATAAAAGAAAGAAGACCGGGTGTGGTGGCTCACGCCTGTAATCCCAGCACTTTGGGAGGCCAAGGCAGGCGGATCACGAGGTCAGGAGATTGAGACCATCCTGGCTAACACGGTGAAACCCTGTCTCTACTAAAACTACAAAAAATTAGCCAGGCATGGTGGCGGGCGCCTGTAGTCCCAGCTACTCGGGAGGCTGAGGAGCAGAATGGCGTGAACCCGGGAGTAGGAGCTTGCAGTGAGCCGAGATCGCGCCACTGCACTCCAGCCTGGGTGGCAGAGGAAGACTCCATCTCAACAAAAAAAAAAAAAGAAAGAAATAGGGCTGGGCACAGTGGCTCACGACTGTAATCCCAGCACTTTGGGAGGCCAAGACAGGCGGATCACCTGAGGTCAGGAGTTCAAGACCAGCCTGGACAACATGGTGAAACCCCATCTCTACTAAAAAAAAAAAAAAAAAAAGAAAGAAAGAAATGTAGTCCCAGCACTTTGGGAGGCTGAGGTAGGCAGCTCGCTTGAATCCAGGAGTTTGAGACCAGCTTGGGCAACATGGTGAAACCTCATCTCTGCTAAAAACACAAAAATTAGGCCAGGCATGGTGGCGCACACCTGTGGTCCCAGCTCACCAGCTGTGTGGCCTCAGGCAACTGACTTCATCTCTCTGAGCTTCAGTTTCCCGTCTGTAAAGTGGGTCTAATAATAGGACGGTCATGAGTATTAAATAAAATGATGTTAATAGTTAGTTGCCCTTTGGCCAGGTGCACTGGCTCAGCCTAAGCAACAGATCCTCTCTCTACAAAAATAGAAAACAGGCTGGGCGCAGTGGCTCATGCCTGTAGTCCCAGCTACTTGGGAAGCTGAGGCAGGAGAATCGCTTGAACCCGGGAGGCAGAGATTGCAGTGAGCTGAGATCGCACCACTGCACTGCAGCCTGGGTGACAGAGCGAGACTCCATCTCTCAAAAAAAAAAAGAAAGAAAAGAAAAGAAAACATTAGCCGGATGCGGTGGTGTGTGCCTGTAGTCCCAGCTACTCTGGAGGCTGAGGTGAGAGGATCCCCTTAGTCCAGGAGGTTGAGGCTGTGGTGAACCATGTTCCTGCCACTGCACTCCAACCTCGGTGACAGAGTGACACCCTGCCTCAAAAAAAAAAAAAAAGTTCACATTTGTATATAGCACCCACATGTGCCAGGCCCTGTTCTAAGAATTTTGTGTTTTAAATATTTGTGTCTATTAATTTGTGTGACCTTGGAGAAATTAATTTTGCCGGGTTTCAGTTTTCTCATCTGCTATGTGGGGATCAATAACACCATATACTTCACACAATTGTTGTGAACATTCAACTTACAGAGTTATTTCTTTTTCTTTTTGAGACAAGGTCTCACTCTGTCACCCAGGCTGGAGTGCAATAGCGTCATCACAGCTCACTGCAGCCTCAACCTCCCAGGCTCAAGCAATCCTCCTGCCTCGGCCTCCCAAAGTATTGGGGTTACAGGTGTGAGCCACCGTGCCTAGCCAGAACACCCAAATTTTATACAAGCAAAGGAAAGACAACAAACCCTGCATCTGTGGTCTGAGAGCGCCTGGCATCCAACTTAGAACCTAATAGATCACCTAGTCGTTCTCAGGAATATGAGAGGCTTAGGAATGTGATCTAGCCAAATGGCTGCCCCTCTTTCAGCCTGAGTCCCTTCTGCAATAATCCTATCATATGCTTCTGGCGCTGGTGATAGGGATGAGCTCAGGGTTTAGGCACACAGCTCAGGATGTATACGGAGGCTACACTGCTGCCATTCGCAGACTGAATAACTGAGCTTTTGAGCTCAAAGTGGTCTGGGCTATTTATGGGTAACTTTCAGGGGCTGCAGGGAGGAACAAACCAATAAATAAAACATCCATGCATTCATCCAATAAACTTTTTTTTTTTTGAGATGGGAGTCTCGCTCTGTTGCCCAGGCTGGAGTGCAGTGGCACGATCTCAGCTCACTGCAACCTCCGCCTCCCAGGTTCAAGCTATTCTCCTGCCTCAGCCTCCGGAGTAGCTGGCATTACAGGCGCACACCAACACGCCCAGCTAATTTTTGTATTTTTAGTAGAGATGGGATTTCACCATGTCGGTCAGGCTGGTCTCGAAATCCTGACCTCGTGATGTGCCTGCCTCGGCCTCCCAAAGTGCTGAGATTACAGGCATGAACCACCGCGCCCGGCCTCCAATAAACATTTATTGGGCACCTACGGTGTTCCAGGCGCTGGTCTAGGCGTTGGGGTTACAACAACGCACAAAACATAAATTCTGAAGCTGACACGCTAGCTTTAAACGTTCCTTAAATATCTTCATCCTCAATTTACGGTTGAGGAAACTGAGGTGTAGCGAGACCTTGGAGGTTTCCGAAATATTATTATGGATGGCAGGTGTAGAGCCCTGCCAACCTCTCGATCCTGAAGCTCCCCTTCCAGCCTGAGAAACGGCAGGTTCAAGTCCCACTGGGAGACCAAAGCGGGGAGCGGCTCAGTTTGCCGGCTTGCTCAATGGGTAAGGCGTGATGGCTCTAAGCAGGCCTCAGTTGTCTCGTCCAGAGCAATGGGCAGCGACGCCTGCCCAACCCCTCCTGAGCGCCCAGCCTCCCTTTCCCGGCCGGCCCCGCCCCCGCGATCACGTGACGCGTGGGGGTTTTCCCGTTCCCCAGGCGTGACGTCACGGCGGGGTGCAGACCAATGGGCGCGCAGGCCGGCGGCGCCGGGGAATTCCGCCGCCCCGCCCCCGCCCGCCGCCCGCCCGGCCCGGCCCCGCGCCCCGCGCAGCCCCGGGCGCCGCGCGTCCTGCCCGGCCTGCGGCCCCAGCCCTTGCGCCGCTCGTCCGACCCGCGATCGTCCACCAGACCGTGCCTCCCGGCCGCCCGGCCGGCCCGCGTGCATGCTTCGGTCTGGGCCAGCCTCTGGGCCGTCCGTCCCCACTGGCCGGGCCATGCCGAGTCGCCGCGTCGCCAGACCGCCGGCTGCGCCGGAGCTGGGGGCCTTAGGTAAGCGGGGCTGGGGTTCAGGAGAGGGGTCTGGGGCGGGGCTGGAGATGCGGGGATTCTGGCGGTCCCGGAGTAGTCTGGGGGTTCCTATGGGAGTCTAAGGGTTTCGCGGGGGCAGAGTGAGGGTTCCTGAGACACTGTATTAGGGCGTAGGAAGAAGGCAGAGGGTGATGAGGGGGTACGGCCCGAGGTTCGAGCGAGGCGTCCCGCTGTAGAGTGAGAGGGGGCGGGGCCTGACCCTGAGGCAAAGAAGGGGGCGTGGCCTGACTCAGAGAAGGCGGAGCGAAAGCTGCTCTTGGGCGGTATCGGGGCGGGGCCGGGCCCAGAGAGGGAGAAGAGGGGCGGGATCCGACCCGGACTATGAGAAGAGGGCCGGGCCTGACTCAAAAAAGGAAGCAGGGCCCTACGCTGAGGGGTGAGGGGGCGGGGCCTGGCCGTGAGGGCAGGAAGGGGGCGGGGCCTGAGTTGGCCGAAAGAAGGGGAAGGGGCGGGGCCTGACTCTGGCCGAGTGGAGGGGAAGGGCCTGTTACCCAAAAAAGCAGGGCGGGGCCCGACACAGAGAATGAGGAGGGGGTGGGGCTTGCCTCCAGACGGAGAAGCGGAGCCTTGACATTGAAAAAATTAAAAGTGGTCTGACCCTGACAGGAGGATGTTTTTTTTTGTTTGTTTTTTGTTTTTTTCTTTTGAGATGGAGTCTCGCTCTGTCGCCCAGGCTGGAGTGCAGTGGCACGATCTAGGCTCACTGCAACCTCTGCCTCCCGGGCTCAAGCAGTTCTCCTGCCTCAGCCCCCCGAGTAGCTGGAATTACAGGTGCCCGCCACCACACCCGGCTAATTTTTGTAGTTTTACTAGAGACGGGGTTTCACCATGCTGGTCAGACTGGCCTCGAACTTCTGACCTCAGGTGATCCGCACGCCTCGGCCTCTCAAAGTGCTGGGATTACAGGTGTGAGCCCTTGTGCCCAGCGGGATGGGGACTTTTTAAACTGAGATTGAGATGGGGTCCCCTCCAGGCCCAACTTTAAGGGAGAAAAGGAGCGGGCCCTGAGTGTGATGAAGGGTGGGGCGAACCACAGAAACTAAAGGCCAGGACCTGTCCATGATTTAGCTGGTAAGCCTGGCCAGACGCAGGGGGGCAGTCAGGGCGAGGGGCCTGATCCAGAGGGGAAGGGCTAGAAGAGGAAGGGGTGGGGCTTCCTTGGGATATTCTCTGGTCCTCTGGCTGCCCCCCATCACCTCCTGAGACGTTTCTCCTTCTCTGCAGGGTCCCCCGACCTCTCCTCACTCTCGCTCGCCGTTTCCAGGAGCACAGGTGAGCAGCCCTCCACAGTTCCTGCCCACTCGCTCATGCAGGATGAGGTTGGGAGGACTCCACAGAGATGTCTCTGTTTGGGGGTTCACGAGGTCCACCTCAGCTTTCTCCTGACAGGGTGCATCCCTCCCTGCCAGTTGAGATGGGCCCCCTAGGTTTTCTTACCTCTTGGACTGTTAAGAGCGTGACAGGTGGCCGGGCGCGGTGGCTCACGCCTGTAGTCCCAGCACTTTGGGAGGCCGAGGCGGACGGATCACGAGGTCAGGAGATCGAGACCATCCTGGCTAACACGGTGAAACCCCGTCTCTACTGAAAATACAAAAACAAAATTAGCCGGGCGTGGTGGCGGGCTCCTGTAGTCCCAGCTACTCGGGAGGCTGAGGCAGGAGAATGGCGTGAACCTGGGAGGCGGAGCTTGCAGTGAGCCGAGATCGCACCACTGCACTCCAGCCTGGGAGACAGAGCGAGACTCCGACTCAAAAAAAAAAAAAAAAAAAAAAAAAGCGTGACAGGTAAATCTTACCACCTATCCATGCGCAAAGGCTTCTTTAGAGATTCACTGTGGCTTAGTAGAAGGTAATCACTGCCATCCTGGGCTTTGGAGCTGGGGTTTACATACTGCTGTCATCGCCCCTCCCTGTGTGAATGTCTGCAAGTCAGTTCCCCAGTTCAGGCCTCAGTTTTCCTCATCTGTAAGATGGACAGAATAACAGTGCCTCTCTTTCAGGGAAATTGAGAGTATTCAATGAATTGATACAGGTACACTTTCCAAGCAGTATCTGGCACACAGTAAGGGTTCAGTAAGTGTTAACTGTTAGTGGTATAATAATAATAACGATAATAATTATTATTACTAGACAGTCTATAACAGTGGTTCATTTTTGGTGTGTGTGTGGGTTTTTTTTGTCTGTTTTTTGTGTTTTTTTTTTTTTTTTTTTTTTTTTTGAGACAGAGTCTCGCTGTGTCACCCAGGCTGGAGTACATTGATGCGATTTTGACTCACTGCAATCTCCACCTCCCGGGTTCAGCAATTCTCCTGCCTCAGCCTCCTGAGTAGCTGGGATTACAGGCACCCGCCACCACAACCCACTTTGTGTCTTTAGTAGAGATGGGGTTTCACCATGTTGGCCAGGCTGGTCTTGAACTCCTGACCTCAGGTAATCCGCCCGCCTCAGCCTCCCAAAGTGCTGGGATTACAGGTGTGAGCCACCTCGCCTGGCCAGACAGTGGTTCTTTTTTTTTTGAGACGGAGTTTCATTCCTGTTGCCCAGGCTGGAGTACAATGGCGCGATCTCGGCTCACTGCAACCTCCACCTCTCAGGTTCGAGCAATTCTCCTGCCTCAGCCTCCCAAGTAGCTGGGATTACAGTCATGTGCCACCACGCTCAGCTAATTTTTTGTATTTTTAGTAGAGACAGGGTTTCTCCATGTTGGTCAGGCTGGTCTCGAACTCCTGACCTCAAAGGATCCGCCCTCCTCGGCCTCCCAAAGTGCTGGGATTACAGGCGCGAGCCACCGTGCCTGGCCAGACAGTGGTTCTTAAACCATGTGCATCAGAATCATCCATAGCGCTAGTTAAAACATAATGTCGCCTGATGTGGTGGCTCATGCCTGTAATCCCGGCACTTTGGGAGGCCGAGGTAGGCTCATCACCTGAGGTCGGGAGTTCTAGACCAGGCTGACCAACATGGAGAAACACCATCTCTACTAAAAATACAAAATTAGCTGGGCGTGGTGGCGCATGCCTGTAATCCCAAATATTCAGGAGGCTGAGGCAGGAGAATCACTTGAACCTGGGAGGTGGAGGTTGCCGTGAGCCGAGATCATGGCATTGCACTCCAGCCTGGGCAACAAGAGTGAAACTCCGTCTCAAACAAACAAACAAAAAAACAGCCGGCCGTGGTGGCTCACTCCTGTGATCCCAGCACTTTGGGAGGTCGAGACAGGCAGATCACAAGGTCAGGAGTTCAAGACCAGCCTGGCCAATATGTTGAAACCCCATCTCTACTAAAAATACAAAAAAAATTAGCCAGGCGTGGTGGCAGGCACCTGTAATCCCAGCTACTTGGGAGGCTGAGGCAGGAGAATCACTTGAACCCGGGAGGCGGAAGTTGCAGTGAGCGGGGATCGTGCCACTGCACTCCAGCCTGGGTGACAGAGCAAGAGCCTCCGTCTCAGGAAAAAAAACAAAAAACCATGTCAGGCCCCACCTCTCGAGTTTCTGATTCAGTAGGTTTGGGATGAGAAATTATTTGCATTTTTAGCAAGCTCCCAAGAGATGCCTAGAACTACTAGTCTATAAAGTCCCCCAGCCAAAATTCAGTGCTGCCCAAGGAAATGCAGAATCTCAACCAAATTATGACATTTTTTCTTATATACATTTGCCAGGATTTGGAGGGCAGGGGTAGTCCTGTTGTTATGAATACTCAGTGGCTCCAGTTAGCTGGGTCTGGGCCTTTCTCTGGAGATATAATCTTGGGATGGACCCAAGTTCTGGCTTGGCCATTGAAGAAGTGAGGCCGGTTCCCCAACAGGTCTGTGAGTTTAGGGAGGATGGCATCAGTGACAGACACTGCCCAAGCGGTGGTCCTGCGCAGGAACAAGGCTGAGACTTTTCTTTTTTTTGAGACAGAGTCTCGCTCTGTCACCCAGCCTGGAGTGTAGTGTCACAATCTCGGCTCACTGCAACCTCCGCCTCCCAGGTTCAAGTGATTCTCCTGCCTCAGCCTCCCGAGTAGCTGAGATTATAGGCGTGTGCCACCATGTCCACCTAATTTTTGTATTTTTAGTAGAGACGGGGTTTTGCCATGTTGGCCAGGCCGGTCTGGAACTCCTGGCCTCAAGCGATCTGCCTGCCTTGGCCTCCCAAAGTGCTAGGATTACAGGCATGAGCCACCGTGCCCGGCCAAGGCTGAGACTTTTCTGGTCCAAGACCTAGATCTTTGGTTTCAAATGAGAGTTATTTCTGATGTCATCCATTCAATAAATATTTATTATGCGCCTGTTCTGTACCTGGCCTTGTGCCGAGCAGTGCTGAGGACAGGCCTGGCCCTGGGGTTCCCTACCTAGATGAGGAGGCAGACACGTAAACAATAAGTTAAATATGGGATTATAAAATGTGATAAGGGCTATGAAGAAACCTTGGGGTCAATGATATTTAATAACAGGGTGGGGATACGAGAACTAGTGAGATAGAATGGGAAGGAAAATTCCCTTTTTGTTTTTGGAGGCAGAGTCTCATTCTGTCGCCTACACTGGAGTGCGGTGGCGTGATCTAGGCTTACTGCAACCTCCGACTCCCGGGTTCAAGCCATCCTCCTGCCTCAGCCTCTCAAACAGCTGGGATTCCAGGCGTGTGCCACCACACGCAGCTGATTTTTGTACTTTTAGAGAAACGGGGTTTCACCACGTTGGCCAGGCTTGTCTCAAAATCCTGACCTCCACTGATCCAGCCACCTCGGCCTCTCAAAGTGCTGGGATTACAGGCATGAGCCACTGTGCCCAGCGAGAAAATCCCCTTCATTGTGAAGGGCCAGACATATGCTGGACCCTGGGGATAAAATGAGGAGAAACAGACATTATTCCCACTCTTCAATGCTCCCAGTCTATAGGAGACAGGTATGAGTCAGTGTAATGTGAGGTCATGTGACATCTTCATCAGCGCCATGAAAATGATAAAACAGGCTGGGTGTGGTGGCTCATGCCTGTAATCCCAGCACTTTGGGAGGCCGAGGTGGGTGGATCACCTGAGGTCAGGAGTTCAAGACCAGCCTGACCAACGTGGCAAAACCTCATCTCTACTAAAAATACGAAAATTAGCTGGGTGTGGTGGCCTGTAATCCCAGCTACTCAGGAGGCTGAGGCAGGAGAATCACTTGAACCTGCGAGGCGGAGGTTGTGGTGAGCTGAGATTGCATCATTGCACTCCAGCCTGGGTGACAACAGCAAAACTCCATCTGAAAAAAAAAAAAAAAAAGAAAATGATAAAACAAAGGCACCTGACTTTGAGGGACTGGAGTGGGGGATAAGGGGACTCTCTTGGATAAAATGGTCAGGGAAGAGCTGTCTAGGATGTGACGTTTGACCAAGGAACTGAAGATGGAGGAGGAGGAAGTCACGCCATGCAAAGAACTGGGGGAAGAGCATTCAGGCAGAGACCAGCCTGTGCAAAGGCTGAGGCAGCACATACATAGTCAATTTCCTGCTCTCACATCTGCTCTCACGTGGCCCATCCTGGCTGCCCCTGAATGGTGGCAAGTCCACGTTGGGGGTAAAGGGAGGCACTGCTATTTGAGCAGAAACTTGAATAATTTCCTGGCTAATAGAGGACTTGAGATAATAATAATATTAACTAAGCTTTCTGGAAGATGTCGCGTGGTCAGAACCTGCACTAAGTAGTTTACCTGTGTGATTCTGAATCCTCATGTTAGTTCCTGAGGTAGGAGCTCACACCTCATTTTGTAGAGGAAGCTCAGAGACGGTAAGTGACTTGCCCAAGGCTGCACAGCCAGTGAGTAACAGCTGAGATTCAAATCAACTCTATGTGACTCTACACTCCATGCTCTAAAATCATGCCCATGGCCAGGCGTGGTGGCTCACACCTGTAATCCCAGCACTTTGGGAGGCTGGGGTGGGTGGGTCACTTGAGGCCAGGAGTTCGAGACCAGCCTGGCCAACATGGTGAAACCCCGTCTCTACTAAAAGTACAAAAATTAGCCGGGCATGGTGGTACGAGACTGTAATCCCAGCTACTCAGGAGGCTGAGGCAGGAGAATCGCTAGAACCCGGGAGGCAGAGGTTGCAGTGAGCCAAGAATGCACCACACTGTACTCCAGCCTGGGTGACAGAGCAAGACTCCATCTCAAAAAATAGAAAATAGGCTGGGCGTGGTGGCTCACGCCTGTAATCCCAGCACTTTAGGAGGCCGAGGTGCGCGGATCATGAGGTCAGGAGATCGAGACTAGCCTGACTAACATAGTAAAACCCCGTCTCTGCTAAAAATACAAAAAAAAAAAAAAAAAAAAAAAGCCGGGTGTGGTGGTGTGCACCTGTAATCTCAGCTACTCGGGAGGCTGAGACAGGAGAATCACTTGAACCCAGGAGGCAGAGGTTGCAGTGAGCCAAGATTGTGCCACTGCACCCTAGCCTGGGTGACAGAGCAAGACTCCGTCTCAAAAAAATAAAAATAAATAAAATAAAATAAAATAAAATATTAAATAAAAGTATCTTAGCCCAACAAGGTAGGCATTATTATTGTGCCCATTTTACAGATGAAGAAGCCAAGGCACAAAAAGGTGAAGTAATAGGCTTATGGCCCCACAACTAGCAAGTTGCAGAGCCAGGATTTGAACAGAGGCAGTGAACCCAGAGCTCCAGCCACAGCCGCCCAGGACTCAGTCTCCCCCTACAGCCCGGGAGCCTCTGGAGGGTCCAAAGTCTAACTCTGTCTTTGGGTCCCCAGGTTCATCCAGCACAGATGCCTAAGAAGGATTTTCCCAGTTCAAGTGACTTGAGGTTGGCCCTGCCACTGACCTAGAGCGTGTCCCTTCCTCTCTGCCAGCCTCAGTATCCCCATCTGCCAAATTGGGGGGACCTTGGCACCCTACTGGCTTCACAGATCCCATGAGATAAGGGGTGCAGGAAAACTACCTTTCAAGGGGCAAAGGTCTGGCTGCCAGGAGCCACTCCCTGAGAACAGAGGAGGACAGATCTAGCAGCGGAACAGGTTCGCGTCTATAAATCCCCAGCCAGAGACCAGCGCAGGCAGCCCTGGGTGGGACACCTGGCTGCAGCTGCCTTCCGTTGCTGTGTGATTCTAAGGCTCACTGGCGGCCTCTGGGCTTCCCCTTGTCCTGTCTATGGAATGACGGGAGGTCGGTTTCGATTCCTCCACGATTCTGTGAAGGGCTGAGCTTTCCTGGGGAGGTGAAAAGGGGCTTCCCTGAGGACCCAGCATTACTGTACCTCCTCACTTAGGAAGCAGGGGTGAATCTGGGATTTTGGGTGGTCACTGTGGGAGGACAGGGCTGGGGTACAGAGCAAGAGGCTGCCTGGGTTCAGATCAGCCTCTTTGCATCTTTTTGTTGTTGTTGTTGTTTGTTTTTGAGACAGTCTCGCTCTGTTGTCCAGGCTGGAGTGCAGTGACGCAATCTCAGCTCACTGCAACCTCTGCCTCCTGAGTTCAAGCGATTCTCCTGCCTCAGCCTCCCGAGTAGCTGGGATTACAGGTGCCCACCACGATACCCAGCTAATTTTTGTATTTTTAGTAGAGACGGGGTTTCGCCATGTTGGCCAGGCTGGTCTCGAACTCCTGACCTCAAGTGATCTGCCCACCTCAGCCTCCCAAAGTGCTGGGATTACAGGCGTGAGCCACCAGGCCTGGCCACCTCTTTGTATCTTTAAACACCAGCCAGTGACCTCCAGGACCCTGGGGTGGACTTCAGGGAGGGAACACACCCCAATTTGTTTGGAAATTTGGGCATCCACTTTTTCCTGGTGCTAAGACCCCTTTCTAATGGGTTCCCAAAAAGACTTCATAATCCCTGGTCTAAATGTTTTTCGGGAGGCATTTGGCTTAGTTGGAGGATACCCTGATGCTGGGACCCCAACATTAGAGGTTGAAAGGATGGTAGCCCAGAGGAGAAGATGAGGTTTGGGGTTTAGTGCCCCAGCAAGTCAGAGCCCAGGGTTTCCCAGGACGGAGGAAGACGGAAGGGTCACAGGAGGGACAGGGTTGGGGAATCTGTCTTAAAAGATGAAAAGTTGTGACCACTTTCTGGACCTTACCTTTCTCTTTCTCTTTCTCTTCCTTCCACAGATGAATTGGGTGAGTATCACAGGGCAGGTTTGCGGGGAGGCTGAGGGACCCAAGTGCCTACAGAAGGGGGTCTTGGCCTTCCTTGTTCAGTGGGGGTGGGGGAGAGGTGTCACTGTGTGACTTCCAGGACTGTGGAGGGATTTGAACGAAGTCATGCTCCTAAGGTACTTAGCAGTGCTTGACACTTGGAAAACACTCAGCACGCCGGGGGCTGTGTGACTCACACCTGTAATCCTGGCACTTTGGGAGGCAGAGGCAGGAGGACTGCTTGAGGCCAGGAGTTCAGGACTAGCCTGGGTAACATAGTGAGACCCCCATCTCTACACAAAATTTTTAAAAATTAGCCGGGCATGGTGGTGCGCACCTGTAGTCCCAGCTGCTCAGGAGGCTGAAGTGGGAGGATCACCTGAGCCTGGGAGGTTGCCTTGGAAGCCGAGGCTGCAGTGAGCTATGATTGCACCACTGCACTGCAGCCTGGGCGGCAGAGCAAGACCGTGTCTCAAAAAGAAAACCAATTAAAATAAAATAATGTTATTAATCCCCTAGTGAGTACAGACAGACACTGTTTTAGGCCCTGGGGATTTAGCCATGAACAAAACCAAGTCCCTGCCCTCGCAGAGCTGATAGCCCGGTGTGGGAGACAGAGGAAAATGAACAGATGAGCAAGATAATGTTAGCCTGGGCTGAGAGCTGTGAAAGAAATAAACAGGACGAGGGAGAGATGGCCTGGAGAAGACACATTAGGTTAGGCTTTTCTGAAGAGATAACATACGAGCTGAGACCAGGAGGAGAAGCAGCCAGCATGGGTTGAATGGGGGACCGTGTGGAACAGGCAGTTGGAGGAGCAAGTTCTTTCTTATTTATTTATTTAAGTTATTTTTTGAGACAGAGTCTCGCTCTGTCGCCCAGGCTGGAGTGCAGTGGTGCTGTCTCAGCTCACTGCAACCTCCACCTCCCAGGTTCAAGCAATTCTCCTGCCTCAGCCTCCCGAGTAGCTGGGAGTACAGGCATGCACCAACATACCTGGCTCATTTTTGTATTTATTTATCTATTTATTTAGAGATGGAATTTCGCTCTTGTTGCCCAGGCTGGAGTGCAATGGCATGATCTTGGCTCACTGCAACCTCCACCTCCCAGGTTTAAGTGATTCTCCTGCCTCTGCCTCCCGAGTAGCTGGAACTGCAGGCACACATCACCATGCCCAATTTTTATATTTTTAGTGGAGATGGGGTTTCACCATGTTCGCCAGGCAGGTCTCAAACTCCTGACCTCAGGTGATCCGCCTGCCTCGGCCTCCCAAAGTGCTGGGATTACAGGCGTGAGCCACCATGCCCAGCCTATTTATTTATTTATTATTATTATTTTTTGAGATGGAGTCTTGCTCTGTTGCGCAGGATGGAGTGCAGTGACGCAATCTCGGCTCACTGCAACCTCCGCCTGACGGTTTCAAGCGATTCTCCTGCCTCAGCCTCCTGAGTTGCTGGGACTACAGGCACGTGCCACCATGCCTGGCTAATTTTTTGTATTTTTAGTAGAGACAGGGTTTCACTGTGTTAGCCAGGATGGTCTCGATCTCCTGACCTCATGATCCGCCCGCCTCGGCCTCCCGAAATGCTGGGATTACAGGCATGAGCCACCGCGCCCAGCCTATTATTTATTGAGAGACGGAGTCTCACTCTGTCGCCCAGGCTGGCGTGCAGTGTCACGATCTTGACTTACTGCAGTGTCCGCCTCCTGGGTTCAAGCTGTTCTCCTGCCTCAGCCTCCTGAGTAGCTGGGATTACAGACGTGGGAGACCATTCGGGCTAATTTTTGTAGAGACGGGGTTTCACTATGTTGGCCAGGCTGGTCTCGAACTCCTGACCTCAATTGATTCACCCACCTTGGCCTCCCAAGGTGTTGGGATTACAGGCGTGAGCCACCGCACCTGGCCTCCCTGACTCTGTGTGTGTGTGTGTGTGTGTGTGTGTGTGTGTGTGTGTGTGAGAGAGAGAGAGAGAGAGAGAGAGAGAGAGAGAGAGATAAATGGGATGGAAAACGTCTCGGGGGTAATCAAGCCTTTTTTTTTTTTTTTAATTTTTTAAAGAATGGGCGTCACCACCCGTTTTTTCTTCTCCCGCAGAGATCATCGACGAGTACATCAAGGAGAACGGCTTCGGCCTGGACGGGGGACAGCCGGGCCCGGGCGAGGGGCTGCCACGCCTGGTGTCTCGCGGGGCTGCGTCCCTGAGCACGGTCACCCTGGGCCCTGTGGCGCCCCCAGCCACGCCGCCGCCTTGGGGCTGCCCCCTGGGCCGACTAGTGTCCCCAGCGCCGGGCCCGGGCCCGCAGCCGCACCTGGTCATCACGGAGCAGCCCAAGCAGCGCGGCATGCGCTTCCGCTACGAGTGCGAGGGCCGCTCGGCCGGCAGCATCCTTGGGGAGAGCAGCACCGAGGCCAGCAAGACGCTGCCCGCCATCGAGGTGGGCCCGGCGAGCGGCCCCGGGCGGGTGGGACTGGGGCTTCCCCTGCACCCCGGAGCCATCCACATGCATTTATACGTTTATTTGATGGTGGCTGTTGTTGTTATTGTTGGACCAGATATTAATTATACTATCACCTGGCCTGGAATCCAAAAGGTTCAGAAAAAAGGAGGGGTCGGACATTTGGCTGGGCACGGTGACTCGCGCCTGTAATCCCAGTACTTTGGGAGTCTGAGGCGGGCGGATCCCTTGATGTCAGGAGTTCGAGACCAGCCTGGCCAACATGGTGAAACCCCATCTGTACTAAAAGTACACAAATTAGCCGAGTGTGGTGGCACAATCCCAGCTATTTAGGAGGCCGAGGTGGGAGGATTAGCTGAGCCCAGGGAGGTGCAGGCTGCTGTGAGCTGAGATTGCACCATTGCATAGCAGTCTGGGTAACAGAGTGAGACCTTGTCTCAAAAAAAAAGAAAAAAAAAAAAGAAGGCAGATCGTGGTGCGGTGGCTCAGGCTTGTAATTCTAGCACTTTGGGAGGTCGAGGCGAGCGGATCACTCGAGCTCAGGAGTTCTAGATGAGCCTGGGCAAGACGGCAAAACCCCATCTCTACAAAAAATACAAAAATTAGCCAGGTGTGGTGGCACATGGCTGTAGTCCTAGCTACATGGTAGGGCTGAGGTGGGAGGATCGCTTGAGCCTAGGAGGTCAAGGCTACAGTGAGCCAAGATCGCACCACTGCACTCCAGCCTGAGCAACAGAGCAATACCCTGCCTCCATTAAAAAACAAACAAATATATATAACACTGGAAGTAAAAAAAGCAAAGGTGATTACTTTTGGCAGGGTATTAATGTATTAATAAGGTACAGGTAAGTTTTATTTTTTTGAGACGGAGTCTTGGTCTGTTGCCCAGGCTGGAGTGCAGTGGTGTGATCTCGCCTCACTGCAACCTCCACCTCCCGGGTTCAAGCGATTCTCCTGCCTCAGCCTCCCGAGTAGCTGGGATTACAGGTCCACCACCACGCCTGGCTAATTTTTGTATTTCTTAGTAGAGAAGGGGTTTTGCCATGTTGGCCAGGCTGGTCTCAAACCCCTGACCTCAAGTGATCCGCATGCCTTGGCCTTCCAGAGTGCTGGGATTGCAGGTGTGAGCCACTGTGCCTGGCCTCTTTGGTGTCTGTTAATCTGGATCTGTTCTTCAATCTGTCTTTGTGTTTCGTGAGTTGAACATTTGTGCAGAACAGGACGGATGTTTTGTAGAATGTCCCACATTCTGAAGCTGGTCGTGGTGGCTCATGCCTGTAATCCTAGCACTTTGGGAGGCCGAGGCAGGCGGATCACCTGAGGTCGGGAGTTCGAGACCACCCTGACCAACATGGAGAAACCCCATGTCTACTGAAAATACAAAATTAGTGCGGCGTGGTGGTGCATGCCTGTAATCCCAGCTACTCGGGAGGCTGAGGCAGAAGAATCACTTGAATCCGGGAGGCAGAGGCTGCGGTGAGCCAAGATCGTGCCATTGCTCTCCGGCCTGAGCGACAAGAGCAAAACTCCTTCTAAAAAAAAGAAAAAGAAAAAGAAAAAAAGAATATCCCACATTCTGGGTTTGTTGGCTGTTTCCAGATTAGGTCAGATTATGCATTTTTGGCAGAAACACTCCAGCAGTGATGCTGTGGCCTTCTCAGTGTCTCACATCAAGGGACGTGGGATGTCGTTATTCCCAATATTGGTGATGCTGAGTTGGATCCTCCAGCTAATGTGGTGACTATCAGGTCTCTCCATGATAAAGATACAACTTTCCCTTTGTAATGAATTGGTAAGTTATCTATGGGATGATATACTGAGATGTATCATCCCATGTTTAACTGTATTCCCCAACTTCTAATTTCTAAGGCTTTTTTTTTTTTTTTTTTGGAGACAGGGTCTCTCTCTGTCACAGAGGCTGGAGTAAAGTGGCACAAGCACGGCTCACTGCAGCCTCCACCTCCCAGGCTCAAGAGACCCTCCCACCTCAGCCTCCTGAGTTGCTGGGACTACAGGTGCATGCCACCGTGCCTGGCTAATTTTTGTATTTTTTTGAAGAGTTGGCATCTCACCATGTTGTCCAGGCTGGTCTTGAACTTCTGGCCTCAAGCAATCCTCCCACTTTGGCCTCCCAAAGTGTTGGAATTACATGTGTGAGCCACCGCACCGGCCTAATTTCTAAGTCTTCCCAGGCAGTTATTCTGGCTCAGAGTTTTTTTTTGTTTTTTGGTTTTTTTTTTGATGGAATCTTGCTCTGTCACCCAGGCTGGAGTGCAATGGTGCAATCTCAGCTCACAGCAACCTCCACCTCCTGGGTTCAAGCGATTCTCCTGCCTCAGCCTCCCAAGTAGCTGGGATTACAGGCACGCGCCATGATGTCCGGCTAATATTTTGTACTTTTAGTAGAGATGGGGTTTCACCATGTTGGCCAGGCTGGTCTTGAACTTCTGACCCCAAGTGATCTGTCTGCCTCAGCCTCCCAAAGTGCTGGGATTACAGGTGTGAGCCACCGTGCTCGGACCCCAGAGTTGGTTTTGATTTCCAAGATTTAGAATGGTAAATGCCTAACCATAGGGAATGACCTGTCTCCAAATCTGGATTCAGGATTTTTTTTTTTTTTTTTGAGACGGAGTCTTGCTCTGTTGCCCAGGCTGGAGTGCAGTGGTGTGATCTCAGCTCACTGCAACTTCCGCCTCCTGGGTTCAAGCGATTCTCCTGTCTTAGCCTCCCAAGTAGCTGGGATTACAGGTGTGCACCACCATGCCCAGCTAATTTTTGTATTTTTAGTAGAGACAGGGTTTCACCACATTGGCCAGGCTGATGTCAAACTCCTGCCCTCAGGTAATCCACCTGCCTCGGCCTCCCAAAGTGCTGGGATTACAGGCATGAGCCAGCATGCCTGGCTTGGATTCAGGATGTTTATCCCCATCTTCAGAGTAGGAAACTGAGGTTAAAAGAGGGGCAGTTACCTGCACAGGGCACACAGCAAGTTTACTATTGTAATTACCGCCATTTACTGAGTGCTTCCATGTACCAGGTACTTTGCATACCTATTTTACACATAAAGACAGTAAGACCCGAGAGGTTTATCTTGTAGATGGCCAGTGGTAGAGCCTGGATTTGGTGCCAGGTCGGACTTATTCTAAAGCCTAATGGGCCAGGCATGGTGGCTCATGCCTGTGATCCCAGCACCTTGGGAGACTAAGGCAGGAGGATCACTTGAGGCCAGGAGTTCAAGACCAGCCCAGGTGACATGGCAAGATGCCCGTCTCTATAAAAATAAAAAAATTAGCCAGGCGTGGTGGCATGCGCCTGGGGTCCCAGCACCATGGGAGGCTGAATGGGGAGGATTGCTTGAGCCTGGGAAGTGGAGGCTGCAGTGAGCCATGGTCACACCACTGCACTCCAGTCTGGGTGACAGAGAAAGATGCTATCTCAAAAAAAAAAAAGAAAAAAGAAACAACTAAAGTCTAATGTTTTTTCCACAGTCCCAACTGACATCTCAAGGATGAAAAGCTTTCAGCCCTGGAGTCTGCATGAGTCCGAGACTGTTGACTCTAAGCTTTTCAGAATCTCCTACTATTACAGCGGGGAGCTGGTTAAATGAATGGTTTTAACCCTATCTGACCCAGTGAGATTTGTAGACAATATTACCTACCTCTATTCACAGTCACTCCCAAAGTCCATATTTTATTTTATTTTATTATTATTTTTTTTTTGAGATGCAGTCTCGCTCTGTCACCCAGGCTGGAGTGCAGTGGCATGCAACCTCCGCCTCCTGAGTTCAAGTGATTCTCCTGCCTCAGCCTCCCGGGTAGCTGAGATTACAGGCACCTGCCAGCAGGCCCGGCTAATTTTTGTGTTTTTAGTAGAGACGGGGTTTCACCATGTTGGCCAGGCTGGTCTCGAACTCCTGACCTCAAGTGATCTGCCTGCCTCAGCCTCCCACAGTGCTGGGATTACAGGCGTGAGCCACCGTGCCTGGCCAAAACTCCATATTTTACACCAAACTGTAGTATAAAAGAGAAAGAAAAGGAAATTAATACAGCATATATAATCACATTTATTTCAATATGTAAACGCCCCACAGGATATATGAGGAAGGTGGCAGTTGTTTGTGACTATATATAGGCTCCTTGTTAATGCCGTGGCCACAAATGCAGCCTGACCCAGCTGCGCAGACTTAGTGACTTATATGTCACACGTGCAGGGTTGCGGTTGGTGAGGGGATTTTCCAAAGTGGCGAACAACTCTTGGTCTAAACAATTAGTGTGCTGGTTGCAATCTTTGAAAATTCAGTGGGTATTACAGTTATGGGAAACTCCAGCCTGGGTGACAGAGTTAGACCTCGTCTCAAAAAAGAAAAAGGAAAAACAATTATGGGAAAGAATATTATTGGTGTCAAACAGAGCAAGGGCCAGGTGTGATGCATGCCTGTAAGCCCAGATGTTTGGGAGACTAAAGTGGAAGTATTGCTTGAGTCTGGGAGGCGGAGGTTGCAGTGAGCTGAGATCGTGCCATTGCACTCCAGCCTGTGCGAGATCCTGTCTTAAAAACAAACAAACAAACAAACAAACAAATCCACTCAGCAACAATAGAGCAAGTTTCTGGGATCTGGTCATTTTAAACAGGTTTCTTATTGACTCGAATCTTTGGCAGGATGTTCAGAAGGCTTGCTGGCTGTGGGATGGCTGTGCGGGACTGTCCCTGGTATTATAAACTGTCCAGCATAACTGGTCCTGTCTACTTGCGGTAGGGTCCACATCAGTGTCAACCAGCCACCCCCCAAATCCCATTTTTCCCCTAGGGGGCAGCACTCCCCCACTGAGACCAATGGTTAATGGTATTTTATAGGCTTGGGCTTTAGAAGTTCAGAGCAGGCTTCAGAAGGTATTTAATGCCAGCAGGGCTGAGCCAGTGACTCAAAGCTGCCAAGTGGGACTGGCCCTGCCTAACGGGGCTGGTTTTTATTTGCTGCTGCCTGTGGCTGCTGAGCAAAAATTCTGGCTTCACTTGCTATATCTTCCTTTTTTAAAAAAGAAAAATCTGGGGAGGCCGAGGTGGGCGGACCACCTGAGGTTAGGAGTTCGAGGCCCTGGAGGCTGGGATCGCACCACTGCACTCCAGCCTGGGCAACAGAGAGAATCTGTCTAAAAAAAAAAAAAACAATTCTGGAAATCCGAAATAATGTGATGTCTTATAATTTTAATTGTGGGCTCCAAGTTTTTCCTAATCTTTTACTTGGAAAAAAAAGTTTTAGTTTTTTCCTGTCTAGTTTTTCTTTTTAAGTTTTATTGAGGTATAATTGATGTAAGAAAAATTGCACATACTTAATGTATACATTTTGATGAATTTGTTATTATTCCTTTTTTTTTTTTTTTGAGACAGAGTTTTGCTCTTGTTGCCCAGGCTGGAGTGCAATGGTGCGATCTCTGCCTCTCAGGTTCAAGCAGTCCTCTTGCCTCAGCCTCCTGAGTTGGTAGGATTACAGGCCTGTACCATCATGCCTGGCTAATTTTGTATTTTTAGTAGAGAGGGGGTTTTGCCATGTTGCCCAGGCTGGTCTCGAACTCCTGGCCTCAGGTGATCCACCCGCCTCAGCCTCCCAAAGTGCTGGGATTGCAGGCACGAACCACCGTGCCCAGCCCTTTTGATTAGTTTGGATGATAAAAGAATTTAAACCTAGAGACCAGGCGCGGTGGCTCACGCCTGTAATCCCAGCATTTTGGGAGGCCGAGGCAGGTGGATCACCTGAGGTCAGGAGTTCGAGACCAGCCTGGCCAACATGGAGAAACCCCATCTATACTAAAAATACAAAAATTCTTGGCCGAGCGTGGTGGCTCAGGCCTGTAATCCCAGCACTTTGGGAGACTAAGGCAGGCAGATCACAAGGTCAGGAGGTGGAGACCATCCTGGCTAACATGGTGAAACCCCGTCTCTACTAAAAATACAAAAAATTAGCCAGGTGTGGTGGCGGGCGCCTATAGTCCCAGCTACTCGAGAGGCTGAGGCAGGAGAATGGCGTGAACCCAGGAGGTGGAGCGTGCAGTGAGCTGAGATCGTGCCACTGCACCCCAGCCTGGCCAACAGAGCGAGACTCCATCTCAAAAAAGTAAAATAAAATAAAAATACAAAAATTAGCCAGGCATGGTGGCAGGCACCTGTAATCTTAGCTACTTAGAAGGTAGAGACGAGAATGGCTTGAACCTGGGAGGCAGGGGTTGCAGTGAGCTGAGATCATGCCATTGCACTCCAGCCTGGGCAACAGAGCAAGACTCCATCTCAAAAAAATAAATAAATAAGAATTTAAACCTACAGAAAAGTTAAAAAATAATACACTGAGTATCTTTGAAAGGTGAGTGCCTGTTATTTATTTATTTTTTTTTAATTTTTTTTGAGACAGAGTTTCGCTCTTGTTGCCCAGGCTGTAGTGCAATGGCGCGATCTCGGCTCACTGCAACTTGTGCCTCCCAGGTTCAAGCGATTCTCCTGCCTCAGCCTCCCGAGTAGCTGGGATTACAGACATGTGCCACCACGCCCTGCTAATTTTGTATTTTTAGTAGAGACGGGGTTTCTCCATGTCGGTCAGGCTGGTCTCGAATTCCTGACCTCAGGTGATCCACCCGCCAGATTACAGGCGTGAGCCACCGCGCTCGGCTGAAAGCTAGTGCCTTTCATCTATATTCACCAGTTGACATTTTGCCACATCTGCTGTGTCTCTCATTCTGTCTCCGCACAGCCAAACATACACACACACAGATACATACATTTTTGTTTTGTTTTGAGACAGGGTCTTGCTCTATTGCCCAGGCTGGAATACAGTGACGCCATCACAGCTCACTGAAGCCCGGATCTCCAGGGTTCAAGCAGTTTTCCCATCTTAGCCTCCTGAGTACCTGGGACTACAGGTGCATTCCACCACACCTGGCTGATTTTTGTATTTTTTGTAGAGATGGGGTCTGCACATGTTGCCCAGGCTGGTCTTGAACTCCTGTGCTGAAGCAACCCACCTTCCCTGGCCTCCAAAAAGTGCTGGGATTACAGGTGTGAGCCACCACGCCTGGCCGACACATTGTTTTTTTGATGACTCATTTACAAATGAATTGTAGCCATCATGCTACTTCACCCCTAATTCCTTCAGGATGTATCTCCTAATCATAAGCTCCTCTGTAGCTACAATCTCATTAATCACCTCTAGGAAAATTAGTAATCCCATCAAATCATGTAATATACAGTCCATATTTCAATTTCCCAATTGTTTCCAAAATGTGTTTTATAGTTGTTTCTTCCTCCTTAATCCAGGATTTAACCAAGGATCATGTTGCATTTGGTTGTCCTATCTCATTAGTCTCTCTCCTTCTCTCTTTATTTATGTATTTATGTATTTATTTATTTTTTGAGAAGGAGTCTTGCTTTGTCACCCAGGCTGGAGTGCAATGGCACGATCTGGGCCCACCGCAACCTCCATCTCCAGGGTTCAAGTGATTCTCCTGCCTCAGCCTCCCGAGTAGCTGGGACTACAGGCATGTGCCACCACGTGCGGCTAATTTTGTATTTTTAGTAGAGACGGTGTTTCTCCATGTTGGTCAGCCTGGTCTCAAACTCCCGACCTCAGTTGATCCACCCACCTCGGCCTCCTCAAACTCCCAACCTCAGGTGATCCACCCACCTCGGCCTCCTCAAACTCCCGACCTCAGGTGATCCCCCACCTCGGCCTCCCAAAGCGTCGGGATTACAGGCGTGAGCCACTGTGCGCAGCCCTTCTCTCCTTTTTTAAAAAAATTAAGATATAATTGATCATATATAGTTAAGATTAAAGCTCTGAATTTTTACATATAATGTATACATATGTAGTTTACACAGTGTAACTACCTACCACCCAGGCACCCAGGTCACAATACATGATTTATTCTCTTTCTCTCTCTCTCTTTTTTTTTTTTTCTTTTTTGAGACAGGGACTTTGTCACCCAGGCTGGAGTGCAGTGACGCAATCTGGGCTCATTGCAACTTCCACGTCTCAGGCTTAAGTGATCCTCCCACCTCAGCTTCCAGAGTAGCTGGGATTATAGATGCCTGTCACCACACCTGGCTAATTTTTGTATTTTTTATAGAGACGGGGTTGCCCAGGCTGGTCTTGAACTCCTGGTCTCAAGCAGTCCTCCCACCTCAACCTCCCAAAGTACTGGGATTACAGGCGTGAGCCACTGTGCCTGGCCCATCATTTGTTGTCTTTTAACCCCAAATGTGGCACCCATCTTTTTTTTTTTTTTTTTTTTTTGAGACGGAGTCTCGCTCTGTCGCCCAGGCTGGAGTGCAGTGGCGCGATCTTGGCTCACTGCAAGCTCCGCCTCCCGGGTTCACGCCATTCTTCTGCCTCAGCCTCCCAAGTAGCTGGGACTACAGGTGCCCGCCACCACGCCCAGCTAATTTTTTGTATTTTTAGTAGAGATGGGGTTTCACCATGTTAGCCAGGATGGTCTCGATCTCCTGACCTCATGATCTGCCCGTCTCAGCCTCCCAAAGTGCTGGGATTACAGGCGTGAGCCACCGCACCCGGCCATGGCACCCATCTTTATAGTCTTCCATGACACTGAAATTTTCACGTGGTGGCTCATGCCTGTCATCCCAGCGCTTTAGGAGGCCAAGGCAGGCAGATCGCTTGAGTTCAGGAGTTTGAGACCAGCTTGGGCAATGTAGCGAAACTCCGTCTCTACTGAAAACACAAAAATTAGCCAGGCATGGTAGTGTGCGCCTGTAGTCCCAGCTACTCAGGAGGCTGCGGCAGGAGAATCCCTTGAGCCCGGAGGCGGAGGTTGCAGTGAGCTGAGATCTCCCGCCACCGCACTCTAGCTTAGGTGATACAGCGAGACCCTGTCACAAAAAAATTTAAAAAAGGCCAGGCACGGTGACTCACGCCTGTAATCCCAGCACTTTGGGAGGCCGAGGCGGGCGGATCACGAGGTCAGGAGATCGAGACCATCCTGGCGAACACGGTGAAACCCCATCTCTACTAAAGATAGAAAAAAATTAGCCGGGCATGGTGGTGGGCACTTGTAGTCTCAGCTACTCGGGAGGCTGAGGCAGGAGAATGGCGTGAACCCGCAGGCAGAGCTTGCAGTGAGCGGATCCAGCCTGGGCGACAGAGCGAGACTCCATCTCAAAAAAAAAAAAAAAAAAAGCCTGAGTGGCCTAAAAAAGCAGCCTGTAGGGCAGATATTATATGAGGCCCCCCAGTTCATCAGTTGGAAGCTTCTGGTTTAGGATATCAAAGTGGCCTTTTTTTTTTTTTTTTTTTTTGAGACCGTCATATTCTGTCACCCAGGCTGGAGTGCAGTGTCAAGAACTCGGCTCACTGCATCCTCCGCCTCCCAGGTTCAGGCGATTCTCCTGCCTCAGCCTCCCGAGCAGGTGGGATTACAGGCATGCGCCACCATGCCGGGCTAATTTTTGTATTTTCAGTAGAGACTGGGTTTCACCATGTTAGCCAGGCTGGTCTGGAACTCCCGACCTCAGGTGATCCGCCCACCTCGGCCTTCCAACGTGCTGGGATTGCAGGCGTGAGCCACCTCGCCCGGCCCAAAGTGGTCTTAAGCAAACACATTCCATCATCCTGGTCGCGGGAGAAGGTTGGGGAGCTCCCAACAGAGGACCCTAGTGGGGAGAGGATTGGGGAGCTGCCAAGGAAGGCCCCAAGGAGTTTGGATGGACGCAGGCATCGGTGATGGGACCCCCAAAGAGGACTTCTCTTCCTGCAGCTCCGGGATTGTGGAGGGCTGCGGGAGGTGGAGGTGACTGCCTGCCTGGTGTGGAAGGACTGGCCTCACCGAGTCCACCCCCACAGCCTCGTGGGGAAAGACTGCACCGACGGCATCTGCAGGGTGCGGCTCCGGCCTCACGTCAGCCCCCGGCACAGGTACCCACCCCCTGACCTCCGACCTCTCATCCTTGATCATGGAGATTCTAAGCGACTGGAGGCCACCCATGAAACTTTAGAGCAGAGGGCAGCTTGGGTAAACCCTCCCCACTGCCTCTTCTAGGTGGGAGACAGGCCTGGGGACAGTGGAGGGCCTCACTTAGGCCTGGAGCCTTGCCACACACATATTCACATACATTTTATCCCTATTTTGTAGAGGAAGAAACTGAGGCTCAGAGAGGGTAAGGAGCACAGATAATTGATGACAGAGCTGGGATTTGACTGCAGACCTGACTTAACTGCAAGGTCTGTTCTTTCTCTTACTTTACAATTCATCTTTTTTTTTTTTTTTTTGGGACGGAGTTTTGCTCTTGTTGCCCAAGCTGGAGTGCAATGGTTCGATCTCAGCTCACTCCAACCTCCACCTCCCGGATTCAAGTGATTCTCCTGCCCCAGACTCCCGAGTAGCTGAGATTACAGGCATGCGACACTACACCCAGCGAATTTTTTGGATTTTTAGTAGAAATGGGGTTTCACCATGTTGACCAGGCTGGTCTCGAACTGCTGACCTTAGGTGATCCTCCCAGCTCGGCCTCCCAAAGTGCTGGGATTACAGGCATGAGCCACCGTGCCGGCCTTTTCTTTCTTTTTAAAACAGAAGCACTGTATAACTTTTATTTTGCATATGTCCACAAATGCTTACACAACATACAGTGGCTACATCTAAAACTTTGAGCATTTTTTCATAGTGCAAAGAGACAGAAAGGTAGTGACACACTTCACTGTGTTACACTGACTTTGGGTAGAGCCCTAAAGGCAGCACGCACTTCAGAGGTAGGGCTGAGTATTGCTCACACTCAGGTCTGGAAGATTTAATTTTAGAAATTTTTAAACTTAGTGAAAATATAAGTTCCGAGAGCAGAGATCTTGTCTCTTACATTCCCTGCTGTATTCCGAGTGTCTGGCATAGTAACTGGCACATAGTAGGTGCTCAGGAAATATTTGTGGAATGAATGAATACTGCCATGTTATGCAATTTACAGACCCATCAGTAATGGGTGAGAGCACCTGATTCTCCACAACCTCACCAGCACCGAGTATTATGAAACATTTTGATTTTTGCTATTTTGATGAGTGCCCCAAAACAAAGGCATCTTCATTGGTGTTTAATTTGCAGTTTTCTTTCCTTCCTTCCTTCCTTCCTTCCTTCCTTCCTTCCTTCCGTCCTTCTTTCTTTCTTTCTTTCAGACAGAGTCTCGCTCTGTCGCCCAGGCTGGAATGCAGTGGCGCGATCTCGGCTCACTGCAAGCTCTGCCTCCTGGGTTCAAGTGATTCTCCTGCCTCAGCCTCGCAAGTAGCTGGGACTGCAGGCGCCCACCACCACACCCGGCTATTTTTTTTGTATTTTTAGTACAGACGGGGTTTCGCCGTGTTAGCCAGGATGGTTACCATCTCCTGACCTCGTGATCCGCCCGCCTCGGCCTCCCAAAGTGCTGGGATTACAGGTGTGAGCCCACTGTGCCCAGCCTCTTTTTTTTTTTTTTTTTTTTTTTTTTTTGAGACCGAGTCTCACTCTGTCACCCAGGCTGGAGTGCAATGGCACGATCTCTGCTCACTGCAATCTCTGCCTCCTGGATTCAAACGATTCTCCTGCCTCAGCCTCCCAGGTAGCTGGGATTACAGGCGCCAGCCACCACACCTGGCTAATTTTTGTATTTTTAGTAGAGACGGGGTTTCACCACGTTGGTCAGGCTGATCTCAAAATTCTGACCTTGTGACCCACCCGCCTCGGCCTCCAATTTTTGTATTTTTAGTAGAGACGGGGTTTCACCACGTTGGTCAGGCTGATCTCAAAATTCTGACCTTGTGACCCACCCGCCTCGGCCTCCCAAAGTGCTGGGATTACAGGCGTGAGCCACCGCACCTGGCCCTGAAGTTTTCTTATTTTATTTATTTATTTATTTATTTTGAGACGGAGTCTCGCTTTGTCGCCCAGGCTGGAGTGCAGTGGCGCGATCTCGGCTCACTGCAAACTCCGCCTCCCAGGCTCACGCCATTCTCCTGCCTCAGCCTCCCGAGTAGCTGGGACTACAGGCACCCGCCACCATGCCTGGCTAATTTTTTTGTATTTTTAGTAGAGGCGGGGTTTCACCGTGTTAGCCAAGGTGGTCTCGATCTCCTGACCTCCTGATCTGCCCGTATCGGCCTCCCAAAGTGATGGGATTACAGGCGTGAGCCACCACGCCCGGCCTGAAGTTTTCCTATTAAAGATGAAGTTGGCCAGTGTTCTCACATGGTAAAGATAAGGCATGTTCTGGATCTTCTCAAGAACCTTTGACATGCTTATTTTTATTTTTTGAGACAGATTCTTGCTCTGTCGCCAGGCTGAAGTGCAGTGGCATGATCTCATCTCTCTGCAACCTCTACCTCCCGGGCTCAAGCAATTCTCCTGCCTCAGCCTCCTGAGTAGCTGGGATTACAGGTGTGCGCCACCACACCCAGCTAATTTTTGTATTTTTAGTAGAGACAGGGCTTCACCATGCTGGCCAGGATGGTGTCCCTCTCTTGACCTCGTGATCTGCCCACCTTGGCCTCCCAAAGTGCTGGGATTCTACAGATGTGAGCCACCACGTCTGGCCAAAAGGTTTATTTTATTTTTTATTGTTTGAGATGGTGTCTAACTCTGTTGCCCAGGCTGGAGTGCAGTGGCACAATCTCGGCTCACTGCAACCTCTGCCTCCCGGGTTCAAGTGATTCTTTTGCCTCAGCCTCCCGAGTAGCTGGGATTACAGGCATGCACTACTATGTCTGCTAATTTTTGTATTTTTAGTAGAGACAGGGTTTCACCATGTTGGCCATGCTGGTCTTGAACTACTGACCTCAAGTGATCCTCCTGCCTCGGCCTCCCAAAGTGCTGGGATTACAGGTGTGAGCCACCGCGCTGGCCTTCTGAGAGGTTTAAACCCCAGACCGTTTCTAATGCTGGGACCCCTGGGCCTGGGATGTCAGCCCCTGAGAGCCTGAGCCCCACAGCAGCATCTGCCAGAGCCCTCCTGCAGGTTAGGGCCACACTTGCCTGCTCACGAGCACTCCTCTCCCTCCCCCGTCACCCCCTCAGTTTTAACAACCTGGGCATCCAGTGTGTGAGGAAGAAGGAGATTGAGGCTGCCATTGAGCGGAAGATTCAACTGGGCATTGACCCCTACAACGGTGAGCACCCCCTGCCTGACCTGACCATCCCGTCCTCCCAAACCCCTTGACTTCCGTGCTCACCCTGGTCCCCTCACCACTCCAGGCCCCACCGTCTCCTCCAGCCCCATCCCTTCCCCGTTCCCCTGTACCCCAGAGAGGGTCTCCACTTCCCACCCTCAGCCTCCCCATATCTCCCCCGACAGCTGGGTCCCTGAAGAACCATCAGGAAGTAGACATGAATGTGGTGAGGATCTGCTTCCAGGCCTCATATCGGGACCAGCAGGGACAGATGCGCCGGATGGATCCTGTGCTTTCCGAGCCCGTCTATGACAAGAGTGAGTTGAGAGTGCTGTGGCCGTTAGGATTGCCCTTGGCTGCAGGTGTCAGAATGTCCCGCTTACAGAGGCATGAATGGCTCAGGCGCTGTGGCTCACGCCTGTAATCCCAACACTTTGGGAGGTCGAGGTGGGAGGATTGCTTGAGCCCAGGAGTTCAAGACCAGCCTGGGCAACTTGGCAAAACCCTGTCTCTATAAAAAATTTAAAAATTAGCTGGGTGGCCAGGCACGGTGGCTCATGCCGGTAATCCCAGCACTTTGGGAGGCCAAGGCGGGCAGGTCACCTGAGAAGTCAGGAGTTTGAGACCAGCCTGGCCAACATGCCAAAACCCTGTCTACTAAAAATACAAAAATTAGCTGGGCGCAGTGGCAGGCGACTATAATCCCAGCTACTCAGGAGGCTGAGGCAGAAGAATTGCTTGAACCCGGGAGGCGGAGGTTGCAGTGAGCCGAGATCGCGTCACTGCGCTCCAGCCTGTGCAACAGAGTGAGATTGCATCTCAAAAAAAAAAAATTAGTTGGGCATGGTGACATGCACCTGTAGTCCCAGCTACTTTGGAGGCTGAGGTGGGAAGATTGCTTGAGCCCAGGAGGTTGAGGCTGCAGTGAGCTGTGATCATGCCACTGCAGTCCAGCCTGGGCAACAGAGCAAGTGGTGAAATCCTGTCTCTACTAAAAATGCAAAAATTAGCTGGGCATGGTGGCACACGTCTGTAATCCCTGCTACCTGGGAGGCGGAGGTTGCAGTGAGCTGAGATTGCACCACTGCACTCCAGCCTGGGCAATGGAGAGGGACTCCGTCTCAAAAAACAAGAAAAAAAAACATCAAACCCAAAATGGAATCTTCTAGTGTTGTAGAATGAACAATCTGTACAACTATACCAGGCAGCCCAAGGGAAGAGGCAGCATAAGTAATAATCTCTCTCCCTTTCTGAGAGAGTGCATTATATTCCACAGAATCACCCTGGTAGACTTCTGCTTATTTTTCAGTGGCCAGAGCTTGGTCCCATGGCCACTCCTAGTTGCAGGGTGGTCTGGGAAAGCAAGTGCTTAGATTTTTCACCCTCTATAGAGGGATACAGGCATAGAAGAGGGGACTGGGAATAACTGGTAGGTTTTAGCCAACCCATAGTGACTGCTGTAAGCATCAAAATGGGATATTAATTCAGTCAGGGCATTTATGGATGCAAGTGATAGAATCCCAACTTAGCCGGGCGAGGTGGCTTACGCCTGTAATCCCAGCACTTTGGGAGGACGAGGTGGGCAGATCACGAGGTCAGGAGATCGAGACCATCCTGGCTAACATGGCGAAACCCCGTCTCTACTAAAAATCCAAAAAAAAAATTAGCCGGGCGTCGTGGCGGGCGCCTGTAGTCCCAGCTACTCAGGAGGCTGAGGCAGGAGAATGGCGTGAACCCTGGAGGCGGAGCTTGCAGTGAGCCGAGATCGCACCACTGCACTCCAGCCCGGGCAACAGAGCGAGACTCCTTCTCAAAAAAAAAAAAAAAGAATCCTTACTTAAATAGGCTTAAGGGGGAAAAAAGAGAATAAGTTATTCTATTTGTTCTATTAACGAGAAAAAATGCAGATGTAGCATAGTGCTTCAGGTCTGGCTGCATCCAGGGCCTCAGTGATGTCATTAGATATCTGTCTCTTTCTGTCTCTCAGCTGTTCTTCCTCCATGTTAGAATCCATGCTTATATCCTACCTGCCTGGCACCTCTCCCCGACTCCCAAAGCTGCTTTTAGCTTCTCTTACCTAATAGCTTTGCTTAAAGTCTCAGGTCTATCTCTCATTGGCCTGGTTTTGGTCATTTGCTCCTTTTTGACAAATCAGCTTTGGCCAGAGGGATGCACTGCTCTGATTGGCCAGGTCTGGGGCATGCGCTCAATTACTGCTGAGCTAGGAAGTGGGCTCAGCCCTGCCCAATCCCAGTTACTAAGATGAGGGGTGGTCCCTTGAGGGAAAATTGGAGGCTGTTAAAAGAAGAGGGGTCAGGACTACTAGATGGGGAAAACAACAGGTGTCCACTACATGATTACAGTCTATCAAACTCTCCTCAAGGAACCTTCTCTCACCTGGGACCCCATCAACTCTCCCTGAGGTCTGAGGGTCTCCCTTAAACATTTTTTAAAAATTATTTTTATTATTTTTTTTTAGAGATAGGGTCTCACTCTGTTGCCTAGGCAGTCATGCAGTGGTGCAGTCATAGCTTACTGCAGCCTGAACTCCTGGGCTCAAGTGATCCTCCCAGTTCAGCCTCACAAGTAGCTGAGACTACAGGCATGTGCCACCACACCTGGCTAAGTTTTATTTTTAAAACTTTGTAGAGCTAGAGTCTCACCATGTTACCCAGGCTGGTCCAGAACTCCTGGGCTCAAACGATCCTCCCTCCTCGGCCCCTCAAGTGCTGGCATTACAGGTGTGAGCCATCATGCCTGGCAATTTTTTTTTTCTTTTTTGAGAGAGATGGGGGTCTGCTATGTTGCCCAGGCTGGTCTTGAACTTCTGGCCTCACGTGATCTTCCTGGCTGGGCCCCCAAAAGTGCTGGGATTACAGGTGTGAGCTACCTTGCCTAGCAAAGGATCTTCTTTTGTTTTGTTATTTTTTTGTTTGTTTGTTTTTTGTTTTGAGACGGAGTTTTCCTCTGTCACGATGGAGTGCAGTGGTGCAATCTCAGCTCCCTGCAACCCCTGTCTCCTGGGTTCAAGTGATTCTTCTGCCTCAGCCTCCTGAGTAACTGGGACCACACCCAGCTAATTTTTGTATTTTTAGTAGAGTCAGGGTTTCACCATGTTGGCCAGGCTGGTCTCAAACTCCTGACCTCAAGTGATCCACCTGCCTCGGCCTCCCAAAGAGCTGGGATTACAGGCGTGAGCCACCATGCCCGGCAAAAGATCTTCGTTTTGGACAGACACTCACCGGGCTTCAGCTTGAGGGCTGGCGATTGTTCGTTAACCCCTTCTGTCCGAGTGACTTCTTTCTCCACCTGGACTATGGGTTCCATGAGGATCAGATGCCCTGCCTTTTCAATTCCCTACGTCTCCAGGGCCCCGGGGATGGCACCCACTGGGTGCCCAGTAAGGCTTTGGTGACTGAATTCTCGGGATTTTTTTTAATACACTTCTTCCTCTTGCTCCTTCCCAGAATCCACAAACACATCAGAGCTGCGGATTTGCCGAATTAACAAGGAAAGCGGGCCGTGCACCGGTGGCGAGGAGCTCTACTTGCTCTGCGACAAGGTGCAGAAAGGTGAGGGGCCTGGGGCAGCAAGCTTGGGCAGAGCGGGGTCTGGCAACTTGGAGGGGTAGCCAGGGAGCCCGGGAAGATGAAAGGATGAGAAAGAGCTGGTTAACCAGGGCACCAGAGTGCAAGGGTCCAGAACACTGTCTTTGCAGTCAGACACAGCTGATGGGTTCATTCACTCCCTGAGTCGCCTTCTCACCCGTCTGCGTAGGACGACAGAGACTCGTCTGTGGTGACCCATGCTGCAAGCTAGGCGGTGCCATCACAGAGCTCACGACATGTCCAGAGGACTCTGATGTTAAGGGTGGAATTGCATAAATGAACGCTTTACGGTGGTTCTGATAAGCGCTATGGGTAAAGCAAATAGGACAGGAGAAGCAACTCCACTTCATTCATCTCTGTTCAAATGGCCCTTCCTCAAACAGGCTTTTAAAAAAAAAAGACAGCTGGTCACCGTGGCTCAAGCCTGTAATCCCAGCAATTTGGGAGGCTGAGGTGGGTGGATCACTTGAGCTCAGGAGTTCGAGACCAGCCTGGGCAACATGGTGAAAACCCATATCTACTAAAAATACAAAAATGAGGGCTGGGCGCAGTGGCTCATGCCTGCAATCCCAGCACTTTGGGAGGCCAAGGTGGGCGGATCACCTGAGGTCAGGAGTTCGACACCAGCCTCCCAACATGGTGAAACCCCATCTCTACTAAAAAACACAAAAATGAGCTGGTTGTGGTGGCATACACCTGTAATCCCAGCTACTCGGGAGGCTGAGGCAGGAGAATCGCTTGAACCTGGGAGGCAGAGGTTTCAGTGAGCCGAGATCACGCCTCTGCACTCCAGCCTGGGCCACAGAGCAAAGCTCTGTCTCAAAAAAAAGAAAAAAAGAAAGAAAAGAAAAAGACAGCTGGGCACAGCAGCTCATGCCTGTAATCCTAGCACAGTTTTGGAGGCTGAGGCGGGCAGATCACTTGAACTCAGGAGTTCGAGACCAGCCTGGGCAACATGGTGAAACCCTGTCTCTACAAAAAATAAAAAATTTAGCAGGTGTGGTAGTGTGCACCTGTAGTCCCAGTTACTTGAGAGGCTGAGGTGGGAGGATCACTTGAGCCCGGGAGGCGGAGGCTGCAGTGAGCCAAGATTGCACCACTGCTCTCCAGCCAGGGCGACAGAGACAGACCCTGTCTCAAAAAATCAAAACCAAAAACAAACCGGCTGGGCTGGTGGCTCATGCCTGTAATTCTAGCACTTTGGGAGGCTGAGGTGGGAGGATCACTTGAGCCCAGGAGTTTGAGTCCAGTCTGGGCAACATAGCAAGCCCCCATCTCTACAAAAAAAAGTTCTTTTTAATTAAAAAATAGCCAGGCATTAGGCCGGCTGTGGTGGCTCACACCTGTAATCCCAATACTTTGGGAGGCCAAGGTGGGCGAATCACTTATGGTCAGGAGTTCAAAACCAGCATGGCCAACATGGTGAAACCCTGTCTCTACTAAAAATATAAAAATTAGCTGGGTGTGGTGGAACACACCTGTAATTCCAGCTACTTGGGAGGCTGAGGCACGAGAATCACTTGAACCTGGGAGGCAGAGGTTGCAGTGAGCCGAGATCATGCCATTGCACACCAGCCTGGGCAACACAGTGAGACTCTGTCTCAAAAAATGAAATAAAATAGCCAGGCATGTTGGGGCATGTGCCTGTAGTCCCAGCACTTGGGAGGCTGAGGTAGGAGGATTGCTTAAGTGCAGGAGTTGGAGGTTACAGTGAGCTATGATGGTGCCACCGCACTGCAGCCTGGGCAATAGAGCGAGACTCTGTCTCAAAATAGAATAAAGTAAAGTGAAGAAACTGGTTCCAGAGATATCTAGTAACTTCCCCAAGTTATAACAGAGTTGGTAGTGAAGAGTTCTAGCCTTCCTGGGTTTCCATCTTGGCTCTAACACTTGCCAGCTGTGTGACCTTGGACAAGTGACTTCACCTCTCTGTGCCTTCATTTTCGTCTTTATACAATACGGTACCTAATAGTACCTTCTTCATAGAGTTGTTGTGTGACTTAGAGGCAATCTATATGTAACTGACACATATAAAGTCTCAGTACATGGAGGTACTGTGATGACGGGCGATGCAGTAAGACAAGAAAAATAAATAGCAGGCAGAGTAGCATCATGAATCCTGACTCTTCCGCTACCAGTTGTGTGATGTCTCAACACTTTCAAGCCTCAGTTTCCGTTTTTGTTTTTTTTTTTAAGAACCAGGCTCTCGCTCTGTCTCTTAAATAGCTGGGACCACAGGCGTGCGCCACCATGCCTGGCTAATTTTTTAATTTTCTTGTAGAGACAAGGTCTTGCTGTGTTGGCCAGTCTGGTCTTGAACTCCTGGCCTCAAGTGATCTGCCAGCTTTAGCCTCCCAAAGGGCTGGGATTACAGGTGTGGGCCACTATGCCTGGACAGGCACCTTTTTTCTCTGCTGACTGTGCCTGGTATCCTTTTGCCATAACAGATCATAGCTGTGAGTATGACTGTATGCTGTCTTGTGAGTCCTCTTACTGAACCACCTGAGGGTGATCTTGAGGATCCCTGGACATGAGGGGGATATTAATTCTTTTGTTTGTTTGTTTGAGGCGGAGTCTTGCTCTGTCCCCCAGGCTGGAGTGCAGTGGTGCGATCTTGGCTCACTGCAAGCTCCGCCTCCCGGGTTCACGCCATTCTCCTGCCTCAGCCTCCTGAGTAGCTGGGACTACAGGCGCCTGCCACCATGCCCGGCTAATTTTTTTGTATTTTTAGTAGAGACGGGGTTTCACCATGTTAGCCGGGGTAGTCTCGATCTCCTGACCTCGTGATCCGCCTGCCTCGGCCTCCCAAAGTGCTGGGATTATGGGCGTGAGCCACCGTGCCTGGCAAGGGGGATATTAATTCTACCTACCTCTTAAATTGTTATAAGGATTAAATGAGATAATATATATAAAAATACATAAAACAAGGCCGGGTTTGGTGGCTTACATCTGTAATCCCAGCACTTTGGGAGGCCAAGGCGGGCAGATCACGAGGTCAGGAGAGCGAGACCATCCTGGCCAACGTGGTGAAACCCCGTCTCTATTAAAAATACAAACATTAGCTGGGCGTGGTTGCACATGCCTATAATCCCAGCTACTCGGGAGACTGAGGCAGGAGAATTACTTGAACCAGGGAGTTGGAGGTTGCAGTGAGCCGAGATCATGCCACTGCACTTCAGCCTGGAGGCAGAGTGAGACTCCATCTCAAAAACACACAAACAAAAAAAAACCAAAAATAAAATTAGCCGGGCGTGGTGGCATATGCCTGTAATCCCAGCTATTCCGGAGGCTGAGGCAGGAGAATTGCTTGAACCCGGGAGGCAGAGGTTGCAGTGAGCTGAGATCGCGCCATTGCACTCCAGCCTGGGCAACAGAGCAAGACTCTCAAAAAAAAAAAATTTTAAAAAGGGGGAATATTAGTCTTGATTTTAGGGGAGGCTGGGCAAGTTGGGAGCACAGTGGTCCAGATGTCCTGGCTTAGCTGATGTCCCCCGTTTCCTGCCAGAGGACATATCAGTGGTGTTCAGCAGGGCCTCCTGGGAAGGTCGGGCTGACTTCTCCCAGGCCGACGTGCACCGCCAGATTGCCATTGTGTTCAAGACGCCGCCCTACGAGGACCTGGAGATTGTCGAGCCCGTGACAGTCAACGTCTTCCTGCAGCGGCTCACCGATGGGGTCTGCAGCGAGCCATTGCCTTTCACGTACCTGCCTCGCGACCATGGTAACTACAGCAACCCAGGGTGACCCACCACCTCGGAGACTAGGTCTTTGGCCTTGGGGAGACCCCAGTGGGGATGGGAAAGAGGCAGAACTAGAATGCAGGCTCAGAGCTACAAAGACAGTGTTCAGATCCTGGCTCTGCTGCTTACTGGTTGTGTGACCTTGGCCTCTCTGAGCCTCATTCTTCTGTGCAAAATGGAAATAATAGTAGCTGTCCTGTGACATTTGGAGAGTATTTAATCTTTCCTCCCCTCAGCATCCTGCACATGCCCGGGCCTGTGCTCGGTATTGCTAGAGACACAGCAGTGACCAGCACGGCCCCTAGCTGTGTCCTCATGAGGCTTATAGTCCTGAGGATAGGGGACAGCCTGTCCCTACAGAGTGATGACCAGAGTGGGCAGGACTGGAATGAAGTGCTCAAGGGCTCACATTGCCCAGAGGGGGTACCTGACCCAGCTGTAGGTGTCAGGGAATGCTTCTTGGAGGAGGGGACAGCTGAGCTGAGGACAGGAGGATGACTAAGCAGGGAAGTTTTCTAGGGAAATAGTGAGAGTGGAGGAAGAGTGCTTTAAACAGCTGGAACAGCAGGTGCAAAGGTCCTGAGGCCGGATTGTGCCTGGGGTGCTCCAGGAACAACAAAGAGGCCAGTGTGTAGGCCGGGCGCAGTGGCTCATGCCTGTAATCACAGCACTGTGGGAGGCTGAGGCAGGCGGATCACCTGAGGTTAGGAGTTCGAGACCAGCCTGAACAACATGGCGAAACCCCGTCTCTACTAAAAATACAAAAATTAGCCGGGCGTGGTGGTGGGCGCCTATAGTCCCAGCTACTCGGGAGGCTGAGGCAGGAGAATTGCTTGAACCCGGGAGGCAGAGGTTGCAGTGAGCCAAGATTGTGCCATTGCACTCCAGCCTGGGCAACAGAGCAAGACTCACTACAGGCACCCGCCACCATGCCCGGCTAATTTTAGTATTTTTAGTAGAGACCGGGTTTCGCCGTGTTGGTCAGGCTGGTCTCGGACTCCTGACCTCAGGTGATCCGCCCACTTCAGCCTCCCAAAGTGCTGGGATTGCAGGAGTGAGCCACCACGCCCAGCCAAGACTCCATCTTTAAAAAAAAAAAAAATAGGCCTGGCACAGCAGCTCACACCTGTAATCCCAACACTTCGGGAGGCCAAGGCAGGCAGATCACTTGAGGTCAGGAGTTCAAGACCAGACTGGCCAACATATAGTGAAATCCCATCTCTACTAAAAAAATACAAAAATTAGCTGGGCGTGGTGGCGCACACCTGTAATCCCTCCTACTTGGGAAGCTGAGGCAGGAGAATCACTTGAACCTGGCAGGCAGAGGTTGCAGTGAGCCAAGACCGTGCCACTGCACTCCAGCCTGGTCAACAGAGCAAGACTGTCTCTAAAAATAAATAAATAAATAAATAAATAAAGGAATTAATTATTATTGATGAATTACTTCTTGTGTGTCCCTGGTATCTCCTTAACAGACAGCTACGGCGTGGACAAGAAGCGGAAACGGGGGATGCCCGACGTCCTTGGGGAGCTGAACAGCTCTGGTGTGTGCCCTCTGCCCCTTTCCACCCCCATCCCCAGGTTCTGGGGAGGGGACAGCTGACCCCACTGCCCTGTCCCACCCCAGGCTGGGGAGGAAGGGCTGTCGGGGAACAGGGGTCCTCATCTCTGCCTTCCCTCAGACCCCCATGGCATCGAGAGCAAACGGCGGAAGAAAAAGCCGGCCATCCTGGACCACTTCCTGCCCAACCACGGCTCAGGTGGGTCCCAGCTACACATAAGCCCCTGTCCCCTGGGTGGGCAGAGGGTAAGTGGCAGCCCTGCTTTTCTGGCCTCTTCACGCCCTCCAAGAGCAGCCACAAGGCGAGTCACTCAGCACTTAGCCAGCAACATAGAGTAGAAAGAATGAGGGCTTTGGAGACAGAATGGAAGTTCTGATCTCTTCTGGGCCATTTCCTTGCTATGTGAACTTCATTAAGTTGTTCTACCTCTCAGAGCCTCAGGGACTCCTTTGAAAAGGCCCAGTACATACTTAGCTCAGTGGTGTTTTAAAATTTGATCTATTTCTTCTTTCTTTTTTTTTTTTTTTGGAGATGGAGTCTCGCTCTGTCGCCCAGACTGCAGTGCAGTGGCATGATCTCAGCTCACTGCAACTTCTGCCTCCTGAGTTCAAGCGATTCTCCTGCTTCAGGCTCCCAAGTAGCTGGGACTAAAGGCATACACCACCACACCTGGCTAATTTTTGTATTTTTTAGTAGAGACGGTGTTTTACCACATTGGCCAGGCTGGTCCTGAACTCCTGACCTCAGGTGATCTGCTTGCCTCAGCCTCCCAAAGTGCTGGGATTACAGGCATGAGCCACTGCATCCCACCTATGATCACATTTAACTGCATTTACAGCAAAACCCAAAATAACAGGGGCTTCAACAGGATAGAACGTTATTTCTTGTCTCACATACATAGTCTGTAGGGACTGAAAGTGGCTCATGCCTGTAATCTCAGCACTTTGGGAGGCTGAGGCAGGTGGACTGCTTCAGTCCAGGAGTTTGAGACCAGCCTGGCCAACGTGGTAAAACCCTGTTTCTACTAAAAATACAAAAATTAGCCGAGTGTGGTGGTGCACACCTGTAGTCCCAGCTACTTGGAGGCTGAGGCAGACAAATCACTTGAACCCAGGAGGTGAAGGTTGCAGTGAGCCAAGATTGCACCACTGCACTTTAGCCTGAGCAACAGAATGAGACCCTTCTCAAAACAACAACAACAACAACAACAAAACAGGCCTGGCACTGTGGCTTACGCCTGTAATCCCAGCACTTTGGGAGGCCAAGGCAGGTAGATCACGAGGTGAAGAGAGAGAGACCATCCTGGCCAACATGGTGAAACTCCATCTCTACTAAAAACACAAAAATTAGCTGGATGTGGTGGCACATGCCTGTAGTCCCAGCTACTTGGGAGGCTGAGGCAGGAGAATCATTTGAACCCAAAAGGTGGAGGCTGCAGTGAGCCAAGATGGTGCCACTGTGTTCCAGCCTGTCAACAGAGCAAGACTCCGTCTCAAAAACAAGAAACAAAAAACAGTCCATAGGTAGGTGTTCCAGGGATGGTCTGGTGACTGCATGATCATCGAGAGACCGAGGCTTCTGCCATTTTCAGTTCGCCAACTCATGGTGCAAGGTGGCTGTTGTAGCTCCAGCCATTACGCCCACGTTCCAGTTAGCAGACCTTAGTCACATGATCACATCAGGCTGCAAGGAAGGCTAGAAAATAGTCCCTTGTGTCTCTAAGGTTTGTCTTGTTCCAAAAAGAGAGTCCCTCTTTTTTTTTGAGATAGTCTTGCCCTGTTGCCTAGGCTGGAGTGCAGTGGCACAATCTCAGCTCACTGCAATGTCCACCTCCCAGGTTCAAGTGATTCTCCTGCCTCAGCCTCCTGAGTAGCTGGGATTACAGGTGCCCACCACCATGCCCTGCTAATTTTTGTATTTTTGGGAGAGAAGGGGTTTCGCCATGTTGGCCGGGCTGGTCTTGAACTTCTGACCTCAGGTAATCTGCCCGCCTCGGCCTGCCAAAGTGCTGGGATTACAGGCGTGAGCCACCATGCCTGGCCTGAGAATCCCTCTTATAATGAAACTTTTTGATTTGATTGTTATTTTTTCTTAAGTCCCCATTATGCCTGAGAATGACATTTATTTTTTCTGACAATTTTGGGACTGGTGACTTCCCAACTTGTGTCTCCCATGGTCTGGAGATTTCACTTTTTGGGTTGTCTCTGTATGTTGGGGGGCTTTGGAACCTCTTCTCCTTTCTCACTCTCAGGGAAAACTCTCCACAGCTGTGTAGGAGCATGGTTTCAACCCCAGTTCCACAACAGCTGTGTGAGCCTTCCATTTACTTTCCCTCAGTGCCTTAGTTTACTTATTATTAATTATTTTTAGAGATAAGGTCTTGCTCTGTTGCCCAGGCTGGAGTGCAGTGGTGTGATCATACTTCGCTGCAGCCTCAAACTGGGCTCAAGCAATCCTCCTGCCTCAGACTGCCAGGTAGCTGGGACTACAGGCGGGCACCACCACACCCAGCTAACTTTTAAATAATTTTTTTGTAGAGACAGGGTCTCGTCACGTTGTGCTGGGATTACAGGTGTGAACCACCACGCTTGGCCTTCAATTTACTTATTATCTGAGAATGGTGATAGTCCCACACGGATTCTCCTTGGGATTAAGAGGGCACCTAAGGCCAGGCTTGGTGGCTCACACCTGTAATCCCAGCACTTTGGGAGGCCGAAGCAGGTGGATCACCTGAGGTCAGGAGTTCGAGACCAGCCTGGCAAACATGGTGAAACCCCGTCTCTACTAAAAAGATAAGAATTAGCTGGGCATGGCACATGCCTGGCCTGTAGTTCCAGCTACTCAGGAGACTGAGGCAGGGGAATCAACTTGAACTGGGGAGGCAGAGGTTGCAGTGAGCCAAGAGCACGTCATTGCACTCCAGCCAGGGTGACAGAATGAGACTCCATCTCAGAAAAAAAAAAAAAAAGGCCACCTTGATATCACATTTTGCAGGGAGTAGGGCATTTGATTTAGGGCCTGATCAGAAGTTAGCCCTAAATCACACTACACTTCTCTTGTCTTCATCCCCGTAGGCCCGTTCCTCCCGCCGTCAGCCCTGCTGCCAGACCCTGACTTCTTCTCTGGCACCGTGTCCCTGCCCGGCCTGGAGCCCCCTGGCGGGCCTGACCTCCTGGACGATGGCTTTGCCTACGACCCTACGGCCCCCACACTCTTCACCATGCTGGACCTGCTGCCCCCGGCACCGCCACACGCTAGCGCTGTTGTGTGCAGCGGAGGTGCCGGGGCCGTGGTTGGGGAGACCCCCGGCCCTGAACCACTGACACTGGACTCGTACCAGGCCCCGGGCCCCGGGGATGGAGGCACCGCCAGCCTTGTGGGCAGCAACATGTTCCCCAATCATTACCGCGAGGCGGCCTTTGGGGGCGGCCTCCTATCCCCGGGGCCTGAAGCCACGTAGCCCCGCGATGCCAGAGGAGGGGCACTGGGTGGGGAGGGAGGTGGAGGAGCCGTGCAATCCCAACCAGGATGTCTAGCACCCCCATCCCCTTGGCCCTTCCTCATGCTTCTGAAGTGGACATATTCAGCCTTGGCGAGAAGCTCCGTTGCACGGGTTTCCCCTTGAGCCCATTTTACAGATGAGGAAACTGAGTCCGGAGAGGAAAAGGGACATGGCTCCCGTGCACTAGCTTGTTACAGCTGCCTCTGTCCCCACATGTGGGGGCACCTTCTCCAGTAGGATTCGGAAAAGATTGTACATATGGGAGGAGGGGGCAGATTCCTGGCCCTCCCTCCCCAGACTTGAAGGTGGGGGGTAGGTTGGTTGTTCAGAGTCTTCCCAATAAAGATGAGTTTTTGAGCCTCCGGGGTTTCGTCTGTTCTGGGCTTGGGAAACGCCCTAGTCCCTTAGTAGCAAAGAAAGCCTCCAGGCTGGGGGCTCAGGCCTGTCATCCCAGCACTTTGGGAGGCCAAAGCAGGAGGATCGCTTGAGCTCACGAGTTTGAGACCAGCCTGGGCAACATGACGAAACCTAGTCTCTACAAAAAATACAAAAATTAGCCGGGCGTGGTGCTGCGCGCCTGTAATCCCAGCTACTCTAGAGGCTGAGGTGGGAGGATCGCTTGAGCCCAGGAGGTGGACGTTGCAGTGAGCCAAGACCGCACCACTGCACTCCAGCTTGGGCGACAGCGCGAGGCTGTGTCTCAAAAAAATAAAAAATGAAAATGAAAATAAAAAATGAGACCGGGCATGGTGGCTCATGGCTGTAATCCCAGCACTTTGGGAGGCCGAGGCAGGTGGATCACCTGAGGTCAGGAGTTTGAGACCAGCCTAACCAAAATGGTGAAACCCCATCTCTACTAAAAATACAAAAATTAGCCGGGCTTGGTGGCGCGCGCTTGTAGTCCCAGCTACTCGGGAGGCTGAGGTGGGAGAATAGCTGAAACCCAGGAGGCAAAGGTTGCAGTGAGCCTAGATCGCGCCACTGCCTTCTAGCCTGGGAGACAAAGAGAGACTCCGTCTCAAAAAAATAAAATTAAATAAATAAATAAAATAAAAAAGATAAAAAGATAAAGCATCCAAGCTCTTCCCTTCTCCGCTCTCCCACTTCTTCCTCGGGATCCCGCCCCTCTCGACTCTAGGACCCGCCTCTCTCGTCGGCGGAAGTGCGCTGCGCGGCCCTCCACCATGCTCCGCCCCCTCCCCCTAGCGCGGCCTTTCATTTCCGCTTCCGGTGCGGGCCGCGCGCGAGCGCAGCGGTGGGAGGCGGCGACCAGCCGGTGAGTGCAGGCTGCGGCTCGACCTCCCGGTTTTCGGGCAGGCCTCAGCCCAGCTTCTCCCTTTCCTCAGGCTCTCCCCATGCTGCTGTGGGCTTCTGCTGCGTCCCGGCCCCGAGGATCGCTCGTCCCTCACCCCATTAGGCCTGACGGGCCTCAGGCCGAGCCCGTGCCCCGGCTGTGGGCCAGAAGTTGCCGCGTCGAACTCGGCCTTCGGCCCAGCAGCTTATCACAGGCCCCGCCCCCTTGTCAAAAAAAAAAACAACAAAAAAAAAACCCAGCCCAAATCCTCAGGCCGCGACGCGATCCACAAGCCCCGTCCAAACCTTCGGTCTCCGCCCTTTCCCGCAAGCCCTGCCCCCAAGCTCAGCCCACGCCCTCCTGTCAGCCAGCTCCGCCTCTCTCAGGCTCTACGCTCTTTTTCTTTGGATGCTCTCCCCACCCCGCCATCTAGATCCCATCTTTAGACCTCAGCTTCACTCTGGTCTCCTTGCAACACTCCCTCCCCGTGTTCCCACTCCCTCTAGCATCTTCATCTTCCGCCACGCCCTTCACCTGTCCTCGACCTCCACCTTCATACAACTGCACTGTTCCCTTAAAAGCTTTCTCCGATTTCCTCCACCTGCCTTCATCCTTATTCTCCTTATCCCTCTACCACCCAGACTCATACCCAACCCCACGCATGGCCCCTAGTGGGAGCCTTTTCAGTTCTTCTCTTTCTCTTGAGCTCCAGCCTTAAGTGCTCAGGGTTTGCCTTCTGACCCTACTTCAAACACTGCTGATGTTTCAAAACCTTTCATTCCCGACTCCAGCGCGTGGAATCTAGGACACCCCTTTCCCAGTGATGCTCACCTCAGAATCACCTGAGGGTTTTTCAGAATGCCCAAGCTTCTAGATCGAAGTTGTTAGGGATGGACTTGAACATCTGGCATACTGTTCTGCAGCTTCACTTCTGCTCCCTGAAGCTAAGAGATGTGTTGTTTGGGATCGACTCTGCCACCAACTTGTTAGATGACTTTGATTCTGCCCATACGGGTTTCACAGACCATCTGACTTTCCTGGTCCCTTCATCCCTCAGGTTGAGGCCCCAGGCTTGGCCTCACCACAATGTGGCACGAGGCTCGGAAGCATGAGCGGAAGCTTCGAGGCATGATGGTCGACTACAAGAAGAGGGCGGAGCGGAGACGGGAGTATTATGAAAAGATCGTGAGTAACTGGCCTTTTGTCTGGGGTGAGGGACCCTGGGTTGGGGGGCACAGCTGGTCATCCTGGTAAAATCTGGGCTTGGAAGTATGTCAAGACAAGAGGCTCATTTCCTCAGGAGTATATTCATTAATCTTTTCTTGAGGATAATCATTGGTGGGATCCCAAGGGCTTCTGTTTGTTGTAGCATACTGTGTCGTTTGGTGTGGCCTCCCAGTGCCGATCCGGTGTTAGCAAGAAAAAGGGAAGTCTCTGTAACCCTCAGAGCAGTCCTGACGTTAGACTGGCCACCTCCAGAATGTCTGTTTCGCTTATTGCTGTGTTCCCCATTCCCAGAAGAGCTCAGCCACTCTTGAGATTTGGCTTGGCACACAATAGGAGTGAGTATTAAGTTGGCCTGGCACAGTGGCTCACGCCTGTAATCCCAAGTGGATCACCTGAGGTCACGAGTTCGAGACCAGCCTGGCCAAAAGGGTGAAACCCCATCTCTACTAAAGATACAAAAATTAGCCAGGCTTAGTGGTGTGTGCATGTAGTCCCAGCTACTTGGGAGGCTGACGCACGAGAATTGCTTGAGCCCGGGAGGAGGAGGCTGTAGTGCATGGAGATTGTGCCACTGAACTCCAGCCTGGGTGACAGAGCAAGACTCAACGCCTGTAATCCCAGCACTTTGGGAGGCCGAGGTGGACAGATCACAAGGTCAAGAGATCGAGACCGTCCTGGCTAACACGGTGAAACCCCATCTCTATTAAAATACAAAAAATTAGCCAGGTGAGGTGGCGGGTGCCTGTAGTCCCAGCTACTCGGGAGGCTGAGGCAGGAGAATGGTGTGAACCGGGGAGGGGGGCAGAGCGGAGCCTGCAGTGAGCTGAGATAGCACCATTGCACTCCAGCCTGGGCGACAGCGAGACTCTGTCTCAAAAAAAAAAAAAAAAAGACTGTCTCAAAAAAAAAGGAGTGAATATTAAGTGAAACCTGACCACTTCCCTCTCCTGTCTGATGCTTCAGTTGTTTTTGCGGGGAAGACCAAACTATCCCTGGCCTAAAAGACCCTTGTGGTCTGACCACTCAGCTTCATACTCGGACAGCTCCACTGGCCTTCTATTTCTGCCACCACAGGGCTTTGGCCTATATTACCCCCCCTCACCTATTTAACTCCTGTGTATCCTTGGGATCCCAGCTTGAAATGGCACCTGTTTTCTAGGTTCAGTGTTCCTGTCAGATGACATTTATATAGACCTTTCCCAGTTATTCCTGTATTACTGCCCCAGCCTCCTCCCTGGTCTGCTGGCCTCCAGTCCTGGCTCCTCCAGTCTGTCCTTCCTAGAAGAGTCCAAGAGGCCTTTCTAAAGCACAAAACTGACCCTGTCCCTTCGTTGCTCAGAGCACCTCTATGCCTCCTAAGTGCCCTTGAGAGAAAGCCCAGGCTCCTCACTGTGGCCTTTAGGGTCCTGCATGGCCTGGCCTTTGCCCTTCCTCCAGACTCACACCACCCCACACTCTGCCTTGTTCCTTTGCACAAGTCATTTTGGCCTCCTTGCTATTCCTCCACTGACCCAAGCGCTCCCCAGCCACAGGACCTTTGTATGAGCTCTTCCCATACCTGGTTAACTACTGCTTATCTGTCAGATCTCAGTCCTCAGAGAAGTCTTGTTTCCCAAGCTCAGTCAGGTGTCCTCTAAAAATGCCATAATCATAGCTCCCTTTCCTTCCCCTTTGTGGAATTTAACACACTTAAGATACACATACATGGGCCTGGTGTGGTGGCTCACGCCTGTAATCCCAGCATTTTGGGGGCCAAGGCAGGTGGATCACCTCAGGTCAAGAGTTTGAGACCAGCCTGGCTAACATGATGAAACCTCGTCTCTACTAAAAATACAGAAATTAGCTGGAGGTGGTGAGGAGCCTGGGCTTTCTCTCAAGGGCACTTAGGAGCCATAGAGGTGCTCTGAGCAATGAAGGGACAGGGTCAGTTTTGTGCTTTAGAAAGGCCTCCTGGACTCTTCTAGGGAGGACAGACTGGAGGAGCCAGGACTGGAGGCCAGCAGACCAGGGAAGAGGCTGGGGCAGTAATACAGGAGTAAATGGTAATCCCAGCTACTCGGGAGGCTGAGGCAGGAGAATTGCTTGAACCCGGGAGGCATAGGTTGCATTGCTCTCCAGCCTGGGCAACAGAGTGAGACTCCATCTCAAAAAAAAAATTTATATATATATATATATGTGTGTGTATGTATGTATACACACACGCACACACATACGCATACACAGGTTGAACATCCCTAATTCAAAATCCGAAATGCTCCAAAATCTTTTTTTTTTTTTGAGGCAGAGTCTTGCTTAGTCGCCCAGGCTGGAGTGCAGTGGCATGATGTCAGCTCACTGTAACGTCCACCCCCCAGGTTCAAGCTATTCTCCTGCCTCACTCAACCTCCTGAGTAGCTGGAATTACAGGCATGTGCCACTATGCCTGGCTAATTTTTGCACTTTTGGTAGAGACAGGGTTTCACCATGTTGGTCAGGCTAGTCTTGAACTCCCGACCTCAAGTGATTTGCTTGCCTCGGCCTCCCAAAGTGCTGGGATTACAGGCGTGAGCCACCACGCCCGGCTAGCTCCAAAATCTGAAACTTTCTGCATACTGACATGATGCCCCACTATAAGTGGAAAGTTTCACATATAAGTACTTTACACAAACTTTGTTTCATGCACAAAATTATTTAAAATATTGTATACAATTACCTTCAGGCTGTGCTTATAAAGTATAAATGAATTTGGTCTTTGGACTTGGGTGCCATCCCTAAGATATCTCATTATGAATAGACAAATATTCCAAAATCTGAAAAAATCTGAAGCACCTCTGATCCCAAGCACTTCAGATAAGGAATACTTTGTGTGTGTGTGTGTGTGTGTGTGTGTGTGTGTGTGTGTGTCCCGTCTCTACTACAAATACAAAAAATTAGCTGGGCGTGGTGGTGGGCACCTGTACTCCCAGCTACTCGGGAGGCTGAGGCAGGAGAATGGCATGAACCCGGGAGACAGAGCTTGCAGTGAGCCGAGATAGTGCCACTGCACTCCAGCCTGGGCGACAGAGCGAGACTCCGTCCCAAAAAAAAAAAAAAAAAAAAAAATTTTTTCCATTCATACGTATATGCACATACCCAGCTCTGTGAGACTGGGGACTAATTATATTTGGGTCACGTTTGTACCCTAGGGTTGGGTCCATCAAATATGGTTTGAAAGAATAGATGAATAAAACAATATTAACAATAGTAATTAACCATTTAATTGATCCTTCGCAGGCACCCCCAGGCCATGTGAGAGATGCAGGATTTTTTTTGAATCCCCACAGTCACCTGTGAGACAGAGACCGCTCTTACTTCCACTCAGCAGAGAAGAGGAAGCTCTGAGAGCTCCTTGCTTACCTCTGCCACCCAGGAAGGAACCACGGGGCTAAAGGGAGAACTCATCTCCGATAGTGTCAGAAAGATGTGATCATCAAGGCAAGGCCTGGGTCTCTGTTGGTCATAGTTGAGGCCCCAGAAGTGGCCTAGGAACACAGCACTCAGGAATGAATAGCTACCTTTTTTTTTTTTGAGATGGAGTCTGGCTCTGTCGCCCAGGCTGGAGTGCAGTGGCACGATCTCGGCTCAGTGCAACCTCCGCCTCCCGGGTTCAAGCAATTCTCCTGCCTTAGCCTCCCAAGCAGCTGAGACTATAGGTGCCCACCACCACGCCCGGCTAATTTTTGTATTTTTAGTAGAGACAGGGTTTCACCATATTGGCCAGGCTGGTCTCAAACTCCTGACTGCAAGTGATCCGCCTGCCTTGGCTTCCCAAAGCGCTGGGATTATAGGCGTGAGCCACCACACCCAGCCTAGCTGCCATTTATTAAGGGCCCATGGTGCGCCAGACCCAGTGCTCACCAGCTTGGCATAGTAGTCCTCTGAACAGGCCTGCGAGGTAGGTATTGATCATGCCTGTGTTAAAGGTGATGCCACGATAACAGCTAACGCTGTTGGGCAGTTCTGTGGTAACCACTGTGCTAACTACTTGGCTTGTGTCTCCGCTTCATCAAAGCCACACCCAAGACTAGGAGGTGGTTCTTACTATTTCCATTTTACAGAGGACAAAACTGGAGCACGGAGATACGTGGCTTACAGTCACATAGCATGAGGGCAGAGCTGGCACTATAACCCAGTCTCTGACCCTTAACCTCTCTAAGCTTTTCACCTGCGCCTTATCATGCAGAAATAGAGGTTCAAAAAGATGAGGCATAGCAAGACCCCATCTCTGCAAAAAATAATAAAAAAAAATTAGCCAGGTTTGGTGGCATGCGCCTGTGGTCCCAGCTACTTGGGAGGCTGAGGCAAGATGAGACCTGGGAGGGTGGGGCTACAGTGAGCTGTGATTGCACCACTGCACTGGAACCTGGGTGACAGAGTGAGACCCTGTCTCAAAAAAGAAAGGTGAGGTGACTTGCCCAAGGCAACACAGCCAGGAGGTGAGATCCCATCATGGTTAGTCCTTAGAATTTGGGAGTCATGGGGCTCTGGGTTCAAATTCTAGCGATCCCACTTATCTATAGTGTGACGTGGGCAAGTGACTGCCTCCCTGAGCCCATTTCCTCTTCCACATGTGAAAGGATGTCACATGGACAATCAGCTTTGGCTCTAACAAACCTAGAGCATCCGTCAGTGGCTTAAACAAGATAGATGTTTATTTCTTAGCCACAGAAAAGCCAAGAGGTAACCAGTTAGCTCGGGGACCTAAGCCGCTTCTGTTTTGTTCTCCTGGGCACAGCTTCTCTTCCTAGTGTTGCATCGAGGTCTAAGAGGCTCTGGCCATCATGTCTTCATTCTATCCAGCAGGGAGGAAAAAGGGAGGAAAAGGGGCAAAGCGCTCATGCCATTTGTTGAGAAAGTTTCTAGGCCAGGTGCAGTGGCTCACGCCTGTAATCCCAGCACTTCGGGAGGCCGAGGCAGGAGGACTGCTTGAGCCCAGGAGTTCGAGAACAGCCTGGACAACATGGTGAAACCCCGTCTATACCAAAATATACAAAAATTAGCCGGGCATGATGGCGTGCATCTGTGGTCCCAGCTCCTCAAGAGGCTGAGGTGGGAGAATCTCTTGAACCCAGGAGGTGGAGGCTGCAGTGAGCTGTGATTGTACCACTGCACTCCAGCCTGAGTGGGAGAATAAGACCCTGTCTTTAAAAAAAAAGTTTCGGGATGTTTTCCCGTAACATTTCCACTCCTCCCCTGCTGACCAGGAAGTAGTCTTATGAACAGCCGTGAGGAAGGCTAAGAGGTGTAGACTTTATTTTGGGTCGCCCTGACCAGATATATTTGGAGTTCTGTTACTGTTGTAGCAAAGGGAATAGATGTTGGTTGCCAATTAATGGTTTGCCACTAACAGTGGAGACAAGAGCATGTCCTTCGATGTTGTTGGAGTGTTGGACACATGGACCACTGAGAGCAGCCTGGCCAGCGTCGCTATCGCTCAGTAAATATTAGCTCTTGTTATTGACATTACTGTTGCTGATAGAACTGGAGTTTGGATCCAGGTGGAGGGATGGTGCAGAGGAAGGAAGGCTGGAGCTGAGACTCCAGGCCCCCTCCCTGTTAGCAGGGAAGCTTGCTGCATTGTATTCCCCCTCAGGACAGTGGTGACGACCAACCCCTCTCACTGGATAATGGGGAAGAGCTCAAAGAACCAATGTCTATGGGTGCTTTGTGGTGCAGGCCTGTACAAGCGGCCTTTGTCCCTGTATGTGAACGTGACCTGCATTCCGATCTGGGCTGCCAAGCTGTGGAGTATGGCTGGGCCGTGGCTGATGGCTGCTTTGAGGAGGGGACTCTCATCTCAGCCTTGGGCCGAGAGCAGAGGCTGTGGAGCGAGTGTCAGTGAAGCTGCGGTAGATTGTGGCAGGCTGAATGAGTATGTCCAGATGCAGTTGGTTTCTGTCTTCCTGATTTGTCGTTGGTGCCTGCTTTCTCTCCCTGTCTTCAGTCCCAAGCAGACTCCGGTTCTGTCATTGCTTCTGTCCTTGTCAACTTTCCTTTTTAATCAGTGGTTTGGATAAAGAAACAGAATCCTCTGTTGATACGGAAATAAGAAGTAAACAGGTCGCAGCTCAGGCGTCGCCTCCTCCAGGAAGCTCCAGACTGACCCCCAAGTCTGGGTCAGGTGTTCCCCCTGTGGGCCCCCATCTCAGCGCTGTCCACTCTAGGTTGTCCTTGTATGGGGACAAGTCTGTGTCCCACACTGGACTGTGAGCCCATGAGGGCAGGGCCAGGGCTATCTCAGTTACTGCCATACCCTAGCACAAGGTCTGCTTAACAGTTGAATGAATGAATGAATGAATGAGTAACTTCATGAACTCCTCTGACACAATCTGATCCTAGAGACAGGATAATCCAGTGGTTAAGAGTTGGTTTTGGGCCGGGCGCGGTAGCTCACGCCTGTAATCCCAACACTTTGGGAGGCTGAGGTGAGCAGATCACCTGAGGTCAGGAGTTTGAGACCAGCCTGACCAACATGGAGAAACGTCATCTCTACTAAAAATACAAAATTAGCTGGGCGTTGTGGCACATGCCTGCAGTTCCAGCTACCTGGGAGGCTGAGGCAGGAGAATCGCTTGAACCCGGGAGGCAGAGATTGTGGTTAGCCTAGATCACGCCATTGCAGCCCAGCCTGGACAACAAGAGCAAAACTCTGTCTCCAAAAAAAAAAGTGGATTTTGGATCTTGAAGAGGTACTTATACACTTATGTTCATTACAGCATTATTAGCAATAGCCAAGAGGTGGACGCAAGCTAAATGTCCATTGAGGGATACATCGAGAAAGAAAATGTGGTCTCTACACATAACGCAATATTATTCAATCTTAAAAAAGAAAGAAATCCTGTCCTATGCTACAATATCGATGAGCCCTGAAGATGTTATGCTAAGTGAAATAAGCCAGTCGCAAAAAGACAGTATTGTATGATCCGCTGATAAGTATCTAAAATAGTTAAACCTTGCTTGAGCCCAGGAGTTCCAGGCTGCAGTGAACTGTGATCACACCACTGTACTCCAGCCTGGGTGACAGAGCAAGACTCCATCTCAAAAAAAAAAAAAAAAAAAACAGAGAGAGAGAGGAAGGGAGGAAGGGAGCTCACTTCGGCAGCACATATACTAAAATTGGAACGATACGGGGATTAGCATGGCCACTGTGCAAGGATGACACAAAAATTCGTGAAACCTTCTGTATTTTTGGTAAAGAAAAAAAAACCTAAAAGAAAAGTCAAACCCTCAGAAAAAGAAAATACAGTGCAGGTTGACAGGGATGGGGGGAGGAGGAAAGGGGAAGTTCAGTTTTGTTTCAGTTTTGTAAGATTTAAAAAGTTCTAAAGCTCTGTTGCACCACAGGGTGGATGTAGTTACTACTACTGTACTGTACACTTAAAAATGTTAAGATGGTAAATGTTTTCTACCACAATAAAAAAATTATTCTTGGCCAGATGTGGTGGCTCACACCTGTAATCCCAGCATTTTGGGTGGCTGAGGCAGGCAGATCACCTGAGGTCAGGAGTTGAAGACCAGCCTGGCCAACGTGGTGAAATCCCATCTCTACTAAAAATACAAAAAATTAGCCAGGCAGGTTGGTGCATGCCTGTACTCGGGAGGCTGAGGCAGGAGAATCGCTTGAACCTGGGAGGCGGAGGTTGCAGTGAGCCGAGATCATGCCATTGCACTCCAGCCTGGGCAACAAGAGTGAAACTCTTGTCTCAAAACAAACAAACAAAAAATTACTCTTAAAAAGCAAATAAATAAAAAGAAGCAGATTTTGTAGTCAGGCCCATCTGGGTTCAAATCCTAGTTCTGCTTATTCCTAATGTCAGGCAGGTGGACCCCATGGCTTTGAGCCTCAGTTTACTCATCTGTAACATGGGCATAAGAATAGTACCTGCTGGGCGTGGTGGCTCATGCCTGTAATCCCAGCACTTTGGGAGGCCGAGGCGGGTGGATCACGAGGTCAGGAGTTCGAGACCAGCCTGGCCAACATGGTGAAATCCCGTCTCTACTAAAAATACAAAAAATTAGCCAGGCATTTTGGTGCATGCCTGTACTCGGGAGGCTGAGGCAGGAGAATCGCTTGAACCTGGGAGGCGGAGGTTGCAGTGAGCCGAGATCATGCCATTGCACTCCAGCCTGGGCAACAAGAGTGAAACTCTTGTCTCAAAACAGACAAACAAAAAATTACTCTTAAAAAGCAAATAAATAAAAAGAAGCAGATTTTGTAGCCAGGCCCATCTGGGTTTGAATCCTAGTTCTGCTTATTCCTAATGTCAGGCAGGTGGACCCCATGGCTTTGAGCCTCAGTTTACTCATCTGTAACATGGGCATAAGAATAGTACCAGCTGGGCGTGGTGGCTCATGCCTGTAATCCCAGCACTTTGGGAGGCCGAGGCAGGCGGATCACGAGGTCAGGAGTTAGCGACCAGCCTGGCCAACATGGTGAAGCCCTGTCTCTACTAAAAATACCAAAATTAGCCAAGCGTGGTGGCGGGCACCTGTAATCCCAGCTACTCGGGAAGCTGAGGCAGGAGAATCCCTTGAACTTGGGAGGCAGAGGTTGCAGTGAGCCGAGATCGCGCCATTGCACTCCAGCCTGGGTGACAGAGCGAGACTCTGTTTCAAAAAAAGAAAAAGAATAGTATGTTTCTTCCATGGTTGGGACATTCGAGTGAGACAGTGCACATAAAACAGTGCCTGGTTTTTAGTAGGGTTCATTGACTTTTCCAGAATCTCCCAACAGAACCAGGCTCTGGACTCCTGGTGTTTACTCCCGGCTCAGTGCTTATTCCTTTCTGTGAAGCTGACCCTGCCAGTAGCTTCCCTGTACCTGCCAAATTCTGTCCTGCAAACAGTGTCCCATGAGTCCTGGCTGTGGGAACTGGGCATTTGGCCTGGAGCAGCCTCAGGAGTATGATGGGATCTTGGCCTTGGACTTGGCTGGCTTGTCCCAGGGCAGAGGGAGCTGGGTGCGCTGTGTGGCCCCAGCTGAGGAATCAGCTAAGGAATCGAGGGAGGCAGGCGAGGTGCAGCATGAGTAGCTGGACTCCAGCAGCGCCACCTCGCTGGGCCTGTGGTCTTGAGTGTTCCTTAGACTCAGTTTCTTTAGGTGTGAAATGAGAGTCACAGCAGCCCAGCACCTGGCACATAGTGAGTGCGGGGTTGAAACTAGCCAGGTATTAGCTGTGGTCCTGGTGAGTGACTCAGCTCCTTCAGCCCGGACTGCACCTTCTCATCTGCTGGCTGAGGGCTGAGATGGAGACAGAGTGAGGATGTGCAGGAGCTTGGAAACTTGGAGCTGGTGTTTTTTTCCTGAAGGGGCTCAGAGTCTTCATCTGTTAGTAAGGATTATTCCTGTCTTTCCTTCATTGGGTGTTCTCAAGCGCCTGCTGTGGGCCAGGCCCTGTTCTAGGCTTTAGGGATATAGCAGCCAAAACAGAGCCCTGCCTCCTGGGAGTTACGTTCTAACATGGGAGAAAGGTGATGAATGAATATTAGGTCCAGTGGCAGGTGGTAGCGGGTGCTCAAAAGAAAACAAGTGGAGTTAAGTGAGTGAATTGTGTGGTATATGAATTACTTCTCAATAAAGCCACAGAGTGAAGGAGCTGGGGTAGATAAGTGGGGAGCTATTTAGATAGAGTCACTGAGGACGGCTTTTAGGAGGAGATCTGAAATAAGCGGGGGAGCAGAAGCACAGAGGTCCGAGCAGAAGCACGGGGCATGTCTGGAATGCCCAAGGAATGGCGTGAGGCGAGGGCCTGTGTGCCTGGAGCAGAGTAGGGGAGGGAAGAAATCAGAGAGGGACAGGCCAGCACCTGTGAGGGCTGAGTGGTTGGGAGTGGGGTGGGGGGTGGGGTGCGGCCCAACATGTGTCAGCAAATCTCCTGGAGGCAGAGCCCAGCCTGGACCAGACTGCATCCACACATTGAAAGATGACCAACATCATTAGCCATCAGGGAAATGCCAGTCAGAACCACAAGATACCACTTCACCCACACTAGGCTGGCTGACATGGAAAGGACAGACTATAACAAGTAGTAGGCCAGGCATAGTGGCTCATGCCTGTAATCCCAGCACTTTGGGAGGCCAAGGCAGGCGGATCACCTGAGGTCGAGAGTTCAAGACCAGCCAGACCAACATGGAGAAACCCCATCTCTACTAAAAATACAAAATTAGCTGGGCATGGTGGCGCATGCCTGTAATCCCAGCTACTCAGGAGGCTGAGGCAGGAGAATCGCTTGAACCTGGGAGGTGGAGGTTGCAGTGAGCTGATATCGCACCATTGCACTCCAGTTGAAGATCCTGATTTCTCTATATTCTTGTCACTACTTGTGTTTTGTTTTGTTTTGTTTTGTTTTTTGTTTTTGGAGATGGAGTCTCGCTCTTGTCCCCCAGGCTGGAGTGCACTGGTGGGATCTCTGCTTATTGCAACCTACCTCCACCTCCTGGGTTCAAGCGATTCTCTTGCCTCAGCCTCCCAAATAGCTGGGATTACAGGCGCCTGCCACCATGGCTGGCTAATTTTTTTGTATTTTTAGTAGAGACAGGGTTTCACCATGTTGGCCAGGCTGGTCTCGAACTCCTGACCTCAGGTGATCCGCCTGCCTCGGCCTCCCAAAGTGCTGGGATTACCGGCGTGAGCCACTATGCCCGACCCACTGCTTGTTACAGTCTGTCCTTTCCATGTCAGCCAGCCTAGTGTGGGTGAAGTGGTATCTTGTGGTTCTGATTGGCATTTCCCTGATGGCTAATGATGTTGGTCATCTTCCCATGTGCGGATGCAGTCTGGTCCAGGCTGAAGTGTCCACACCAGTCTCTAAATGAACGGCCCGGAGGATGGGAGGTGAAGAGTTAAGGGGGCTGATATTTTAGAGAGCGAGGTCTTCGTACTGGCTATGCAGAAGATTGAGCCACCACCTCGAGAGGAACCAATAGCTTATTTCTTCAATTTCTTTTTTTTTCTCTTTTTGAGATGGAGTCTTGCTCTGTTGCCCAGGCTAGAGTGCGGTGACACAATCTCAGCTCACTGCAACTTCTGCCTCCCAGGTTCAAGCGATTCTCCTGCCTCAGGCTCCCAAGTAGCTGGGATTACAGGCATGTGTCACCACGCCCAGCTAATTTTTTGTATTTTTAGTAGAGCCTGGGTTTCGCCATGTTGGTCTGGAACTCCTGACTTCAGATGACCTGCCTGCCTTGGCCTCCCAAAGTGTTGAGATTACAGGCGTGAGCCACCATGCCTAGCCAATTCCCTTATTTCTGAAGGTTAGCAGGTTGGTTCACCTCTGAGGTATGGCCCACTTGACCTTAGAAGTGAGCTTGCTGCAGGCCGGGCGCGGTGACTCATGCCTGTAATCCCAGCACTTTGGGAGGCTGAGGCGGGTGGATCACGAGGTAAGGAGATCGAGACCATCCTGGCTAACACAGTGAAACCCTGTCTCTACTAAAAACACAAAAAATTAGTCGGGCATGGTGGCGGGCGCCTGTAGTCCCAGCTACTCAGAAAGCTGAGGCAGGAGAATGGCGTGAACCTGGGAAGCAGAGCTTGCAGTGAGCCGAGACAGCACCATTGCACTCCAGCCTGGGCGACAGAGTGAGGCTCCATCTCAAAAAAAAAAAGAAGTGAGCTTGCTGCTAAGCTCGGTTGTGTGTGAGGGGGTGGGGTTTGGAGCTCTGTTGGGTGGTGACCTCAGTCCTGTTTACCCCTGCAGAAGAAGGACCCAGCCCAGTTCCTGCAGGTACATGGCCGAGCTTGCAAGGTGCACCTGGATTCTGCAGTCGCCCTGGCCGCTGAGAGCCCTGTTAATATGTAAGACTGATATGGAAGGCAGGGGAGTGTCTGAAGTCTGGGAGTCAAAACGGACCTGGGGTGGTGTAGAGTGTGGAGCAGAGACTGAAGTATGGACAGACCTTTGGGGACTCAGAGGCAGGGAAGGTGTGACCCGCATATGAAGGTGATAGTCACAGGGTGTAAGAACAATGAGCAGGGGTTGGGGTGGAGGCCCCAGAGTAGCAGTCATGGTTGGAGGACTTAGAAATGGGTGGAGCCAGGGCCAGAGGCCCAGAGGAAGCAGAGAGTAGGTTGCCAGACCCGAGCTGGCTCAGGGTGCCTGGGGCCCGCCCCTCAAATACCCTCTAGGACCTGGTTCAAGTTCCCCACTATTGCTTGGTTGTGAGAAATGGGGCCCTGGTGTCCCCAGGGGCAGTCAGATGACTGGCCTGTTTCAGGTCCCAGGAGCCTGAATGTGGATTCAGGGAGGCTTGCAACAGAAGGGACTGAGAGCTGGGGGTTGAGGTGAGGGTCATGGCATGGGGACCAAAGCAGGCTGAGGGCCAGGCTTCTAAGCCTCAGCTGGCAGGGAGCAGGTGCTTTGTGTCCTGGGCAGTATGGACCCTGAGGTTCTTGCTTTCTTGCTCCCCTCCCACTTCAGGATGCCCTGGCAGGGGGACACCAACAACATGATTGACCGATTCGATGTCCGTGCCCACCTGGACCACATCCCCGACTACACCCCCCCTCTGCTCACCACCATGTAAGCCACCTCCCAGGGGGTTGCCAGGCACAGCGTCATACCCAGGAGCCCCTGTTCTTTTCCCAGCCTACCTGTCACCTTCCTAGGAGCCGTTCCTATTTGGTACCGCCCTGAGCCTGAGGGGGATGCCTCATTTCCCTTCCTGCTGGCTTGGGGGGGGATCCACTCCTTCTCTCTGATTTCAAGGTCTCGCCCTTCCCTAAAGCTCCCCAGAACAGGAGTCGGACGAACGGAAGTGTAACTACGAGCGCTACAGAGGCCTGGTGCAGAACGACTTTGCCGGCAGTGAGTGATCTGTGGGGGGACGTGGGGTGTGGGGTTTGAGCCTGGAGCCTGGAAGACCTAGATAGGTTTGGGAAGAAAAGTTTTATCCACATACTTTCTACTAAAGGGCCTTGGGTTCCGGCTCCAGCTCTACGATAGACTCACTTTGCCTGCATCTCTTTCCCCTTCTAGATTTGGTATAGGGGATGTCTGCCGAATGGGTTGTTCCCAGCAGAGTCACGTCCATATACCATGCCTTCTGACTCTGTGGTCCGTTTTTCTTTAAAAAATAGAGAAAATAGCAAGAATATGTTTTTATTTTTATTTATTTATTTATTTGAGGCGGAGTTTCGTTCTTGTTGCCCAGGCTGGAGTGCAGTGGTGTGATCTCAGCTCACTGCAACCTCTGCCTCCTGGGTTCAAGTGATTATCCTGCCTCAGCCTCCTGAGTAGCTGGGATTACAGGTGCCCGCCACCACCCCCAGTTAGTTTTTTGTATTTTTAGTAGAGACGGGGTTTCGCCATATTGGCCAGGCTGGTCTCGAACTCTTGACCTCAGGTGATCTGCTCACCTTGGCCTCCCAAAGTGCTGGATTACAGGTGTGAGCCACCACGCCCAGCCAAGAATACGTTTTTAAAAGCATTTAGAAAGATGGGGTCTCACTGTGTTGTCCAGGCTGGTCTGAACTCCTGGGCTCAAGTGATCCTCCTGCCTTGGCCTCCCAAATTGCTGGGATTATAGACATGAAACACTATGCCCAGCCAGGAACAGATTTTTTACCTCTGTGTATTTTACTCTGCCCGCACAGATCAGATTGTGAGCTCTAAAAAGGAAATTTCTCCTTGATTTAAATGAATATTTGCCAGCATTTGACAATTTGCCAAGTGTTCATGTATGTCCAGGAATTTTCTCCCAGCCCAGCCTTATCACCATTGTCATTTTCCAAATGAGGAAACAGAGGCTCAGGGAAACTTCTCGCTGCTCTGGGCTTGCCCAGGGAGGTTTGGATCCCAACAGACTTGGGCTTTTTTGTCTGTATTATCATTACATCTGCACAACCACCTAGCAAGGTAGGGGTGACACCCCGTTTTGGGGTTTTTTGTTTTTTTTGAGATTGAGTCTTACTCTGTTGCCCAGGCTGGCATGCAGTGGCGCAATCTCAGCTCACTGCAACCTCCACCTCCTGGGTTCAAGTGATTCTCCTGCCTCAGCCTCCCAAGTAGCTGGGATTACCGGCGCATGCCACCATGCCCGGCTAAGTTTTGTAGTTTTAGTAGAGACGGGGATTTCACCATCTTGGCCAGGCTGGTCTTGAACTCCTGACCTCGTGATCCACCCGCCTCGGCCTCCCAAAGTGCTGGGATTACAGGCGTGAGCCACCGCGCCTGGCCATCACCCCATGTTACAGACAAGAATGTCGAGGGGGAACACCCTGTCCAAGGAGCTGGGATTCTCCACGTGTCCTTAACCACTGCTCCCTGTTGATGGAAAGCTCCTAACTCACCTACCAAGAAGGACTTGAGATTCCCTTTCTTGGGATTCCCTGTGGAGTTAAGGGAAGGATGGAGTTCTCTGCTGGGTTTGTCCCTTACCACCTGGCAGGTCTCGGCTTCCTCCTCGAGAAGGGTGGTGGTGTTGATTTTGTTGCGTGGGGTGGTTGTAAGAGTTGAGTGAGATGATGTGTATAAAACCCCAGCACCGAGCCTGGCACAGTCAGCCCTCCATGTGGGTTTGCTAGTCCAGTATTTGTTTATTTCTAAGATAGATGCTTTTTTGATTTTCTAAAATCAGAGGCTGCCAAAATTCTAGTGATCACTGAGGCCTTAGAATCAGGGACATGTGTTATAATTGATACTGTTTTTGCCATCATTCCAGGCCACATGGCTTCCTGGTGGTAGAGCCAGGGTTCCCCTTAGTTTCGCCTCACTCTGCATTTATTCATTCACTTCCACAAACAGTCATTGAACACCTGCGGTGTGGCAATGGTAGGGGAGAGGGCAGCAGCTCCATAATCAATGTCAGTGATGCCAATTGCAAACCAAGGTGATGTGACAGACAGTGTGCCATTCTCTGAGAAAAATAGGACAGAAGTCCTGGATAGAAGCTCCCTGGGAGGCACGGATAGGCCACAGGATTCCAGGCCGAGAGCAGCCTGTGCAAAGCCCTGTGTCAGCCAGGACTGTGAGCACACTGGAGGGGCAGAGAGAAGGCCCGTGTGGCTGGAGCAGGGAGAGCGAGGGCGCTTGTGCAAGACAGGGTCAGCAGGGCCTCTCTTGGGCTTTGGAGACAACAAGTAGAAATTGGGGTATCTGCTAGAACAAGGAAGGGCCGTGCTACATCCCCTTCTGGCCTGCCAGCCTGCCCACCTCTTGTTCCAGATAGAAAAGCTGAGGCCAGCCGGGCACGGTGGCTCATGCATATAATCTCAGCACTTTGGGAGGTTGAGGCGGTGGATCACCTGAGGTCGGGAGTTCGAGACCAGCCTGACCAATATGGAGAAACCCTGTCTGTACTAAAAGTACAAAATTAGCCAGGCACGGTGGCGCCTGCCTGTAATCCCAGCTACTGGGGAGGCTGAGGCAGGAGAATCGCTTGAACCTGGGAGGCGGAGGTTGCGGTGAGCCAAGATCGCGCCATTGCACTCCAGCCTGTGCAACAAGAGTGAAACTCTGTCTTAAAAAAATAAGAAAAGAAAAACTGAGGCCTAGGGAGGGAAGGAAGGAAGGGGACTTACAACCCACTGTCCCACAGCGAGTCAGGGACACGTGTCTCACTGCAGGGAAGATCAGGAAGGCTCTGGTACATTGTTGAGTCCCCCAGGCTGGGTGTTGGGGGTGCAGGAGAGCCCAGGTCATCCCAGCCCACACCTAACTTAAAATGAGCCACAGAGAGGCATGCAGTGGAGTGACCTGTGCAGTCAGAATGGCGTGTGGCACTCAGGAGCAGGTTATGGTTCTGAAGGGTCCAGCCAGAGGCCTCCAGAAACAGTGAGAATGGTGGTAGAGTGCCCAAGTACCAGGCCAGGCACTCACTCTGCCCGTGGTCCCATTTTACGGAAAAGGAAACTGAGGCACAGATGTGTTAAGTCCCTTGACCAAGGTCGTGTGTCCAAGGCTCTGCTGCAGTTGCTTGTGTCCCACCAGACATAGTTTGATTATCTGGAAGTGGTGACTGCCCCCCAAGGTGCACTGGGGTTGCACCTGTCTTCCTGCCCCACCGCACCCTTGTGTTCCCCCACTGAATTCCTAGTGTCCCCAACCCACTCTGACCTGGGGTCTCTTGTTTGCTGCAGTCTCAGAGGAGCAGTGCCTGTACCAGATCTACATTGATGAGTTGTACGGAGGCCTCCAGAGACCCAGCGAAGATGAGAAGAAGAAGTGAGTCGGGGTCTGGGGTGCAGGGGGTTGAGGAGGCAGGAGGGCTGGGAGCCCCAGCCAGGCATGGCCTCTTCCATCCTGTCCACCAGGGTCTCCCCGAAACCAAGGATGGTGTTCAGCACACAGTCAGTGCTCAATTAATAACTGTGTAGAGGAAGAAGCCCTGTCAGGGGGCCCCGGCTTGCCGAGGGCTCTGCGTTACATTTTCAGCTTGGGAAGTGGTGGGAGGTGCAGGCCCTGTGGTGAGACAGCCCTGGGTTTGAGTCCTGGCTGTGAGGCCCTGAGTGGGAATTGTCTGAGCCTTGCTGTGCTTCCCTGTAAAATGGGGCTGGCAGGAGGCCCTACTGCCTGGAGTTGGGAGGCATGCAGGAGATGGGGCTTGTGAAGTACCTATTCCAGCACCTGCCATGTAGTGAGCTTGCAGTCAGCCCTAGCTGATGTCACTCTGGAGAGAGGCTTCTTAAAGCCGCGTCCCTCAAGGAGTAGCTGGGGAGACCCGGGCCTTATCCTGGAGCAGCTGCCTCTGAGGAGCAGTGGCCGAGCAGTCTCACTTCTCTCTTCTCCACCTCAGTCTGATGAGTGCAGGCCTCCCGCCCTCACACACGCTATTCCCTCTGCAGGGCTTAGCTCTCCTCCAGGCCAGCTGCTGTTGCCCTGGTGCACGGTAGCCTGGAGCCCTGGCTCGGGGCTGGGCAGCTCCCTCAGTGACACCTTCCCTCCTGCTACCCCTGACTGCTTGCCGCCTTCCTCCACTGGGAGGGGTCCCATGGGACTGTACTGGGAGCTTCTTGGAGACTTCAGCCCTCGTCCACGGCCCCAGCCTCAGGATCCTGCTCAGGCCCTGCTCTGTTCAGGGCAAAGCTGGGGCACCTGGCTGCTCAGGAGGACTCTGGGCTGTGCCCTTGTGGGACTCATGGTCTAGGCGGGAGACAGACCTTCCCCAACAGAGATGACCCAACAAAGGCAGGGCTGGGGAGCTCAGGACAGTGCTGACCCACCCTAGGGTACCAGTCAAGGACTTCTTGGCAGGTGGGGCCCTAGAGCTCAGATGTGGAGGAAGAGGGAGGAGCTGGGTGTGGGCAGGAGCAGAGGGTCCTAGGCTGAGGGAGAGCCTGAGGGGAGGGGGCCGTGGCACTCGAGACTGGTGTGTGGGGCTAGCCTGGGGCCCTCATCTCCACTGGGCACGGCCCTGGCTTACCAGCTCCCCTTTCTCAGGCTGGCAGAGAAGAAGGCTTCCATCGGTTATACCTACGAGGACAGCACGGTGGCCGAGGTAGAGAAGGCGGCAGAAAAGCCAGAGGAGGAGGAGTCAGCGGCCGAGGAGGAGAGCAACTCGGACGAAGATGAGGTCATCCCCGACATCGGTGGGGTCCCCTCTCTGCCCTCCCCACCTGCAGTCCCTGGGCATCGTTTCTGTGTCTCGTCCCTCACCCTCTGTGGGGCACCCCGTGCTTACGAACCGTGTCTCTCTCCCTACCCCGCCCCAGGGCACACCAGCCTCCTGCTGCCCCTGTCTCACTCCTGTCCTCCTCCGTTCCGGCCTTCCTCTGCCTCACTCATCTCTCATTTCTAGGGTGCTATTTCTATGATCTTTTCCCCTCCTAGGTGTTGGCTCCATTCTCCTCCACTTGGGCCGGCCTCTCTCTGCCTTTGCCCCTCTCTCCTGCTCTCTTCCCTCCTCTGGAAAACAAGTGTTCATCCTCTTACAGAGTCAGCCCCCATCCGCCAGGCATCTGTTCACCCTCCTCTCTGCCATTCACCTCCCCTCTGGATTCCCACTGATCAAACCACCCCCAAGTCTCTCTGTTTTTCTCATCCTGGTTCTTACTCCAGCAACTGGCTCTTTTTATTTATTTATTTATTTATTTTTGAGATGGAGTCTTGCTCTGTTACCGGGCTGGAGTGCAGTGGCATGATCTTGGCTCACTGCAACCTCCACCTCCTGGGTTCAAGTGATTCTCCTGCCTCAGCTTCCCAAGTAGCTGAGACTAAAGGCACACGCCACCACGCCCAGCTAATTTTTGTACTTTTAGTAGAGACGGGGGTTTCACCATATTGGTCAGGCTGGTCTTGAACTCCTGACCTCGTGATCCACTTGCCTCGGCCTCCCAAAGTGCTGGGATTACAGACGTGAGCCACCGCGCTCAGCCCAGTAGCTGGCTCTTTATTCACACTCTGTGGAGCCACACATTGACCTCCGCCCAGCCCTCCTTCCTCTGGCTTATCACACGCCCTGCTTCCAAACACCTGTGACCCACACCCTGCCTGCCACCCACCGTGATCTCCAGCCGCCATCTTTCCGCCCCTGTTCAGTCCTCCCTCTCACGTCAACCCCACCACACGCCTCACTCATCCATTCCTCCCTCCCTCCATCCACCCATCCCTCCTTCCTTCCTTGCCTCCATTCCATTCATCCATCCATCCATCCCTGCATCCCTTCATCCATCCCTGCACCCATCCGTCCATCTCTCCCTTCTCTTTCCCTCCCTCCGTTCATCTGCCCCTTCAAGCCCTGTCCCCGAGCTGCCTCTGTCCACTGTGTGTTGTGCTCACCTCTGGCAAGCCCAGTGCCAGCCTAGGGCATGCCAAGATGAGCCAGACTTGATGCCATCCCTTCCTGAAGAATCCCTCAGTCTGGCGGGCGCCCCATCATCCCCGCCTCCTGGAGCACTGCCCCTTCTCCCCTGTCCTCTCGCTCGGCCGTGGCTCCTGACAGCCTTTCTCTTGGTGCAGACGTGGAGGTGGACGTGGATGAATTGAACCAGGAGCAGGTGGCAGATCTCAACAAACAGGCCACGACTTATGGCATGGCCGACGGTGACTTCGTCAGGTGAGGCCTGCCTGCTGACACCCCTACCCATTCTGTGGGCCCCACCCTGGCATCTCACTATTACTCCCGGTATTGACAGCCATCCTGTTTGTGAGCATTTGTGTGCCTGGCCCTGGGCCCAGGACTTTACACATGCAGGTCCCTGAGCCTATGGTGGTCGTGGCCCCACTTCATCTGTGCAGAAACAGGCTGCACCCAAGTCACCCAGCCTGCCCTACTTAGTGCGACCTGGGGCGAATCTGACTCTTCGAAGCTCTGGGGATTCCTAGGCTGGGGGACAGCGCCCTCTAGTGGAGAGGCTTCATTCCCTGGTTATTTATCCTGGCAGTTGCTGGTTGTACCTCTACCCTGAGCCACACCCCCTGCTGAGCTCACAAGACCACACAGAATGGTCCCAGCTCACTGGGCAGTGAACCAGAAACGGAGCCTGAGCATGGCACCCTCTGCCCAGAGCCCTTTGTGGCTCCCACCTCCCTCAGGAACATCCAGTGTCCTCACCATGGCCGAAAGGTCTTACCCATCTGGTCCTCTCAACCGCCACCATCCCCCGCTGCCCAGCCTGCACAGTCTCCTTGCTCCTCAAGTGCAGAGGCCTGGGCCAGCCCCTGGGCCACTCTGTCTGCTGTTCGCTTTGGACGTCTGCAGCTTGCTCCCCCAGGTTTTTCTCTAGATACCCTGTTTTGTGTGGCTTCCCTGAGCTCCCTCTTGAAAACTGCAGCTTCCTCTGCCTTTGCTCTACCATCTAATGGACCACACATTTTATTCCCTTGCTCATTATCTTCTCCCCTAGAATGTAAGCCCGTGCAGGTGAGGATTTCTGTTTTTTTTTTTCAGTGCTCAGTTCTTGATACCTAAGATAGCACCTGGCACACAGAGGGTGCTTGATAAGTGGCATTGAATGAAAGATACCTCAGGCTGGCGTGGGGTGACTCAGGTCCCTCACTTTCTCTGATGACTCAGTCTGTGTCCTCCTTACCCTGTGGCCTGCCCCATCCTCCACCCTAATTCTCACCCACCTCTATAGGATGCTCCGGAAAGACAAGGAGGAGGCAGAGGCCATCAAGCATGCCAAGGCTCTTGAGGAGGAGAAGGCCATGTACTCGGTGAGGTCTGGGCTGGAGTGGAAGGGGACAGGGGTGTGTCACAGGGAGGGCACCCCCTCACCAACCTGGCACCCACCCTACTCCAGGGACGCCGCTCTCGACGCCAGCGGAGAGAGTTTCGGGAGAAGCGGCTGAGGGGTCGCAAGATCAGCCCACCCAGGTAGGGCTTCTCCCTGAACCCCCACCCTGCTGGCATCTGGGGGAGGAGAGCAGGGGCTTAGGGCCTGAGAAAGCTCTTTGGAGGCAGGCATTTGACTTGAGAAAGGAGTCTTTCTAGTGGGGCGATGCATGGCCATCGTGAAGGTTTAGAGGTAGGAACGGCCTTGAGGGCCATGTGGACTCCTTTCCTTGCCAGCCCCTCCCCTCACCCTACTGGACTGGGGGCCCTTGCCAGACTCCCAGGAGCCCATGCACAGGCGGCATAAGGCTCTCACCAAGGCGGCAGAGAGGGCACAGGCTTTGCCCTGGACTCTCACCCAGTTCTGCTGCTTGGCTTCTTCCTGTGTCGGAGTTTGGACAAGTGACTTCCCGAACTCTCTGAGCTTCAATTTTTTCCTTTGGAAAACAAGGCATTATCACCTACCTGGAGAGAGGGCTGGGCAGTCCCCACAGGGAGGTCTTGGGACAGGTTTGGATGAGGCAGGCTGGCTTGGAGAGGAAAGCCCAGCCTGGGTCAGGAGGCCTTGAGGAGAGGCCCTGTGCAAACCCATGCCTCTTTTTGCCACATCTCTTAAAGGAGAGTGACTGAGAGTTCCTGTAAGGCTTAAACAACTTGTAGGTTCAGCGGTTGGTATCGGAAACATTCCTTAAAGAATAGCACCAATCGTCATTGCTGTCAGCGGTGGCACAGAGGCACACAGAGGGTAGTGCAGGAACGCCCAGGCTGGGTGGCCATAGGGCCTGGGTTTGGATCCCAGTTTCCTCCTTTATGAGCTACGTAATGCTGGACAAGTGACTTCACCTCTCTGGGCCTCAGTTTCCTCAGCTGTGATAGTCTCTCTTTTTTTTTTCTTCCCCCAGAGACAGGGTCTTATTCTGTCACCCAGGCTGGAGTGCAGTGGTGTAATCACGACTCACTGCAGCCTCAAATTCCTAGGCTTAGGCGATCCTCCTACCTCAGTCTCCTTAGTAGCTGAGATTACTGGTATGCGTCACCACGCCCAGCTAATTAAAATAAAAAATACTTAGTAGAGATGGGGTTTTGCGGTGTTGCCCAGGCTGGTCTCAAACTCCTGGGTTCAAGTGATCCTCCCACCTCAGCCTCCCAGAGTGCTGGGATTACAGGCGTGAGCCACCGCACCCAGCCTATTTTAATCTTATCATCATCATCATCATCATCATCATTAGTAAGCCCGGACCCAGTGAGAGCCAGAGACAAGGATTGGGAGGAGGGATGCTTTCATTCTAGGGTCAGGAGGCCAAGCAGAACCAGAGCTGCTGAAGTCCAAGTTCCTCAGAGTCATGATGGGTCTAGGACATTGTAGGGTGGGGCTTAAGTTCATGCTTTGGACAGATCTGAGGTGGGGGTGGGTGGAGGAATTAAGGGGAGGCCCCCAACCTGGTCAGCAGCCCCCTCACTGTGCCAGGTACCTAGCTTTGGGTCCTCAGGTTGGCGGGCTTATCCCAAATTCATGACTGCTGAGATCTTAAGCCCTAATTTGTCCCACCCCATTCTTTTCTCTGTAGCTATGCCCGCCGAGACAGCCCCACCTATGACCCCTATAAGCGGTAAGTTGCTCTGGAGGACCAGGGAATAGCAGACAGGGAGCCTCCTGATGGGGACAGGGGTGCTGAGGAGGGGATGGGAGGTTCACCCTGCTAGGCCACCCCAAGATCACAGACTGCATGATATGTTCTGGGTCTGAATCATTTTTGTGTTTTCCAGATCACTGTCTTGTTTTCCCAGTTTTAAATAAAATTTTTTTTTTGAGACGGAGTCTCGCTATGTCGCCCAGGCTGGAGTGCAGTGGCACGATCTTGGCTCACTACAAGCTCCGCCTCCCAGGTTCACGCCATTCTCCTGCCTCAGCCTCCTGAGTAGCTGGGACTACAGGTGCCCGCCACCAGGCCTGGCTAATTTTTTGTATTTTTAGTAGAGTTTAGTAGGGTTTCACCGTGTTAGCCAGGATGGTCTCAATCTCCTGACCTCGTGATCCACCCACCTCAGCCTCCCAAAGTGCTGGGATTACAGGCGTGAGCCACCACGCCCGGCCAATAAAATTTTCTTTATCTTTGAAGCTTCTTTATTTTATTTTTCTGATTTAAATACAGTGCAGCCTTGTGGTAAAAATGACCAAATATGGCAAAACAGTGTGACTGAGAAATCAAGTCACTTTAATCTCAATTTCCAGAAGTGGCCAGTGGGAAATAACGGGCACTCAGTAGCACCGCTGGGCACAGGTCGTTGTCTCGTGGATGAAAGAGTGGTTGGAGAAGGGATTTTGTGAGGGACCAAGCTCAGTCTGATCCCAGTCCCCCTCATCCAAGCTCCATAGCTCTCTGAAGCCCAGTTCCCTCTTCGGAATGGGGGTGGGAATGGGATCTTCCTCATGGGGCTGTGGGTCGAGGTTAGATGAGATAAGGTGTTGAATGGCTTCTGGGGAAATAAAAGGTGTAGGTTAGTGCTCCATACATGGGAGTGTCAGGAATATCAGATACTTTCTTTTTATTTTTAAAATTTTATATATTAAAAAACACGTTTGTTTTTTTTTTCTTTAAAATATTGAGATGGGGCTCACCATGTTGACCAGGCTGGTTTTGAAGTTCTGGCCTCAAGCAGTCCTCCCACCTGGGCCTTCCAAAGTGCTGGGATTACAGGCATGAGCCATCACACCTGGCCACTTTGTTTTTATTTTACTAAAATAGAATTGCACCACACTCAGTGTTTTAGAACTTGCTTTTTCCTCCCAGATTATCCATGTATCTTTTGAGTAAAACTTTTCTGTGTTTTGTACAGAGATCTGCTTATCTTTTTTTTTTTTTTTTTTTTTTTTTTTGAGACGGAGTCTCACTCTGTTGCCCAAGCTGGTGTGCAGTGGCGTGACCTGGACTCACTGCAACCTCTGCCTCCCAGGTTCAAGCAGTTCTCGTGCCCTCAGCCTCCTGAGTAGCTGGAATTACAGGTGCGCGCCACCATGCTCGGCAAATTTTTTTTGTATTTTTTGTAGAGACAGGGTTTTGCCTTGTTGGCCAGGCTGGTCTCAAACTCCTGGTCTCAAGTGATCGGCCTGCCTCGGCCTCCCACAGTGCTGGGATTACAGGTGTGAGCCACCGCGCCCGGCCTGCTCATCCATTTTTCATAGCCACATAAAATCAGAGCAGTTGTGTGTCATTGTCCTTCCTGGTTATTTAGCGAAGGCTGCATGGTTGTGAGTCAAGTCCTTGTCCAGAGCTGGGTCTCCACTGCCCTCCAGGCTCCATCCACCCGCCTGGTTTCCCGGGTCGCTGTGGCCCGCGCTGGCGCTGCTGTTGATCTGCTGTGTGTGCTGTTCCCGAAGAGGCTCCGGGAGCCTGAGCTAGTGAGCCTCCTCCTCCCTACCCGCAGGTCACCCTCGGAGTCCAGCTCAGAGTCCCGCTCCCGCTCCCGCTCCCCGACCCCGGGCCGCGAGGAGAAGATCACGTTCATCACCAGTTTTGGGGGCAGCGATGAGGAGGCAGCCGCAGCCGCTGCTGCCGCAGCAGCATCAGGAGTCACCACAGGGAAGCCCCCCGCACCTCCCCAGCCTGGCGGCCCCGCCCCGGGACGTAATGCCAGCGCCCGGTCGGTAACGCTCACGCCGCCCGCCCTACGCCCCGGTCACCATGGGGGGTACCCGGGGCAGAGGGGGGCCGCGGCTCAGGCCTGCGCTGACCGGCCCTCCGTGCCCCGCCTGCAGCCGCCGCTCCTCCTCCTCCTCCTCCTCCTCTTCTGCCTCGAGGACCTCCAGCTCCCGCTCCAGCTCTCGCTCCAGCTCCCGCTCTCGCCGTGGTGGGGGCTACTACCGTTCCGGCCGCCACGCCCGCTCCCGGTCCCGCTCCTGGTCCCGCTCCCGCTCCCGCTCCCGGCGCTATTCCCGGTCCCGTAGCCGTGGCCGGCGGCACTCAGGTGGGGGCTCCCGAGACGGACACCGGTACTCCCGCTCGCCCGCCCGGCGTGGTGGTTACGGGCCCCGGCGCAGAAGCAGGTGTGTGTGGCTGGGCGTGGAGGTGGGAGGGGCTGGGGGGGCGCGGTCTCCGATCCTGGGGAGAAGGTGCTCAGAGGGAGGAAACCTGGCCGTCCAGCTCAGAGAACACCCCATCTAAGGGGACAGGCACAGGCCACTGCTCTTCCGCAGGAAGCCCTTGGTTGGAAAGGGCAAGGCATGGGTGTTTGCGTGCGCGTTCTGGTGGCAGTGGAGGTGGATCCCAGCCGCTGTTTTCCACGACAGGGTGTGGAGAGGAGACTGTGCATCTCTCTCTCCTCAGGAGACTGTTTTTGCTGTCAGGGGTTCCAGGTGGAGGGGAGTAGAAAGCGCATGGACGCTCCAGGGTTTTCTGTAGCTTGAAGGGACGGGTCCGGGCCTTGAGGGCTGGGAAACCCCTTGCGGAGGGGGAGGGGCGCGTTCCTGTGTGGCCAGGAGCGGATGGGGAAGCGAAGCGGGTGGAAAAAATCAAGACAGCTCTTTGGCCTGGCGTGGTGGCTCACACCTGTAATCCCAGCACTTTGGGAGGCCGAGGCAGGCGGATCTCCTGAGCTCAGGAGTTCGAGACCACCCTGGGCAACATGGTGAAACCCCGTCTCTACTGAAAAAAAAATTAGCTGGGTGTGGTGGCACACGCCTGTAGTCCCAGCTACTTGAGAGGCTGAGGCAGGAGAATCGCTTGAAACCGGGAAGCAGAGGTTGCAATGAGCTGAAATCGTGCCACCGCACTCTAGCCTGGTGACAGAGTGAGATTCCGTCTCAAAAAAAAAAAAAAAAAAAAAAATTAGCTGGGCGTGGTGGCACGCGCATGTAGTCCCAGCTATGCAGGAGGCTGAGGCACGAGAATCGTTTCAGCCCCGCAGGCGGAGGTTGCAGTGAGCCGAGATTGTGCCACTGCACCCCAGCTTGGGCTACAGAGTGAGACTGCGTCTCAAGAAAAAAAAAAAAAAAAGACATTTCATTTTGGAGACGACATGGTGAGAGGCTAGCTCTAGGGATGGTTTAGAAAATAAAGTCACCTGGGGACTGGTCCACCCCCTTCCGGTCCCCTTGCCTGTTGGGGTCAGGGCTGCCCTGGGAAGGGCAGCGACGCTGGGTTGGTAGGAGCATAGACTGCAGGGCACCTGCCTGAGTGTAGAGTCCCTGGGCCTCTAATTCTGTAAAATCGCGGTAATAGCATCCGCTTCTCTGAGCTGTTAGAGGTGTAACAGGTAAACCCATGTAAGGTGCTTAGGACAGGGCTGGTGCTGGCTAAGTGCCGTTAATATCGTCAGCATCATTACCTGCGTTATTGTAGCACTGATCGCCATGTCAGCTGCCTTCAGGGTCTGGCAGGTAAAGTAGAGGGGCCAGGTAGAGATCCTGCTGACCTGGCAAGCACATGTTCCCTCCAGTCGGGGCGTTGACCGCTCAGCAGCAGGTCTAGTGTCACCCAGTCTTTCTAGTTCTCAGGAGAAGTTGAGGGTCTGGATTTTTAGAGGATAGCTCTTGTTTCCTTTACTTTTTTTTTTGAGACAGAGTCTCACTGTGTCACTCAGGCTGGAGTGCAGTGGCACAATCTCGGCTCACTGCACCTCCTCCTCCTGGGTTCAAGTGATTCTCCCGCCGCAGCCTCCCAAGTAGCTGGGATTACAGGCATGCGCCACCACACCTGGCTAATTTTTGTATTTCTAGTAGAGACGGGGTTTCACTGTGTTGGCCAGGCTGGTCTTGAACTCCTGACCTCATGATCCACCCACCTTTGCCTCCCAAAGTGCTGGGATTACAGGCGTGAGCCACCGCGCCTGGCCCTTGTTTTCTTAATAATGACAACAAATTTTTATTTTATAAAAACGCAATTCAAAAATTAGCCGGGTGTGGTTGTGCACATCTGTAATCCCAGCTATTCAGGAGGCTGAGGCAGGAGAATTGCTTGAACCCAGGAGGCAGAGGTTGCAGTGAGCCCAGCTATTGCACCACTGCACTCCAGCCTGGGCGACAGAGAGAGACTGTCTCAAAAAAAAAAAAAAAAAAAAAAAAAAGAGCCCAAGCAGAGTCAGCGTGTGGCCCAGAATTGGCTTCCAGGTCATATATTCCTTGTAGCTTACCCAGAGCAATGACAGGAGAAAGGCTTGGGGGACAGGTGGGACCTGGGCACATCTTGCATGCCAGCCTGAGAGTGGGCAGTGGGTGGAGAGTCCCACCAGTGTCCTGAGCAGGGAGAGGATGGGGTTCCGCATCCCCAGACTGGAACTTGTGGGTCTGTGCTGAGACTGGTGGAGGACAAGGGGTGGTCCCCACTATTGTCGAGACCCTGGACACAAGCAGGATGAGGTGGTGGGTGAGGGTGTAGATGAGGTCACCGTGGAACACTGTTGTGCCTGAGCTGGACACGGCTCATAAAGGGGGAGCCAGCCATCCCTCCCAGAGCTCACCTCCCGGGAAGTTAGCAAGCGGGTGTCTAGTGAGGGAGAGGTGACGTGGGCCAGGCAGGGCTCATGATGGCAGGACTGCCCTTAGGCTGAGTGTATCTAGAGCGCCATCTCTGTAGCCGGAGGGAGGCCGGAATGCCGCTCTGGGACATTTTGGAGGGAGAGTAGCAGGAGAGGAGAGTCGAGCCTGTCACCCTGGGCCTTGCAGGAAGGAGGACTGTGGATCCGGACCCAGGGTGGGGTGCGGTTGGGGTCCCTGGAGCCTCACAGTCCTCCTCCCGCCCTGCTGCATCCCCAGGAGCCGCTCCCACTCAGGGGACCGCTACAGGCGGGGCGGCCGGGGCCTCAGGCACCACAGCAGTAGCCGCAGCCGCAGCAGCTGGTCCCTCAGCCCGTCCCGCAGTCGCAGCCTGACTCGCAGCCGCAGCCATAGCCCCAGCCCCAGCCAGAGCCGCAGCCGCAGCCGCAGCCGCAGCCAGAGCCCCTCGCCATCACCCGCAAGAGAGAAGCTGACCAGGCCGGCCGCGTCCCCTGCTGTGGGCGAGAAGCTGAAAAAGTGAGCGGGGCGGGTCTGGAGGAAGAGGGCTGCCAATCTCGGGTGGGGAGGGTGAACATCACTGTTTTCTTTTTGAGGGGAACTTAGCCCTACCCTGGGAGGTCTGGGGGGTGGTGTATGGCCCTGGCCTGGGAGGGTGGATTTCAGGGGGACACAGCCCTGGCCTGGGGGGTCTGAGGAGGACACACCAAATCCTGGAGGATCTGCACAATTAGAACCTTGTCCTGGGTGAGGGTCAGAGGGGGACAGGTCCCTGTCTTACAGGTTCTGTGGGGTCTGAGAGGGACATGGTTGCACCCTGGGGCATCTGAGGCCCATGCCTTGGCTACCTGGTCTGAGGGCAGTGCTGAGGCTGGGGTCAGAGGTGGCAGCTGCCCTTTCCCCCTCCCAACCATGTCCTCTGGCCCTGCCCCCACCCAGGACCGAACCTGCCGCTGGTAAAGAGACAGGAGCTGCCAAAGTCAGTAAGAATTTGGAACTCGCCCGTCTAATTCCCGTCAGCAGCAGTGCCCAAGAGCTGGGCCCGGTGGGCCTGCAGGGGGGCCCGGGTGGGCTGGGAGATCCAGCCCCAGGGACAGGGAGGGGAGGGGAAGGGTCTGCCCCTGTGAGAACCATGTCCCTCTCCCCTCCTCACTGTACACTGGGGCTCCACCTGTCACTGAACCTCTGGGAGCCTCAGGGCTGTCCACAGCCTGCCCCTCCTCCCCACGTCGTTCTCCCCCCCCCACCCCCCCCCCGCACAAAGCCCCAGGCTTTTGGCTGAGGTGGGTTGTGGGAGCTCTGGGACACCCACCCCCTCTCCCGCCTCTTCTCCCCCCTCCCCAGCCCAAGCTGACGCCTCAGGAGAAGCTGAAACTGAGGATGCAGAAGGCGCTGAACAGGCAGTGTATGTTCTGCCCTGTCCCTCCAGGGTTTCACAGCTCTTCTTTCCCTTGGCAGTGGGAGCAAGGAGACTCAGCACCACTTTGGGAGGCCTGGCCCTTCCCTAGAGAGGCCACGCAGGCACGGAGGTGCTCTGGGGAGGAATGGGTTTGCATCAGCTCCGCTGCCGCTATGCTGGGGCCTCTGCAGTCAGGTTGACCTGTCTGAGCTCAGCTTCCTCATTTTAGAGAGTGGGGCTCTTAGCGGGCACGGTGGCTCACACCTGTAATCCCAGCACTTTGGGAGGCCGAGGTGGGCGGATCACGAGGTCAGGAGATCGAGACCATTAACACGGTGAAACCCCGTCTCTCTAAAACTACAAAAAATTAGCCAGGCATGTTGGTGGGCGCCTGTAGTCCCAGCTACTCAGGAGGCTGAGGCAGGAGATGGCGCGAACCCGGGGGGCGGAGCCTGCAGTGAGCCAAGATCACGCCACTGCACTCCAGCCTGGGCGACAGAGCGAGACTCTGTCTCAAAAAAAAAAAAAAAGAAAAAAGAGAGTGGGGCTCTTAAGGGAACCCCTCAGCCACCCTGTTCTTTCTCTCTACAGTCAAGGCGGATAAGAAGGCGGCACAAGAAAAGATGATCCAGCAGGAGCATGAGCGGCAGGTGAAGTGGGAAAGGGAGGGCTGGGGTGACGGGTGGGTGCTGGCCTGGCCACGTCCTCATAGCCCTGTCTGCTGCAGGAGCGGGAAGACGAGCTTCGAGCCATGGCCCGCAAGATCCGCATGAAGTAAGACCTTGCCCCTCCCTGTCCCATGGCCACACCTCCTGGCCTGCCTGGCCTTCCCACCATGGGCTGCTGGCTCAAGCCCTGCCCAGCTCCCTGTGGGTGGATGAAAGGCAGAGATCCCTGCCTGGCCCTCGGGGCTGTGCCCAGCTGCCTCTCTTGCTCCTCTCCCTGAATTTCCTCCCACCATTTCGACCTGCCTCCCGCCACCGCGACCTCCTCCCAGCTCTTCCAGCCTCCAAGTGCCAGTCACCTTTGCTGTTTTTTTGGCCTGGCAAGCTGTTCCTGATACCCCTTCCCCACTCACCCACCGCCATGGGTCTTTCTCCTGTCCCAGCCTCAGTTTGCTTATCTCCTAAATGGAGATACAGTCACTGTCCCACCTCACAGGCTGTTGGGAGGATTTGACAAGATCAAGGCCAGGCACGGAGGAGGCACCCAGTAGACGTAGCCATTGGGTTGCCAAGCCTGGCCACTGTGACGGAGACCATTTCAACACTCACTGTGTGCAGGTGCCCCAGTGCGGCAGGAAATGATGGGACTATCCTGCCTCCCTCTGTTCCCCAGGCTTTCCTAGGAAGGGGCTGGGATTCCAGTCAGCCCCGCCAGCTGGGGTCCCTCTGAACCTGGGGCTCCCTTTCCAAGCGGGGATTGGTGGCAGTACCGGCCCCCTTGGTTTACTGTCTTCCTCGGAGTAGGGTGTTGGAAGCACCTGCCCTCCCTGAGTTCAGTGTGTCCAGTGTTCCCGGCCAGATGCTCATGCCATGCCTTCGCAGGGAGCGGGAACGCCGAGAGAAGGAGAGAGAAGAGTGGGAACGCCAGTACAGCCGGCAGAGCCGCTCACCCTCCCCCCGATACAGTGAGTGTCCCCACCAGGCTGCAGGGCTCTGGGGCTTTAAAGAAAAGTGTCAAGCAGGGTTACCAAAAAAACCATAGTACAGCCGGGCGCGGTGGCTCACGCCTGTAATCCCAGCACTTTGGGAGGCTGAGGTGGGTGGATCAATCACCTGAGGTCAGGAGTTCGAGACCAGCCTGACCAACATGGTGACACACATACGTACACACACACACACACAGATTGCTTTAGTCACAAGGTGATTGCAGCAATTAGAAGTGCTCATTCCGGCATGGGCTGGTGAGGGGCACAGATGGCAGCCACTGGACTCTCTGGAAATGTCCCCTCATTTGGAGACAACCCCTGAAGTTCAGTTTTGAGGACCTCACCCCAGGTCAAGGAAGAGGCCCTGGCCCTGGATGTTTGCTCGCTCTTCACCTGTTGTTTTCTTTCCAGGTCGAGAATACAGCTCTTCTCGAAGGTAAGGAAGCCCATGACCCTCCACTTTCTTGGAAGTAACACTTGTCCTTTGATGGGAGGTCCTGGCTGTCATTCCTCCAGCCTCACCCTGTACCCACCTCCAGTTGGAGGGGCTGGTCTCATCCCTTGGGGAACATCCTTCCCTCCACAGACAAGTGCCCCGATCACTGAAGCATCCACGGCCCCAGGTGTGTTGATGTGTGTATGCCCCATCCTCACGGCCCCTCCCTTTCTCTTTCCAGGCGCTCAAGGTCCCGATCCCGAAGCCCCCATTACCGACATTAGGCAGAAGAGTGGGGGGTGGGGAGGACAAGGGGGTGGGTAAGGGGCTCAAGCTGTGATGCTGCTGGTTTTATCTCTAGTGAAATAAAGTCAAAAGTTATTTAATTCCCGTCACCTGTCTCAGTGTCATCTGTGTGGTTGGTGCAGGGCTCTCCCACCCCAGGGCCCATGGGCCAGCAGAGCCAGCTGGGAGGGCGCTTGGGTTTACAGGCCAGATGCCAGTGCTGCCTGTGTGGGACATCTTGCCCCCATCTGATGGCTAAGTGGCAGGCCCCTGTTCATCAGAACCTGCCATGGCTCAGTGAGGCCTGCTCAGGAGGCCAGGGCACAGTCCCAAGGGAGAGGGCCCAGACCTGCCCGCAGATGTGGACATAGGGTGTCGGCCCAGCATGTCCCACATGGGCCCCTTTGCCCAGGGCCTCTGGCGACAGGTCCGGGCCTCTCCCCGCCCTCGCCTCAGCCCCTGCCCTGGCCTCGCCCGCACTAGGAACTGGGAGCGCAGCTTTCTGTGCCAGTCCTGCTGCGCCCCAGGCACTGGGGGCTGGCCGTTCCCTCACCCCCTCACTCCAAACCGGTCTGTCCAGCCGTCCACCCCACGGAGGGGAAGCCTCCTGCCCCACCTCATGCACCCCAAGAAAGCCAGAGTCCAGACGGGTGTAAATAAAAGGGAAAATTTACTTGGAGAAGGCGGGCAAAAACGAGGAGGTCAATGGGTGTTGGCAGCGGTACCAGGGACAGTGAGGGGGGCTTTCCTGGGCTCAGGCCTCGCCGGCCGCCTCAGGGTGCTTCTGCCGCAGGTGTTTGTCCAGGGTGGCTCGCAGGCCGAAGGGCACATGGCAGTGGGGGCACTCGAAGCGGGTGCTGCCAGGCGTCATGCCGTGCATGCGGCGGTGGCGGTTGAGCTTACTGCTCTGGGCGCAGGCGTAGTTGCAGAACTCACAGGTGTAGGGGCGCTCCCCGGTGTGTGAGCGCCGGTGCACCGTCAGGTTGCTGCTGTTGGTAAAATGCTTCCCGCAGAACTCACAGCTGCCCCCGGGCCCGCGGCTCTTGCCCCCTGACTTGGGCATCTTTTTGGGTGATGCCTTCTGGCTGTTTGCAGGGTCAGTTCTTTGTTCCGTGGTGATGGCTCCCCAAGTGTCTCCACCAGGGCCGGCTTGAGCCCCACTGCCAGGAGCCCCGGGTTCCTGGACACCTGCTGTGGCGGCGGCTCCAGCCCCCTCACCACCGCTGCATGGAAGGGTGCTGGTGGGGGCAGCAGCATGGACAGCCGGCTCCGGAGGGGCTGCAGAGGCCTGCTCCTGGCTGGTGTCGGCCATGAGGGGGCTCTGGGGCGGCACCTGCCGGTGGGTCTTCTTGTGGCGGTTGAGCTTGCTGCTCTGGGCGCAGGCGTAGGGACACTGGTCGCAAGCATAGGGCCGCTCGCCTGTGTGTGAGCGCATGTGCACTTTGAGGTTGCTGAAGGAGCTGAGGGTCTTCTTGCACACAGGACAGGTGGGGCTCCGCCGGGTGAGGCCGCTGCCACTTGCACGGGGGCTCTTGGCCTCAGCTGCTGGCCCCACCACTGCCGACACGGCTGCAGCCACCTCGGCCAGGCCCAGGAGCGGGGCCTCCGGGGCCTCTGATTCTGTCTGGTAGATGGACAGTCCGTGGTCCCACTGGGCGTGACGCAGCAGCTTCCAGGCCACTGTGAACTGTTTGCCACAGCGCAGGCAGCTCAAGGCCTTCAGCTCCTCTCGTTCTGGTAAGAAAAAGAGGCAGAGTGTTAGTGCGGACAGCTGCCAGCTGGACACCTTCTGTGGGATAGGCACTCCTGCAGGGGCAAAGGACTTGGCAGTAACAAGACACACACACCCTGGAAGGACCAGGAAGCTGACGCTCAGAGGAGGGGTGGACACGAAAAATCTGTGGAGTGGGTGCTAAGTACCTGAAAACATTTTTTTTTAGACAGTCTCACTGTCGCCCAGGCTGGGGTGCAGTGGCACGATCTCAGCTCACTGCAACCTCCACCTCCTGGATTCAAGCTATTCTCATGCCTCAGCCTCTAGAGTAGCTGGGATTACAGGCGCCCGCCACCATGCCTGGCTAATTAGTAGAGATGGGGGTTTCACCGTGTTGGCCAGGCTGGTCTCGAACTCTTGGCCTCAAGTGATCCACCCACCTCGGCCTCCCAAAGTGCTGGGATTATAGGCATGAGCCACTGTGCTGGGCCATGTGTTTGAAAATCTTTTAAAAAGTTATGTTAACTCAGTAAGCGCTTCCTACATGCTAGGTGCTGAGCCATGGCTCATAGCCCGGCTTTCCCTCAGGACAGGAAAATAAGATCTCCATTTTCCAGACAGGAGAACTGAGGCACAGAGAGGCATTTCCCCAGGGTTGCACAGCTTGGAAGGGGTGAAGCTGGGATTTCAATCCAGACTACTGGGGGAGGGGGAGAGGGCAGAACAGAGGCTTGCTTGCTTTTTTTTTTTTGCTTTAAATTTTTAATTTAGTATTTTTTAAAGAGATGGGGTCCTGCTATGTTGCCCAGGCTATTTTTTTTTTTTTTTGAGACGGAGCCTTGCTCTGTCGCCCAGGCTGCAGTGCAGTGGCGCGATCTCGGCTCACTGCAAGCTCTGCCTCCGGGGTTCACGCCATTCTCCTGCCTCAGCCACCACGCCACAGGGTTTCACCGTGTTAGCCAGGATGGTCGCGATCTCCTGACCTCATGATCTGCCCGCCTCAGCCTCCCAAAGTGCTGGGATTACAGGTTTGAGCCACCGCACCCGGCCGCCCAGGCTATTCTTTAACTTAATGGCCTCAAGTAATCCTTCCGCCTCAGCCCCTCAAAGTGCTGGGATTATAGGCGTGAGCCACCATACCTGGCTGGGAGCAGAGGCTTTTGAATAAGATTTTTGGTTTAGGCCGGGCACGGTGGCTCACACCTGTCATCCCAGCACTTTGGGAGGCTGAGGCGGGTTGATCTCTTGAGGTCAGGGATTTGAGACCAGCCTGGCCAACATGATGAAACCCTGTCTCTAGTAAAAATAAAAAATAGCCGGGTGTGGTGGTGCGCGCCTGTAATCCCGGCCACTTGGGAGGTTAAGGCAGGAGAATCGCTTGAACCCAGGAGGCGGAGGTTGCAGTGAGCCGAGATCCCACCACTGCACTCCAGCCTGGGTGACAAAAGCGAGACTCTGTTTCAAAAAAAAAAATTTTTTTTGGTTTAATAAAAATAATTTTTAAAGTAATTGAGATATCTGGGCATGGTGGCTCATGCCTGTAATCCCAGCACTTCAGGAGGCCAAGGCAGGTGGACCACCTGAGGTCAGGAGTTTGAGACACCAGCCTGGTCAACATGGTGAAACCCTGTCTCTACCAAAAATACAAAAATTAGCTGGCCATGGTGGTGCACGCCTGTAGTCCCAGCTACTTGGAGGGCTGAGGCAGGAGAATCACTTGAACCTGGGAGGCGGAGGTTGCAGTGAGCTGAGATTGCACCACAGCACTCCAGCCTGGGTGACAGAGTAAGACTCCACCTCAAAATAATGGGGTAGCTACAGAGAAAGCTTAGCGGCCACCTAGTAAAGAGGTGGTAGTGACCTGGGTCCCCCACCCTCTGCATGGATCTCAAATTGAGCCCCCAAACCTGAATTTGGATTTCTATCTGGACCTTCGGGGTACTCTCAGTGGACACTTCCTAGGTGAACTAGCCTTTCCATTTTTCAAATTCTAGAGTCTTGGATGGGACAACCTTTGTGATACAACCAGTCCTGGGTCAAGAGCACAGGCCTGCATTCAAATTCAGACTTCTCTGCTCCCTAATTGTGTGACCTTGGGCAAGACATAGTCCTCTGTGTGCCTCAGTTGCTAGAATTCAGGGACCCTAGAGATCCCCTCCCTTTCAAGGGTGGTTGTGACCTCGCTTGGGGAATGGTTGAGAGCTTTGGTCCACATAAGCGCTCAAACAGCAGAGCCTGTGAAACCAAGGTGCCCATGATTCTCCAAGCCCTGTAGTGTTTTGTTCCAGCGATTCCATCACAGCCCCTCGCTCGCTCCTCCAGGCCACTCTCCATGCTCCAGCTCTAAAGCTGATTCAATCAGTCACAAGCCCCTCCTCTTTCCCACCACCAGACCCTCCCTGGCCCAACCCTAAATAATTCCACTTCTCAAAAGTCTCAGAAGGGCAAGGGCCAGGGGGCTGGAAACTAGGTTTGGATTAAGCCCTGCAGCCAACACTGACCAAAAGCTCACCGAGGGTCAAGCCCCATGTGAAGGCTTTTAATTCCCTCCCAAGAGAAGGAACCCGGGTGTCCAGCACCCGGGAGCTCGCTCAAACCAGGGGATTCCCAGCACGCGGGGCTGGGAGATTCCATCACCGAGGGAAGCCAGAAGCCCCTTCCTTGGCTCTGAACACTCAGCTGTACTAGCACCTCAATCAGAATTGACAGAGAGAGACAGGAGGGGGTGGCAACCTCCCCATTCCAGCTGGCCTCCACTCCCCCTCCCCCCGGCCGCTGCCCTCCCTAGAGGTCCCCTCCTACTGCCACCCTGGTCCAGCCACCTGGCCAGTTATTTCTGGCCAAGGGGAAGGAGAAGTGAAACCAGGTTGGGGTGTGTGTTGGGGGGGGCAAAATCCCGGGCTAGTCTTCTGGGGCTGGCCACACCCTGTAGGCGGCCCTCCTTCCCTGCCCAGTCCCCCCCCGCCCCCCCTCCACCGCCACCACTGGTCCCTGCCCTAGGACGGGCAGGCCCTGGCCACGCCTAGGCTGCACCCGATGGGGAGCGAGAAAGGGGAAGTAGTGCTCAGTGCCCTGCCGTCCAGCCCAGCCCCTTTCCAGCAGGAAGCCCAGCCCTCGAACTTGAGAGGGGGACTGCACCCGGCTTTACTCACCTGAGCCCTGGCCGCGGCTGGGGCCTCTGAAGAGCTGACAGCCCAGCTTCTTGTGGTCCATGAAGGCAGTGATGGCCTCCAACGGGAAGGTCTGCAGGCAGCGGCCGCAGGTCAACAGATCTGGGTGTTTGTCGGTCCAGGGCTGGCGGTCTGCAGGGAGGAAGCGGGTGGTGAGCGTGGGGTGGGGCCAGGATGGGGGCTGAGGGTGCTGAAGGAGAGGGGAAACCGAAGGTCAGAAGGGGGCCTGAGGGGCAGGACGGGGCGAAGGAGATAAGGCAGGGCGAGGGGCCCATGCCCAAAGGGAAGGGTCCCACCCGAGGGTCAAAGGTAAGGGAGGCTGGGCCCAGGGCCCGGGGTGCTCACCGGGATAGTTCGGGGTCAACGGCGTCCACAGGGTCCACGGGTTCCGCGGGCCGAGGGCGAGGAGGGCGGCCCCGGCGGGCATGGGGCCAGGGGAGTGGTGGGGTTCGCCGCCGAACCGCCCCGCCGAGGACACCTCCTTCGGGGAGAAGGGCCCCAGCCTTGGGGCCTGTTGGGGCTGCGCGTCTGGCTCGGGCTTGAGTTCGATGACGAGGTCCTGCATTTCCATCTCGTCGTCTGGGTTGGCGGCGGGCGCGGGCTCTACTCGGCGGGGCGCGCTGCCGGCCTTGCGGCGGGACATGAGTCGCGGGCCGGGCGAGCGAGCGGGCGGGCAGGCAGGCAGGCGGGCGGGCGGAGGACGCACGAGCGGAGGACGCGCGGACCGTGCGCGCTCAGGTGAGTGACTGCGGCGACCCGCCGCGAACTCTTACACGTGCTGGCCGGGCCCGTGGCTCCGCCTACCAGGGCGGGGCTCATGGGAGGGGACCGAGCCGCCCTGCTGGGGCCCTGACGGCGGCCTAACTCAATCTAGGCAGTGTCCCGTGCGTTTGGCTTAGTGACCAAATTTAATCACACCGAGTTCCCACAAGGCATTGAAACAGCTATCCCTGATCCCGTTTTAGGGCGGGTGAAACTGAGACACGGCATGCCCACACGCACCCCCAAGCGAGAAAAATAGTCGGTCACGTTTCTTATTAGGTGCCTGATAGTAATCTGGGCTATTTCATTAAATGCATTACAATAAAAATTCATTTTGCAAGCATTCACTGAGTGCCTCCTGTGCGCCAGGCTCTGTTTGAAGCCCTGAGAATACAGGAGGGAATAAACAGAAGATAATCTTTGTTTGCACGGAGTTCAGACGGTGGGGGAAGACACTATAAACATAATTACGTAAAATATAGATGGCCCTTCATGATGACCAGTGCCATGGAGCAAAAGAAAGCTGGAAAGGCGGAGAGGGTTACTGGGGTTGAGGGATTCAATTTTCTCCCCTATGATGGGAAAGGGCATGGTGGAGCTGAGGCTGGAGGGAAGGAAGCCCAGCCAGTGGGCCTGGGCATTGAGGAATTACAAGGAAAGGGAGAGGCAATACGGGTTGGGGATTGAGTTCAGTGAAAATATGGGGGCAGATCCAAGCAATCTTTTGATCGCTTTAAGGTCTTTTGGTTTTCCTGAGACCGGAGCCTTAGGAGGGTTTTGAGCAGAGGAGGACTGTAATCATACACATCGACTCTGTTCCTAGACCAGAAGTCGCCATTAAAACCAAATAGCCAAGCAGCTCACCTGCCTCCACTCCGCCTCCTTGAACTTCCCTCCCCTAAGCAGTTCTGTCTGCTCACTGTTTGAAGTGGCATCGACACCCTGCCCCACCCTCAATCCCTGATGAGTATTCTTTTCTTCCTGGCACCGACTGCACGACAGTATAGAACGGCTTGTGGACTGTCCTCTCCCCCACCCAATGCAAGCCCCCTGAGGTCAGGGCAAGAACCTGTCCTCCCCCAGCTGTCCTCAGCCCAGATGCTGATTTCAGATGCTGATCTCTTGGAGTTCTGCACATTGTTATTCAGGTCTGGGTTCCATTGTCCTCCTGAGAGCAGAGGGCCCTGACCAACAGTATCTAAAGTAGCCCCACCCTGCTGAAGGCCTTGCAAATTACACTCCATGACCTCCATCTGTCCCCAGTTCCCTCTTGGATCTCACTTTCTCCATCTGTCAAAGGAGGTAGGGCAGGTTGGAACTAGAGGGTTATCTGAGGTGGTTTCTTCTTCACTGCCGCCTCCTCTGATCACCCTTTTTTTTTTTGTAATTTTTAATTTTTCAAAAAAAATTATTTTTAAATAGAGACAGGGACTCGCTTTGTTGCCCTGGTTGGTCTGAAACTCTTGGCTTGAAGCGCTCCTCCTGCTTCAGCATCCCAAAGTGCTGAGATTACAGGTGTGAGACACTGCACTCAGCCTCAGACCACCCAATTTTAAGTTCCATGGCAACCCAGCCACCCACTATCCCATTGCCCTTATTTTACTCTTTTTTTTTTTTTTTTTTTTTGAGATGGAGTTTCACTCTTGTTGCCCAGGCTGGAGTGCAGTGGCACGACCTCAGCTCACTGCAACCTCCGCCTCCCGGGTTCAAGTGATTCTCCTGCCTGAGCCTCCGGAGTAGCTGGGATTACAGATGCCCGGCTAATTTTTCTATTTTTAGTAGAGACAGGGTTTCACCATGTTGGCCAGGCTGGTCTCGAACTCCTGACCTCAGGTGATCCACCCGCCTCAGCCTCCCAAAGTGCTGGAATTACAGGCGTGAGCCACCGTGCCCGGCCTATTTTATTCTTTATACATCACTTTGATCAAACCCTGAAGGATCTTGTTTACATATTTGCTCATTTTACCCTATTCTGTCCCTTCTACCCCCACTAGAACGTAGGTTCTAGGAGGCAGGATGGGAGTCTGTCTTGTTCATAAATACAACCCCTACTCGTTCATAGTTAAGTCAACAAATATTTATTGCGCACCTACTATGTGTCTGATGATATTCTTTCAACAGATATTTGCAGAGCACCAAATTGTGTACCTGGCACTAGGCCTTGGTGATCTAGTGGAAAGCAAAGGCCCACAGGATCCCTGCGTAAAGAGGACCCCGCAAGGAGAAAGTGAATTCTGACTGGGCCTGGAATAGGGAGGTTCATATTCCCCATTCAAGGCCTCAGTTTCCCCCTTTGTAAAATGGGACTGCAGGGAGAGCTGGAGGACAAAATGACCGCCTCTGATCCAGCCCAGCTACTTTCTTAGTATGCGGCATCTGAAACCATGATCTCCAGGTTTCCTGTAGAGGAGCGGGGGTTCCCACTGGAAGCAAGGGGTTAGGAGTGGGTATGTGTAGGGGGATGGGGATGCAAAGACCGAGCTCTGCCCTTAACCCAGCAGGGAGGAAGTCTTCCCCTCTCTGAACCTCAGTTTCTTCCTGCCTAAAATGGGCATCCCAGACGCCCCCAACTCGCAGGCAGGAAGATCGGTCCCAAGTGCCCCGCAAAGCCGCGGGCCAGGTGGCGACCCGGGCTGTGCTGGCTTCCAAGCCTGCGAGCCAGCCCGCGACCACGTGGGGCAGTGGCGGCGGCGCGGGCGGAACCCAGGCTCCGCGGCTTGCGGCCTGCCCGGGCCTCTGCAGCGGGGGCGCCGGCGGAAGTGGGGACACCAGTAGCCGCGGACCTCGGTGAGTACAAGGTGGTGGGGGGTCGCCAGCAGGTTCCCTCTCCCCGGCCCCAGCTCTGGACGCTCACCCCAGTGCAACGCCCTGAGTGACGGAAAGAGGTAGGACCGCGCCTGCAGCGCCGGCTGGAGGGACGTTCTGGTCCCCAGACGCTCCTATCAGGGACTGTTTGATCCCGATCGCCGGCAGCGGGAATGCCCCACGCGGGTGGGGTGAGGAGAAGGGAGAAGGAGAAAAACTTCCCCTCCGGAAAATAATAAATGGCCACGATAACAGAAGCATCGGTGGCAGTCATCCCGCTTTACCTGGAGCGGAATCGCTCGCTCAGTCTGAGCCTGGAGGTGGGAAGAAGGTCCAGTCCGAACGCCCAGGGCGGTGTGGGGAGTGGACGCCTGGGGGCCGGGAGGACCTACTTAGTATAAGAAAAGGAGAGCAATGGGTGGTCAGGGCGGAATTGAAAGGAAACTGACCGGCCCCAGGGGAGAAGGGGAGGGGAGAGATTCTGTGCTTGGGGTTCTGACCCTCTCGGGTGGCCCCATTTAGCTAATTTGCATCAAGATTCAGCAGCCGATGATGTCTGTATGTGTGTGTGTGTCTGTGGACACGTCAACACCTTGGTTAATTAATTAGGTCTGGCGGCTTCTCTGTTGACAACTCAGCTGGTTCCACACCCTGGCAATTGTGAAGAGTTGGCCAAATGTTTGTCCACTGAGCTGATCTCCTCTCTGGAGCACCGGGGCCACCAGGAGGGAGGTCTGTGAAACCCCTGCCCCTGCCATTGACCTAAGTGTTGGGCTCTTGAATCTAACAGACTAGTTTTTCAAGTCGTGGGGGATGGGCTTGGGCATTTTTCCCTGAAACCTTCGGAAATCCTTGCCTTGGAGACTGAAAGGATAAAGGCCTCTGGGGCCAGGTCACCAGGGACAATGGATAACGCCTGCCTCTACCCTCCTGGGCACACCCTGTGTGATCTTTCTTAAACCAGTTTCTTATCAGGTCACACCTTGGCTCCACAGTCTGCCTTTCTACATGGGGCACGGGTGAGGACCAGAGTTTGCTCCCTCTTCCTCCACCCTCCAGCTTGCACCAAGGAAATGATTTTTTTTTTTTTTTTTTTGAAACAGAGTCTCACTCTGTGGCCCAGGCTGGGGTGCAGAGGCGTGATCTCCGCTCACTGCAACCTCCGTCTCCCTGGTTCAAGGGATTCTCCTGCCTCAGCCTCCTGCGTAGCTGGGATTACAGATGCGTGCCACCACATCCAGCTAATTTTTTTTGTATTTTTAGTAGAGATAGGGTTTCACCATGTTAGCCAGGCTGGTCTTAAACTCCTGACATCAGGTGATCTGCCTCCCTCAGTCTCCCAAAGTGCTGGGATTACAGGTGTGAACCACTGCACCCAGCCCGAGGAAAGATTTGACCTGCCAGCTTCACTGGCCACTTTACAAAAATGGGGATTGCATCAATATGACCAAATCTCCCTTGTTTTTTGTTTTTTTTTTTTTTTTTCCTGATGGAGAAAACAAGGCCCTATACTGGCCCTCCCTTAATTTCATTTTATCCAGGGATTTAACAGAATTCTTTGGCCACTCTAATCCTATCTAAGTCATTTAGTAAGTACTCACCCTAGAGACTAGGGGGTTTCTCTTGAAACTCAAGTGTTAATCTAGGCTCAGGAAAGACCCTGGGGGCTGGTGAGGCCTGACTAAATTGGAGTGACAGTGGTCAGAGAAAATAAAAAATGCAAGTAGGGCGTGTTGGCGTGGGCCTGTAATCCCAGCTTCTCGGAAGGCTGAGGTGGGAGGATATCTTGAGTCCAGGAGTTCAAGATTAGCGTGGGCAATACAGCGAGACCTCACCTCAAAGTAAATAAATAAGTAAATGTGCTTTTTAAAAAATTAGAAAATGCAAGGCCGGGCACGGTGGCTCATGCCTGTAATCCCAGCACTTTGGGAGGCTGAAGCAGGCAGATCAGGAGTTTGAGACCAGCCTGGCCAACGTGGCCAAACCGCGTCTCTACTAAAAATACAAAATTAGCCATGTGCAGTGGTGCGCGCCTGTAGTCCTAGTTACTTGGGAGGCTGAGGCAGGAGAATTGCTTGAACCCGGGAGGCGGAGGTTGCAGTGAGTTGAGATCATGCCACTGTACTCCAGCCTGGGCGACAAGAGTGAGACTCCGTCTTAAAAAAAAAAAAAAAATTAGAAAATGCAACTATCCCTTAATTCCATTCACGTGGTCTTCCCTGTCAGGAAAAAAAAAAAAAACCTTGGAGTCTCCCTTGGCTGCTCTTTCCCTCAAATTATATATCCCTTATCCTGTCCATCACCGAGGGCTCTTGACCTTTCTTTTTTTGTTTGTTTTTGTTGTTTTGAGATGGAGTCTCACTCTGTCATCCATGCTGGAATGCAATGGCACGATCTCCGCTCACTTCAACCTCCGCTTCCCGGGTTCAAGCGATTCTTCTGCCTCAGCCTCCCGAGTAGCTGGGATTACAGGCACGCACCACCACACCCAGCTAACTTTTGTATTTTTAGTAGAGAGAGGTTTCACCATGTTGACCAGGCTGGTCTCATCCTGACCTCAGGCGATCTACCCACCTCAGCCTTCAAAAGTGCTGGGATTACAGGCGTGACCTACTGCGCCCAGCCTCGACCTTTCAAACATAGCCTAATCTGACCACTTCTCCCCATTCCCATTGTCCCCAGCCCATACTAGACGCCATCTTCTTCCACCTGGACCACTACAGTGACCTCCTCATTGCGTTCCTAGTGTCTCCCTTCAATCTCGTTTATTGTCCATGCAGCAGGCAGAGGATCCTGAGGACCTTAAGCCAGATTCTGCCCATCCTTCACTCAGAACTGTCCAGTGGCTTCAGTCTCAGAGTAGAGACCCAAATTGTCATCACAGCCCACAAGGCACTCTCTCTGTCCCTGCCCCCACCTCCTCCACACTGGCCTTGCTACGCCCCAAAGCCACCCTTTCCATGATCTTTGCATTTTGCTCTTCCTTCTGACTGGAATCTCCACATGGCTCCATTCCTAATTTCATTCAGGTCTATGCTCAAACGTAATCTTATCATAGGGATCTTTCCTGGGCTCCCTTGAAACTACCCTCTATCCCCCAGGCTGGGTCAGGTGTCTCCTCTGGACTCCTTCATTCCAGCCCTACTCACTTTGGGTCATCACTGCCTAAGGACAGGTCTGTGTCCCCTATTGGACTGTGAGCCCACAAAGGCGGAACTGGGCTCTCAGTCCTAGACGTGTTTCCAAGACCGCCCAATGTGGGTCATGCACAGAGCAGGCACTCAGATGATGTGCTAACAATGCTAGATAATGTGGATGAGTGAATTTTTTTTTTTTTGAGACAGGGTCTCATACTCTGTCACCCAGGCTGGAGTACAGTGGCACAGTTATGGCTCACTGCAGCCTCCACCTACCAGGCTCAAGCGATCCCCTCACCTCGGTCTCCTTAGTAGCTGGGACTCTAGTCGCACACTACCCATGCCCAGCTAATTTTTTTTTTTTTTTGTAGAGATGGGGTTTTGCTATATTGCTCAGGCTGGTCTTGAACTCCTACGCTAAAGCAATTCTCCAGCCTCAGTCTCCCAAGGTGCTGGGATTATAGTTGTGAGCCACCGCACCTGGCTAGAAAACTTTTCTTTGGTGCATAAAAATGATATAAAATTCAAATTTCAGTGTCCCAGTAAGTAAGGTTTTGTTGGAGAACAGCCATGTTCATTTGTTTCCATATTGTCTATGGCTGCTGTTGTGCTACTGTGGCAGAGTTGAGCAGTGACAGTAAAATACTTACAGAGAAGGTTCGCAGACCTCTGCTACGTATTTTGCCAAGAAGAAAAATAAAATAAAGTTAAAATTGAAAATATGTTGCCCGCTGGGCGCGGTAGCTCACGCCTGTAATCCCGGCACTTTGGGAAGCTGAACTGGGGGTGGGTCACCTGAGACCAGGAGATGTAGACCAGCCTGGCCAACATGGTGAAACCCTGTCTCTACTAAAATACAAAAATTAGCCAGGCATGGTGGCGCGCACCTGTAATCCCAGCTACTCAGGAGGCTGAGGCAGGAGAATTGCTTGAACCCAGGAGGCAGAGGTTGCAATGAGCCAAGATTGCACCACTGCACTCCAGCCTGGGGGATAGAGTGAGACTCCATCCCCAAAACAATTTTGCCAAGGAGGATTCTATTTGGGCCACCTATGGGCATGTGAGATCAGTAAGATTTGGCAGCTAATTATGCAGAGTGGGTGATGAGGTTTAGATGCCTCCCAGGGAGAGCTCTTTTTCACATTTTCTTTTCCAATTCTTCTTCTTTTTTTTTTTTTTTTTGTTTGAGACAGGGTCTCACTCTTCCCAGGCTGGAGTGCAGTGGTGCAATCACATCTCACTGCAGCCTCAGCCTCCTCCGGCTCACTAGATCTTCCCACCTCAGCCTCCTGAGTAGCTGGGACTACAGGAGCGCACCCTTTGCCCAGCTAATTTTTCTATTTTTCTGGAGACGAGATTTTGCTATGTTGCCCAAGCTGGTCTCAAATTCCTGGGCTCAAGTGATCCACCTGCCTCAGCCTCCCAAAGTTCTGGAATTACAGGTGTGAGCCACCTCGTGCCCAGCTGCTTCTTGCTTTCTGAAATTAAAATTTAGGCCGGGCACGGTGGCTCACGCCTGTAATACTAGCACTTTGGGAGGCCAAGGCGGGTGGATCACCTGAGGTAAGGAGTTCAAGACCAGCCTGGCCAACATGGGGAAACCCCGTCTCTACTGAAAATAAAAATATCAGCTGGGCGTGGTCGCGGGCACCTGTAATCCCAGCTACTTGGGAGGCTGAGTGACGAGAATCGCTTGAACCCGGGAGGCGGACGTTGTAGTGAGCCAAGATCGCGCCACTGCACTCCTGCCTGGGCGACAAGAGCGAGACTCCATCTCACAAAAAAAAAAAAAAAAAAAAGAAATTAAAATTTAGTGGCTGGGCATGGTGGCTTAGACCTGTAATCCCAGCACTTTGGGAGGCTGAGGCAAGAGGATCACTTGAGCCCAGGTTGGAGACCAGCCTGGGCAATATAGTGCGACTTCATCTCTATAAAATAAAATAAAATTAATTAATTAAAAATTTTATTTATTTATTTATTTATTTTGAGACAGAGTCTCGCTGTGTTGTCCAGGCTGGAGTGCAGTGGCATGACCTCAGCTCACTGCAGCCTCTGGCTCACGGGTTCAAGCGATTCTTATGCCTCAGCCTCCTGAGTAGTTGGGATTACAGGTGTGTGCCACCATGCCTGGCTAATTTTTGGGGCGTTTGTTTGTTTTTGAGATGGAGTCCCAGTCTGTCACCCAGACTGGAGTGCAGTGGCACAATATCTCAGCTCACTGCAACCTCTGCCTCCCGGGTTCAAGAGAGTCTCCTGCCTCAGCCTCCTGAGTAGGCGGGATTACAGGAGCCTGCCACCATGCCCAGCCCAGCTAATTTTATTTATTTATTTATTTTTTGAGACAGAGTTTCACTCTTGTTGCCTAGGCTGGAGCGCAATGGCGCAGTCTCGGCTCACCACAACCTCTGCCTCCTGAGTTCAAGTGATTCTCCTGCTTCAGCCTTCCAAGTAGCTGGGATTACAGGCATGCACCACCACTAATTACAGAAATGCACCATCAGGCTAATTTTGTATTTTTAGTAGAGGCAGGGTCTCTCCATGTTGGTCAGGCTGGTCTCGAACTCCTGACCTCAGGTGATCCGCCCACCTCGGCCTCTCAAAGTGCTGGAATTACAGGCGTGAGCCACAGTGCCCGGCCAACACCCGGCTAATTTTTGTATTTCTTAGTACAGACAGGGTTTCACCGTGTTGACCAGGTTGGTCTCAAACTCCTGACCTCAGGTGATCCGCCTGCCTCGGCCTCCCAAAGTTCTGGGTTTACAGGCGGGAGCCACTGTGCCCAGCCTATGTTCATGTCTTCTATAGCCATCTTTATTCCTTCCTCCCTCTTTGTGACCTGTTTGTCTGCATCAGTGTTTCATTTGGGGCCATCAGGAGACGTTTGGCAATTCATGGAGACTTTAAAAAAAAACTGTATTGAGATGCAATTCACATTCACCAATTCACTGTTCACCAGTGGTGACATTTTTGGCTGTCACAACTTGAAGATGGGATGCTACTGGCATCTATTAATAGGAGGCAGAGGCTAGGATGCTGCTCAAACCCTACACCTATGCGTTGGACAGCCCCCACAACATAGCAGATAATTATCCAGCCCCAAATGTCAATAGTGTCCAGACTGAGTAGCCCTGGTTCACATCCTTGGTCTATCTGCAGGGTCCTGTCTTGCAAGGGGCTCACAGTTCAGGTGCAGAGACAGGAAGAGCCTAATAAGAAAAAGGACAAGTTAGTCCAGGCACAGTGGCTCACGCCTGTAATCCCACCACTTTGGGAGGCTGAGATGGGGGGGATCACTTGCGGTCAGGAGTTCGAGACCAGCCTGACCAACATGGTGAAACCCCGTCTCTACTAAAAATACAAAAAGTAGCTGGGCATGGTGGTGTGTGTCTGTAGTCGCAGCTTCTCGGGAGACTGAGGCACAAGAATCTCTTTTTTTTTTTTTTTTTTTTTTGAGACGGAGTCTCGCTCTGTCGCCCAGGCTGGAGTGCAGTGGCGTGGTCTCGGCTCACTGCAAGCTCCGCCTCCCGGGTTCACGCCATTCTCCTGCCTCAGCCTCCCGAGTAGCTGGGACTACAGGCGACTGCCACCACGCCCGGCTAATTTTTTGTATTTTTAATAGAGATGGGGTTTCACCTTGTTAGCCAGGATGGTCTCGATCTCCTGACCTCGTGATCCGCCTGCCTTGGCCTCCCAAAGTGCTGGTATTACAGGCGTGAGCCACCACGCCCGGCCACACAAGAATCTCTTGAACCTGGGAGGCGGAGGTTGCAGTGAGCCGAGGTGGCACCACTGCACTCCGGCCTGGGTGACAGAGTGAGACTCTGTCTCCAAAAAAGGAAAAAAAAGAAACAGGACAATTTCAATCACCTCCCTTCTGTGCCTGGCCCCAGGGTCTTGGGTACCCAACACTTGTCACTCAGCTCAGTTAGTCCTCACTAGGTTTAGAGAGGAGAGGACCAAGCCACAGGGAGTGGTGCAGCTGCTAAAACCTAGGTCCTCCTCTCTCAGGTCTGCACCCACAAGGCCAGCATTTCCCTATACACATTCAACATCATAGCATAGCGCTTCATATGTCCCAGACATGTGCCAAACATGGTAGGTTAGTTAGGTAATTTAGTCCCCATGCCCGCCCTGTGAGTTAGGGCTCTGTTTTACAGATGGGGAAACAGAGGCACAGATTAGTCAAGCCATTTACCCCAGGTCACACAGCAATACTAACAATAAGAGCAGTTCACTATTATGGAGAACCTAGAATGTGCCAGGCCCTGTCTGGCAGGAGCCTGTTGAATCCTGATAACAGCATAGGCAGCAATTGGGGCTATTTTTCCATACAATGGAAGAGAAAACTGTCTCTTACTGATGTCACACAGCTAAACCGGCCTGGGATCTCCACTCTTCATTCATTTTGTTTTTTGTTTGTTTGTTTTTTTCGAGATGAGTCTTGCTCTGTCGCCCAGGCTGGAGTGCAGTGGCGAGATCTCCGCTTACTGCAACCCCTGCCTCCCTGGTGCAAGCGATTCTCCTGCCTCAGCCTCATGAGTAGCTGGGATTACAGGCACGTGCCACCATGCCCAGCTAATTTTTGTATTCTTAGTAGAGACGGGGTTTCACCATGTTGATCAGGCTGGTCTTGAACTCTTGATCTCGTGATCCACCTGCTTTGGCCTCCCAAAGTGCTGGGATTACAGGCGTGAGCCACCGCGCCCAGCCAATGTTTGTTTGTTTTTGAGATAGAGTATTGCTCTGTTGCCCAGGCTGGAGTACAGTGGCACAATCTCTGCTCACTGCAACCTCTGCCTCCCAGGTTCAAGTGATTCTCATGCCTCAGGCTCCCCAAGTAGCTGGGATTACAGGCACGCACCACCACGTCCGGCTGATTTTTGTATTTTAGTACAGACGGGGTTTTACTATGTTGGCCAGGCTGCTCTCGAACTCCTGACCTCTAGTGATCCTCCAGCCTCAGCCCCTAAAGTGCTAGGATTATAGGCATGCGCCGCCATGCCCAGCTCATTCATGAATTCTCATTGGTCTCTATGGCAGGCAGTTTCTGGGGGCTGGAGATCCAGCAGTGGGAAAAGCAAGGTGGCCACCTTGAAACTCACGGAGGGAAAGGAGATACAGGCAGATACAGGGAACCGAAAGTGCAAGAGCCCAAGAAGGGATTGCCAGGCATCGCGCCTGAGGATCAGCGAGGAGGCCTGTGTGGCTGGGGTGGGGAGAGCAAGCGTGGTACACCACGAGGGTGCCGGCAGGATCCAGAGCTAAGACAGAAGCCACAAGAGGGCTCCGAGCAGAGGAGGGATATGATCTGACTCAGGCATTAACAGGGTGTTGGGGTGCAGACGGCGGGGGGTGAAGGTGGAAGCCAGGGACCCAGTGAGGAGTTGACTACAGTACTCCAGGCAGGAAGTGTCTGTGGCTGCAGCAGGATGCTGGCAGTGGAGGAGGTGAGAAGTGTTAGGTTGTGAATAAATAAATATGTGTGTGTGTGTATATATAGATATATAATTTTTTTTTTTTTTTTTTTTTGAGACAGAGTCTTGCTCTGTCGCCCAGGCTGGAGTACTGTGGCACAATCTCGGCTCACTGCAACCTCTGCTTCCCAAGTTCAAGTGACTCTCCTGCCTCGGCCTCCTGAGTAGCTGGGATTACAGGTGCCCGCCACGATGCTTGGCTAATTTTTGTATTTTTCGTAGAGACGGGGTTTCACCATGTTGGCCAGGCTGGTCTCGAACTCCTGACCTCAAGTGATCTGCCCACCTCGGCCTCCCAAAGTGCTGGGATTACAGGTGTGAGCCACTGCTCCCAGCCTTATACAATTTTTTTCTCAGCCTTTCTTTGTCTTTTATGACTTTAATATTTTTGAAGAGCCCAGGTTAGTTGTGCTGTTTTTGTTTTTGTTTTTTCTAAGACAAAGTCTCACTCTTGCCCAGGCGTGGAGTGCAGTGGCGCGATCATAGCTCACTGCAGCTTCAACCTTCCAGGGCTCCAGTGATTCTCTTACCTCAGTCTTCTGAGTAGCTGGGACTTCCACGAGTACATTGTCAAGCCTGGCTAATGTTTTTTATTTTTAGTAGAGACGAGGTCTTACCATGTTGCCCAGGCTGCTCTTGAACTCCTGAACGCAAGCAATCCTCTCACCTTGGCCTCCTGAGGTGCTGGGATTATAGGCATGAGCCACCATGCCTATCCCTGTTGTCCTTGTTTGGCCCAGAGGCTGGAAGATCACTTGAGGCCAGAAGTTCAAGACCAGCCTCGGCAACATAGTGAGACCCTGTCTCTTTAAAATTTAAAAAAAAAAGAAAAGGAATAGCACAGAAGTGGTGCCCTGCCTTCTTAGTGTCCCATTCCTGGAGATGTTGGCTTTGATCACTAAGTTAAGGGGGTGCATACCAGGTTCCTCCAGTATAAATTTGTGTTTGCCCTTTACAGTGAATGAATATCTTATAAGTCTGTTAAGACTATGTAGATACCTTATACTTCATCAAACTCCCATCCATGCTTTTTTTTTTTTTTCTTTTTTTTGACACAGAGTCTCACTCTGTCGCCCAGGCTAGAGTGCTGTGGTGCGATCTCTGCTCACTGCAGCCTCCGCCTTTTGGGTTCAAATGATTCTCCTGCCTTAACCTCCCGAGTAGCTGGGACTACAGGCGCATGACACCACACCCGGCTAATTTTTGTATTTTTGGTAGAGGCGGGGTTTCGCCATGTTGACCAGGCTGGTCTCGAATTCCTGACCTCAAGTGATTCGCCCACCTTGGCCTCCCAAAGTGTTGGGATTACAGGTGTGAGCCACCGCACCCGGCCCTATCCACACATTTTTGCATCTATTCCTTTTATATTTATTTACTTGCCAGTCTACAGTAAGGATTATATTTTCCTTCTCTTCCTTATTTATTCATTTATTTATTATTGGTATGGATTCTGGATTTCTGTTTTATCCAGTGGGTTATAATCTGTAACTATCATTATTGTATTGTTCAAATAATTCCAGATTTGGCCACTGGGAGCCCTTTCAAGCTAGCTCATGTGTGAGTGGGAATCTATCTAGAAGATAGAATTTCCTGATGGATTGGGTGGGTTGTGTGTGAGAGAAAGCTGGGGTTTATTCTTTTTTTTAGAGACAGTGTCTCACTCTGTCACCCAAGCTGGAGTGCAGTTGCACAATTACAGCTCACTGCAGCCTCCATCTCCTGGGCTCAACTAATCCTTCTCCCTCAGCCTCCTGAGTAGCCCAGCTAATGTAAAATATATATATATATTTTTAGAAATGGGGTCTCGCTATATTGCCCAGGCTGGTCTCAAACTCCCAGCTTCAAAGTGATCCTCCTGCCTTGGCCTCCCAAAGGGCTGGGATTACAGGCATGAGCCACCATGCCTGGCCAGGTTCATCTTTTGGCAAATATTTATTGCCTATAAGTTGAGATAAAAACATTATAAAAGCAGACAAAGGTCCTTGCCTTCACGGGGCTCATGTTTTTGTGCATGTGACACTTTTGTTTCTGATCCAAGCCATTGGGGGACGATGGCACAGATTTTAGGAGGGTGGATCAGTCTGGGGCAGGTGCAGTGGAGCTGCCTGGTAGACCAGCCTCTGCTTCCACTCCTCCCTCCTCCATTAGCCCCATGCTTACCATGTAATGACTTCCTGCTCTTTTTCTTCACTCAACAGCCAAGACAATGCAAACTCCAGTGAACATTCCCGTGCCTGTGCTCCGGCTGCCCCGGGGCCCTGATGGCTTCAGCCGTGGCTTTGCCCCTGATGGACGCAGAGCCCCCTTGAGGCCAGAGGTTCCTGAAATCCAGGAGTGTCCCATAGCTCAAGAATCCCTGGAATCCCAGGAGCAGCGGGCACGAGCCGCCCTTCGGGAGCGTTACCTCCGCAGCCTGCTGGCCATGGTGGGTCATCAGGTGAGCTTCACGTTGCACGAGGGTGTGCGTGTGGCCGCCCACTTTGGAGCCACCGACCTGGATGTGGCCAACTTCTACGTGTCACAGCTGCAGACTCCCATAGGTGTGCAAGCAGAGGCGCTGCTCCGATGTAGTGACATTATTTCATATACCTTCAAGCCATAAAGATATTGTGTTCACTTTTCTGCTTGAGGCTAAGGCACTGTATCCCAGGCCTCCCAATGTTCCCGAGCCAGGAACTCTGGGCCCCATGGAGTTATGAGCTCCCTTGGAATTTTGAGCCAAGCTTTAAGCAAGTCTGGACTCCTGAGACCTCCTGGGTCTAGTCAGTAAAATTCTGCAACTCTAGGAATTCTAAGATCCCATTGGAAGGAATGCTCTACCTCACAGAACTCTGAACCCTACAGAAATATGGGCCTGCTGCCATTTCCTGAAGACCGGGGCATCGGGGTGGGGTGATAAAGGATACAACCTGCACAGGGGGAAGTTATTAAAGAGGCTGCAAAGTCCAGCCACCCTGAAGATACTCCCCAGTGCTCCCCTCCTGCTAAAGAACCAGTTACCCCAGGAAAATTCGACTCCTGTTTTTCTTTAATTAACTATACCGACGGGGATGGAGTCATCTTTAGGGGCTGGTAGGGTGGTTATCCAAGGGCTGAATCCAGTGGAGCTGGGCCAAGTACGACAGGAGTCCAGATAAAGGTGTAGGGGCTGCACGGCCGCAAGTCTCCTGGAAAGGCTGGAGTGACCGGCATGCCGGGATTGGGAGATTAGGATTTGATTTCATTTTGGGGCGGGCGGTGGCTCGTGCTGGGTCACGTGGTCGTGCCCAAGCGCTCCTCCTGTTGCCCCACCTGTGGTTGCTGTGGACTGCACACGACAGCAGATTCGCTGTCCCCTCGTTGGAGGCGAATGGTCGGACCCCGAGTGGCGGCGCCCCTGATAAAAGGCCGAGGATTCGCGATCAGGGTGCAACTTCACTCCCTCCTCTTTTCTCTCCAGCCTTGCAGCGTGGCCGTTCACATCACGCGCTTCACTAAGCCTCCTATCACTAGTAACCTTTCAGCGCATTGTTTAAAAAGAAAGCAGTTTCTGTCCCTTTCTGTAGTTCCTTTAAGTTCAGGATGTAAGCGAAGCCTTCCATTAAGTAAAGGTGAGTGTCGTTTCGTCTCAGTCGCGAAAGTGCGGCGGCCGATGATGAACCGCGCCAGGAGCAGCCTCAGCGGCCATCAGTCCATTCGCAGCGCCGGCTCCGCCGAGGCCCGGACTTAGCTCTCGAGTTGCCTTGGCGACGACGCAGCTCGCTCCGCCCCAGTTCCCTTTTATGGTTTCAGCCCCGCCTCCTCTAGTTAGCCGGGTGCGCTTCGGCAAGCGTGGCGAAAGTGCGGCGGCGAATGTCAAGCGTTGGGTCTGAGCCTAGGGGTGTGGCTTGAGCTCACGCTGGTTCTTTCTTGCCTCGGTGATCCACCAGCCTTGTCACCCAGGATTTAGGTTGGCAGATTCGTCTCTCGCCTTTGGAATTTCTACCTTCTCCTAGGTTTTGTTTTTTAAAATCAGGCCTATGATACCGCTCATGGGCTCATATTTATTTTAGCATTGTAATTTAAGTTGTATTTTATGCAACTCTACCCCGATACAGAGAGCTGTTGATGTAACTGCAGCGAGCAAATGGAGGACTAGAGACTAGCGAAGGGGCCGAGACTTCGTCTCCAGAGTATCCCTGTCAGCATCCATCAACTGCACTCATATATTGAATGCAGCTCCTATCCGCCTTTCTTTTCGACTTCTTCATGCCGTTACCACTCTTCATCAGTTAGTCTAGCCTCAATGTTTTCATTTATTTCCTTTGTTTTTTTTGGGGGGGGGGGAACGGAGTCTTGCTCTGTCGCCCAGGCTGGAGTGCAGTGGCACGATCTCGGCTCACTAAAAGCTCCGCCTCCCGGGTTCACACCATTCTCGTGCCTCAGGCTCCCGAGTAGCTGGGACTACAGGCGCCCGCCACCACGCCCGGCTAATTTTTTGTATTTTTAGTAGAGACGGGGTTTCACCGTGTTAGCCAGGATGGTCTCGATCTCCTAACCTCGTGATCCGCCCGTGTCGGCCTTCCAAAGTGCTGGGATTACAGGCGTGAGCCACCGCGCCCGGCCCATTTCTTTCCTTTCGTTGAGACAGGGTCTGGCTCTGTCTACCAGGTCGGAGTGCAGGGGCGCGATCATAGCTCAGTGCAGCCTCAACCTACCGGGCTCAAGCGATCTTCCCACCTCCCAAGTAGCTGGAACTACAGGCTCCTGTAACCAGACCCTGCTAATTTTTAAATTTTTTGTAAAGACGGGGCCTTGCTATGTTGCCCAGGCTGGTCTCGAACTCCTGGACTCAAGCGATCTTCCCGCCTCAGCCTTCCAAAGTGCTGGGATTATAGGCGTGTGCCGCCGCGCCCCGCCAGGTGTTTTCAGTTCTATGCACTCCATTCCCTGGGCTCTTGACGAATGTGCGGGAGCTGAATATTCGTTATTTGGACTCCGGCAGGAAGGCGTGGGCTCAGCTTCGCGCTTGCGCGCTGCTCTTGGAGACGGCGTCTACTTCGCCCCGCCCCTCATAGTCTGCAGTTCCGGCTCTGCAGATTCGCTGCTCACGTTTCTTTTTTCCGTGGCCCTTCCTGCCCTTTGTTTCTCTCTTCATGTCACCCGCGGGACAACTCTACGTGCAAGTCGCTGAAATCGATTTTCTGCTTCTTATAGTAAGCGGCGGGCTCGCCAGCCTCGAGCGAAAGTGTGACTGCGAACGGGCAGGCGCGCGCGGGGCTCGGCGGAGGCGCGCTTGGGCTCCCGGCGGCGACGACTACGACCACTAGGAGAGCGGACGGAGGCGGCGCCTGAAGCGGCGGCGGAGCCCATGCCCCGGGACGGCGGGCGGACCCGGAGAGACAAATCCGGGGCCCGGGGCATGTCCCCGGGGCCCCCGTGAGGAGGCGGCGGCGGCTATGGAGATCGCGCCGCAGGAGGCGCCGCCCGTGCCGGGCGCGGACGGCGACATTGAAGAGGCCCCAGCTGAGGCCGGGTCTCCCAGCCCCGCGTCGCCCCCCGCCGATGGGCGCCTCAAGGCTGCAGCCAAGCGCGTCACATTCCCGTCCGACGAGGATATCGTGTCTGGAGCAGTGGAGCCCAAAGACCCCTGGAGACATGGTAGCTACCGCGGGTGAAGCGGGGGCGGGCTCGAGAGGGACCCGGGAGTCGGGAGGGATCGGTGCAGGGCCCGGCTCGAGGTGGCGTTCAATAGATTGCACCTAATGGTGAATAAGGGGACAGTCGTCAGTTTAGAACCGTAGTCTGTTAGAAAGGGGGTGGCTATGGAGTTGGGAAGGTGAAAAGTATCTGGTTTCTGCCGCACCCCACCCACCCGAGACAAAGATGGTGATCGTTTTAGGGTTTAAAACGATGAGCAATTAAAGAAAGTTTGGTGTTTTGTCAGATGTAGAGTGTGGCAGCCTTTGCGTTCGTAGTTCCACCAGAGAAGGAGAGAAGGAGCAGTTGAGAGGAGGAGCGGGTCAACACTGGGCCTGAAAGGGCAGTTGAAAGAGTTTGATGGGTCTATGGGGGTAAAAAGAGGTTAAGTTGCTGGTCTGCAAGCCTTGGGGCAAGGAGTGGTCGTGTTGGCCACTTTCTTGGCTGGAAAGAGGGAGACTATAAACTTGGACTGTGGCTATAGAGGACTTGGTAAAAAGGAGTCAAGATAAGGTCCCAGAAGAGGAGCAGAGGTGGTGGTCAATTTGTGGTTGGGTGAGGGAGAAAGAGGCAGTGTGGTTTTTATGTTTTCTTTTTTATTGAGACAAGGTCTCACTACATTGCCCAGGCTGGTCTCGGACTTCTGGGTTCAAGCTGTCCTCCCTCCTTGGCCTCCCAGAGTGTTGGGATTACAGGTGTGAGCCACCGCCGCCTGCTGCAATGTGGTATTAAGAAGAAAAGCCAACGCCTACCGCCGCCTCCTCCTCCAAAAAAAAGAGAAGCAGAAGGAAGGCTGTCAGTCATTCAGGAGCAGAGGATGTTTGGGACATGGCTACGGAAGGGTCCTCTTGTTCCTTCCTGAGAAAGAATTGGGGGATGGCCGGGTGCATTGGCTCAGGCGTGTAATCCCAGCACTTTGGGAGGCCAAGGTGGGTGGATCACCTGAGGTCAGGAGTTTAAAACCAGCCTGGCCAACATGGGGAAACCCCGTCTCTACTAAAAATACAGAAATTGGCCGGGCATAGTGGTGCACACCTGTAATCCCATCTACTCAAGAGGCTGAGGCAGGGAGAATCGTTTGAACCCGGGAGGTGGAGGTTGCAGTGAGCTAAGATCACGACATTGTACTCCAGCCTGGGTGACAAGAGCAAAACTCCGGCTCAAAGAAAAAAAAAAAAAGAATTGGGGGATGTTATCAAGTCAGAAATTGGAGTTGCTGGCCAGTAGCAGGTGAGAGAGATGAAAAAGTTGGCTACTTGAAGTGTTGGGAGAGAGGGCCAGCGCACTGGAGAGGGTCAGGTCAGTGTTGGAGCTGAAAGGAGTGTGTTGGAGCCATAGGGCTGGGAAAGTGGAAAGTCGCTTGGGACATGCAGGGCAGTGTTGAGTCCATTTTGTGCTGGAGAAGTCTGTCAGTTCTCCTGGGGTGGAGCCCATGAAGTGAGGGATCAGACTGGCTGTGGTGGCCGTGGTTCTGTAGAAGCTGATCTGCCGGCCCTGGGCAAGGGGAGAAACTATTGCCAGTCTGTGGACAATGGAGGAATTGGTGGCTTTGATGTGAGGGTGGGAAACATGGTAACTGGAAACTGAACACACAGGGAGTCCATCATGAATGACAGTTTGGCTACTTATTATAATTTTTTAGACGGAGTCTCCCTCTGTCGCCCAGGCCAATTCTCCTGCCTCAGCCTCCTCAGTATCTGGGATTACAGGCACCTGTCATCACACCTGGCTAAAAATGTTTGTATTTTTAGTAGAGTTGGGGGTTTCACCATGTTGGCCAGGCTGGTCTCGAACTCCCGACCTCAGGTGATCTGCCCACTTAAGCCTTCCAAAGTGCTGGGATTACCGGCATGAGCCACCGTGCCCGGCTGGCTAGTTATTCTTAAAGAGGCAGTGGTTAAATTAAGACTTTTGGGCCGGACGCCATGGTTCATGCCTGCAACCCCAGCACTTTGTCAGGCCAAGGTGGGCAGATCACCTGAGCCCAGGAGTTCAAGACCAGCTTGGGCAACAAGGTGAAACCGCGTCTCTGCAAAATATACGAAAATTAGCCAGGTGTGGTGGTGCACGCCTGTAGTCCCAGCAACTCAGGAGGCTGAAGTGGGAGGATCATTTGAGCCCAGGAGGTCGATAGTGCAGTGAACTGTGATTGCGCCACTGAACTCCAGCTTGGGTGACAGAGACCCGGTCTTAAAAAAAAAAAAAAAAAAAAGAGTTTTGGCACTAGGAGCCAGCCAAGTCCTTGGGCTCTAGGCCCCAGGGATAGGTGGTTAGTTTGGGACCCGGGCACAGTCAGAATGCCCCCTGGCTATTGCGTGATATCCAGTCCAGAGCAGGAAGGGGAAAGACCTGGAGAGGCAGAGCAGGGTGTTTCAAGAGCAGAGGCTCCAGGTCAGATCCTTTGAGACCTCGGGCTGGTTACCTAACTCCTGAGCCTCAGTCTTCCCATCTGTGAAGTAGGTGGCAATACTCTTGCCACGGAATTTAGGAGAGGACTGGATGAAGTCACATATGGAAAGGAATTGGCCAGGGTGAGTGTTCTCGATGGCAGTCATTGTTATTAAGACAGTGTTGGTCATCTTGGGCTGGTGTGGAGGAGTTCATGCATGGGGTGGGGCCTGGATGTGGCTGCTTCAGAGGCTTCCAGGAGAGGGGAGAGATGGCAGTCAATGCGTGGGCCTGGAGTGAGGTGCGAGGGGGAAGATGGTCAGTTTGTGGGCTGAAGGGTCAGGGGTGAGGGCAGCAAGAGAGTCTGGCACAGATTGGGCTTTGGGGGGTAAAGTTTCTGGTCTGCAGATTCCCAGAACAGGTTTGGCTTTCATTCAGTAAGCCACTTTTCCTCTCCAAGCCTCTGTTTCTTTCTCTGCAAATGGAGGTGCTAATTTTTACCATGGGGTAGTTGTGAAGATGAAGTAAGATAGTCCTCATAAATTTCTGCCACATAAATAGCAGCTGTCATCCAGGCAGATTTGTTTTTTGTTTGTTTGTTTGTTTTCACGTGCAGTCTTGAAGAGGCAGTGAAAGAACTGGAGAGGCAGAAGGCTATCTGTCAAGAAAAGAGGGGCAGTTGGAGCCTGGCTGGGAGGAGTTTAGAGGAGGGGTGCCGGTTGGTCTGTCCTGGGTAAGGGGTAGAGTGGGTAACACTCTCCAGGCTGGGGGAGTCTCTCATTCCAGCGGTTGAGAGAGGGGCAGTAAGGTCTGGTTGGGACTCACACTCTCGAGGAGTCCGTGCGTCTGAGCTGCAGAGGTGATGACATGGACTGGACTGGAAGAATTGGTCCATCCTGTTTGGGAAGAGGGCTTGAGGAGTTGGCTTGGCAGTGAGGAGTTGGATGATCTTGGGCCTGGGCAGGGGAGGGGTCATTGGTGAAGTTGGTGAGTTTGGACAAAGGGATTTGCAGGACAGAAAACCCAAGGGCCTGGGAACAGCAAGGAGCAGGGGTTAGGCTCCATGCTGGGGAGGACGATGGAGTGGTTCACTGGCCATGGGGCTGTGGGAGGTGGAGGGTTCGCCAGGGTGAAGAGGAATCGTGGTACAGAAAGTGGGTCTAAGGGGAGGCCCAAGTGAGAGGCCCAGAGGGTCTGGGGCTGGAGGACTGCAGGGAGGGGTTGCTTGGTCTTGGAACAGAGGTAGGAGATTTGTTGGCATCAATCTCATAAGCTGTGGGGAGGGACAGGGGGTGTCATTTGAGCTGTGGATCTAGTGGAAGGGTGGCGTGACCCCAAGGCCAAGGGGTAACAGAAGAGCTGACAGGTCTGAAGGGGGGAGACTCAGTTATCCGGAAGCTGTTGTGCCGTGCTAGAGATGGAGCGCTGCCTAGGCCAGGGGATGGAGGAGCGCCCCTGGGTGAGGAGGAAGCAGCACTGGGGGCACCCCAGTGCAGGGGTCTCCTTCAGCAGAGCCTCACCCCTGGGGCTACAGTGGTGGCCCAGCTGGGTGGGAGCTGTGGGGGGTGTCTACCTGAGGGTGAGCGCTCCCTCAGGCCCTGCAGGGGCCCAGGGTTTGGGGATTCCTGGAGATGAGGTGATCTGGAGGAGGGGGATTGTGAGGGAGGGTCTCGAGCCTGCCCAGGCTTATCCGGATTCCCATCTCCCACAGTGGGGTTCCGCCTGCTGGGGCTGCTGTTTCCTCATTACGTGAATGGCCATCTGATGTTCTTCTGTTGTGTGCTTGTTTTCTTGGTGGTGGTCTCTCTCCCGCGCTGGAATGGGAGAGCAGAGGCCGAAGTCCATCCTCTTCTCCGCTTTCCTCAAGGACACTCAGTTGTTGAATGAGCGCCTGTGGGCCCGTGAGGCCTGGTGGTGTCTGAGAGCCACCTAGCAGAGTGACATGTAGCTGAATGTCAGGGGCCTGAGCAGCCTGGCGTGGGGATGCCAGTGGGGCAGCAGTGTGCTCTGTGGCCTCTGGCAAGCATGGGTTCTTGCAGAGCATTGTGTTTCCTCACCTGTGAAACAGGGCCAGTGATCCCTGCCCTGCAGACCACCAGGATGTCAGAGGATAGGGTGAACCTGCTGGGGGCAGGTCTCCTCAGCAAGCCACAGCCAGGTGTGTGTAGATGGGCAGGGAAGCTCGGGGAGGAGGCAGGCTGGGAATCGTGAGTGAAAGAGGCCGCTTCAGCACTGCCAGGCTGGGCACGTGGGTGCCCGTGGGGAGCGAGCTAGCCGGCTGCACTGCACCCCATCATGTTGTGGCAGACCCTTCAGCTCTTCTGAAGGCCAAGGCCAGACTTACACAAGGAACCCATCAGGCCAAACTGCAGGAATGACCTGAGGCTCGGCTGGTCTCCTCAGTCCCAGCTGAACTCTGTGGGGTTGGAAAGATAGGCATGTGAGAGGGACTTGTGATGAGAGCACATGACACCAGCCACAGTCCGGGAGACTCATCTCCCCTCCTCCAGTCCTGCCGGTGACTCACTCCCTGCTCCCTGACCATCAGTCCTCCAGTGTGTGTGCGTTGGGGGTTTGCCCACTAGGAAGCTACTTGCATGAAGTCAAGGTGTCTGCAGGGCAGGGTGAGGGGGCCCAAGCATGCTACCATCTCTGGCCACCTGAGCTTTGGAAGGCAGCGGGAGGGGTGGGGGCAGGGTGTTCTTAAATGCGGATCTTAGGGCATGGAAATGCCATACTGTTGGCTATTGAAACCCGTGCTGCAGATTCAGTCCTAAAAGCAGGCTGGACAGGTAGACATGCATCTGTCAGTGGTGGAAAGAGGCCCCAGGTTAGAGAATCGGCTTGCTTCAGCATTCGTGGTGGAGCTGCTGGGGAGTAGGGAACAGGGTCGAGGCGGGTGCTTTGATGCATCTGCTCAGATTTCCGTCTGGGCCCAGCTCCACCTCCTGCTGCTGGAGTTGGCAAGTAGACCCTGCCACTGAGCAGCCACGTGACTTTGGCGATTGTTCTCTCTGCCTCGATTTTTCTGTGTCTAAAATGCAGCAGTATGTCCTCATAGGGTGATTGGGAGGATTAAGTGAGATAACACAGTGCCTGATCCATAGTAAATGCCCAGCAAATGCCTCCCTTGTTATTCCTGTCATCACCACTCCTCTGCCCCCACCTATAGCCCTAACATTTTGTTTCTGTTTCCTGCCCGTGTTGTGTATTTGTACTCCTCTTTCCCCTATAGTGTCCCACGTCAGCGTCCCTGCTTTCCCTCAGAGGCCCACTCCTCCAGGCTGGGTGCCCCAGCAGTCCCTGACCTCCAGGCCTGACTCTGTCTCTGCCAAGCTGTGTGACCGTGGACAATTTGTCCAATCTCTCTGAGCTAAAACTAAATCAGCCTGTCTCAGCCCACTAGTAGAAGAGGCAGCAGGGGTACCAAGATTCCACACTGGCCATGTTAGTTCCAGCTTCTGCCTACTCTGGCTGATGACTTTGGACAAGTTGCAGCTCCTCCCTGAGCCTGAGTCTCCTCTGGAGCGGGGGCTCCACCACCCCAGCCCCCTGCCCTGTTGGAGCATGATCAGGTTAGTGGTGGTATTGTGCTGGTGCCTGTCCTCTGCCCTCCCAGGCCCTTTGCACACTGTGACTCGCCGCTCTCCGTGCCTGTACATGCAGTTGGGCCGCCTGATTCTTTGTGCCTGTGATTATCTGTGCTCGCATCTATTTCCCCCTTCAAGGGCAAAGACTGTGTATGAGTCACCTCTGTGACCCTAGTCTAGCACACAGGAGGGCTCGGGCACGGGACACATGTCCGAAGGACTGGGGTGTTTTCCTGGGATCAAACACCCCATGGTGGGATTTACAGGAAACTTTTTTTGTGGTAGTTAATCCAGTTGGTGCCAGGACGAGGACTCTTTCTCAGGGACCTACAGACAGGCTTTAGCACCCATTCTGACTCCCGGAAGAGCACGCGAAGCTGGCCCCCAGCTGGCACTCGGTAACCAGCCTTCAGTGCGTCAGCGGGAGTGCGTGTGCACTTGTTTCTGGGAGCGAGTACTGGGGCTCTGCGAACCTTCACAGGCATCCGACTCCAAGAGGATTAAGAACCGTGGGGCCAAATGCCCTGTGTTGGACGGACTGCAGCTGGAGCAGTCACTGAGCACGGAGGCCAGAAACCTGTTTTTACAAAAGCTCCCCAGGTGGTTCTGACAACCTCGCTTGGCTGTCTGTGTGCTTTGCTCCGCCATCCATCACTCAGTCCCAAGCCTGCCTTCAGACCTCAGTTCAGGGGTGGCTGGCATTGACCTCAAAGCCTTTTTTGGAGCAAATTAACAGGTGAGCATTGAAATACTGCAGAAATTCAAGCTGAGCCGGCCACCTGCTGCAGTAGGGCATGGGGGCAGGTGGGTTAAATTCTTGCCTTCTGGCTGACCTTAGTCATCACCAGTCATTGCCTTCCATGTGCCTGTACCAGGCACTGGTCTCAGTGCCTTTTGTGTATTATCGCATTTAGATATCACAGCCACCCCAGGAGGTAGGTGCCGTTTGCCCCAATTTGTAGATGAGGAAATGGAGCCCATAGAGGTAAAGTAATTTTCCTGAGGTCACACAGTGGGTAAGTGGTGGAGCTGGGATTCAAATCCAGGCAGCCAGCCTGGCGCCGAAGCCTGCGCAGTAATAACCCCTGTGCGGCGGCTGAGTGCTTGGACGCATTCGGTGCAACGTGCCATACGGTCTCTTCATCTATAACCCAGAATCGTTTATAAAATAGAGGCAACAGTGCTGGCTTTGCGGTGTTGTGGCAGGGAGGAGAAACAGAAACAGGTGGGGTAAGGGCCCAGCCTTGGTGGGCACGCAGGAGGGGGTCACTGTGGTTCGTGGACAGCTTGAGTCCCTGGAGATTTGTGCTGCTCCTCTGTCCTCAGCATTGCCTGCTGTTCTGACCCTTGGCCTCTGGGACGTGTTCTTCCTGTGCTACTCAGTGTCTGGTATGTGATAGGCGCTCAATATATTCTTGCTGCGTGAGTGACTTGGTGACCCCGTAACCAGTCATGCATTCAGCATGGTGTGGCCGTGCCACGTGTTACGAGTCAGGGCAGAAGACAGGCCCAGTCCATGCTTCTGTGGGGGTCACAGTCAAGTGAGGGAGACACACAGTAAAGAATTCTCAGCAAACCAGGCTTCTGAGGACTCAGATTAGGGAGGGTCCACAGGGTGTGCAGGAGGGCAGGGCAGAGGCAGCTTCCTAGAAAGGACGTCACCAAGGAAATCCAGCAGTAAGCCAGGTGAGGAGCAGTGGGAGGAGTGCACCAGGGGTGGAAGGCAGAGAGAACCAGCCTGGTATGTCTGAAGAACAGAAAAAAGCCAGACTTAGTTGAGGTAGAGGCAGGCTGGTCAGAGGTGAGGCTGGAGGAGGCAGGAGAGACTGCTGTGTGGGGCCTTATGGGCTGTGCTAGCAGGGAGCCCCAGAGGGCTTAAGAAGGGGCCTGGGCTGGGCATGGGGGGCTCACGCCTGTCATCCCAGCACTTCAGGAGCTCCAGGCGGGAAGATCACTTAAGCCCAGGAGTTTAAGACCAGCCTTGGCAACATGACGAGACCTTGTCTCTACAAAAAATACAAAAATCAGCCGGGCATGGTGGCATGTGCCTATAGTCCCAGCTACTCAGGAGGCTGAGGTGGAAGGATCACTTGAGTCCAGGAGGTCGAGGCTTTAGTGAGCTGTGATCACACCACTGCCCTCCAGCCTATGTGACAGAGTGAGACCCTGTCTCAAAAGAAAAAGGAGGGGCATGGTGGGTGTTTTTAACAGAATCCTGTGTGGAGGTGACATGAATAGGGTGAGACTGAGACAGGGAGGCCAGGGAGGGGCCGTGAGCCAGGAGCCCGGAGGCTGTAGGCTTGGCGTAGCCTCATATTGGCTGATAGCTGACACTTGACTTCATTGACTTCTTCATCAGATTCCTCTGAGTCCTCCCCTCCACCAGCAGGTTTGCCGATGCCACTGTTTCCCATAGCACCTCTGAGGTGACTGTTATTCCCCTTCCCTTCTCTCCTTGGATCTGAGTCCCTTCCCTCGTGCTCCCCCAGCCAGCGTGTCCTTGGCCTGCTTGGGACATCCTGCCCCTGCATGGGCTGTGGGAGGCGTGTGGGCTGTGAAGTCCGGTGACCTCTCCAGTGACTTCACCTCCACAGTCCCTTCAGGTCTCACAGTACCCAGATCCAGAAAACTCTACAGACCATCCCAAACCCCTCTGGTGGCTTAGCGCAATATCGGTGTCTGATCAGTCTTATAAAATCCAGAAAATTCTGATTCTAAAACACGTCTGGCCCAAGGGTTCCAGGAGGAGACTCTGGAGCCCGCAGCGGGCCTCGTTCCATGTTTGTGAAATGGCAGTAACCTGAGAGGCAGCACGGGAGCCCCCTGGGTGCCAGTCCCAGCTCTGCCCTTGGGCAAATCACCCAGCTTCTTTGCCTCAGTGTCCCCATTTGTATGGGGATTGAGGATTAAATTAGCCTCTACTTGGAAAGCAGCTGGAACAGTAGCTGGCTGTTGCAGGCGCTCATGAGGACATGGGAAAGTTGAGTGAGGTGGTCACTGCCTTGAACTTGACTGGTTCCTGCCTCCCCCGGCTGTAAGGGTTAGGCAGGTGGGGCTAGATGACCAGCGGGTAGGATCATCTGCCTGAGTGTGATTTCGGCTCCTCCACACTTGGGCTGTGTGGCCTTGGGCAAGTCCCTTGACCTCCCTGGACCACTTTCCCCATTTGTGAAGCCATTTTGCCAGATGAGGACTCTCTCAAAGTTTTTAGACTCTCTGGGAAGACCAGAGAGCCAGGCCTGGGGCCCACGCCAGCAGGAGCACACCCTGCATCAAGTGTGGAGCTGATGCCGCTCCTGTTACATAGCCGCCACAGCACCTCCAGGGCTGAGCCCACGTCAGGCTCCTGGGCTGGAGCCACACAGGAGGCTGGGGTCTGCTGTTTCAGCTAAGAGGAGGTGGGAGATGTGGAGGGGCTTCCCTAATTGCAAGAAGGTGGTTCAGAGGCTGGGTGCCAAAAGGAATTCGAGAGATCCGTCATGCTTGGCTATGTTTCGTACATTAAGTAGGAAGGTCCATGAAGGCAGGACCCATCTTTGTCTTGGCTCACCTGTGTCCCCAGCACCCTCCATGGTGCCTGGCCCTCCGCAGGGTCTCACACTGGATGAATTGGTGGTGGATGGAGGTACACAGTAGGCACTCAGAAGTTGTTCTCACCCCTTCCCTTCCTCTAGGCAGCTGGTACTGAGCGGTTGCCTCAAGGTGGGGGTGGAGGTTTGGAAGTGTCTGCTGACATCCGCACAGCTCATGTGACTTGCCCAGCGCCCATCTCACTTCGCAGCGGAAGCCTGGGTCGGGAGCCCTGCAGTCGGATGCTCCCCTCAGGGCTGGTTGGGTTCCAGCTGGGAATGTGTTCCCTGGTTAGGTGGGCGGGCTCCTCTAGCAAGCTGGCGCTTGGGACCCGCCGGGGTCGGACTCGTGTGCCACCTTCACACCCACCCCTCCCTCTCTCCACGGTCTCCGAGGCTCTCACCAGCTGCTGTCAGCGATGTAGTGGAGAACTGCTCGCGTCCTGTGCAGTCTTCCCTTTTGCAAAGCAAAGCACTGTCACAGCTGAACTCGCTTGGTTCCCCAGGACAACAGGGAGGGAGGGTGGGAGAGTGGGGCTGCCAAAAGGTGAAAGCGAGCCGCAGGGAAGTGACTCTCTGCAGGGGTCATGCCTCCTGGTGGTGGTGATGGAGGTGATGGTACTCAAAGCTCCCATTTATGGAGCGCTTAACAGGGCTAAGCTCTTTACATGCATCGTTAATCTTGGAGGAGGAAACAGGCTCACAGAGGTGCCAAGGCCACACAGGTAGTAGAGGAGGAGCTGAGTTATAGCCCGGCAGCTTGAATGGTTCTGATCCTCTGTCCTGTTTCAGAAAGCCCCCAGGGCTCCACTGTAACTACAGGACAAAGTCCACACCCGTGGGCCTGGTGTGGGAGGCCTTTCCCACAGAACGCCCAGCCTCCTAGACACAGGCGCCTCTGCCTAGCACGCCCCTCGCTAGTCCCCTGCCCTTCCTGACCAATTCCCGTTACCCCTCCCACGCCTAGACGCAGGCGCCTTTGCCCAGCACACCCCTCGATAGTCCCCTGCCCTTCCTGACCAACTCCCCCTCCCGTGCTGCCTTCTGGGCAAGGCCTTCTCTAATCCCCGGACAAAGCTCTGCTCCGCTCGTCTGGGTTCCCATGGCGCCTCCTCGCTCTGTTGTTATTTGTTCGGGCCCATCTCCCCTCCCTGGACCAGTGCTGCAGAGGGCTGCATCCTGTCCATCTGGCTCCTGGGAGGGGTGGAACCACTGAACGCCTCCAGGAACCTTAAGGACTCCGGGCAAAGTGGGGTTGCTTATGAGCACCCAGGCCGGGTGCCGCAAAGCCTTTGTAACCCAGGCACTGGGGCTCAGGACAGTCAGGGAGCATGGGGTGTGGGGAAGGAAGATTTCGTTCACTGAGTCCTTTTTTCCTGCATTCATTCCTTCATTCCTTGCCAACCAGCGCCTGTTTTGCCTCCACTTTGCTGTCCCTGCCATGCCAGGTGGAGGGGCCTCCCAATGGCTCTCCTGCTCCCTCTCCAACCCGCTCCCCACCTAGCAGCCACAGCATTCTTGAAAAAGCAGACTTTGCTATTCCTGTTTCACATCACACTTGTGACCTCCCTGCTGCCTTTCCCTCTGATCTAGTGTCCCTGCAACAGGTTAGGAAGCCCAGGTATAACCTGGCTCTTGCCACCATCGCCGGCCACGACCGAGATCACCTTGCCATGCTCTTGCTGGGTTCAAGCCATCGTGGCTTCCTTTCAGTCCTAGAACACGCAGGCAGCTCCCCACATCCTGTCCTGGAAGACCGGCCCCACCTACGCACACAGGTGGCTCTCACTAATCTTTCAGGTGCCAGCAAACCCTTCCTTCCTGGCCCTCCTAATGGGCTCCCCGTCAGGTGGCCAGCGATCTGCTTATCTGCGGGCCTGCTGATACTCTTGCCCTGGACTGGAAGCATCACTAGGCAGTGGTGGGTTGGGTTTGGTGCCACTGTATTCCCCAGTGCCCCAGACCACGTGGCACTGGGCCTGGCTCTGGGCAGGAGCGCAATATGGCAGGTGGAGAAGGAAGTGGCATGCAATGCTGGGTCTTAGTCCTTGCCATGAGCAGCTCAGACAGTCCCTACCCTAGCATAGTCCCTGGTCCAGAAAAGGAAGTGGGCAGAGAGGAGGAGGAGCTTTAGGGAGGGGAGTACAAAGCCTGCCTCTGGTATCCCCCCGCCAGCCTGGTGAGAATGGCAGCGCAGGACTGGCAAACAGGCCCGTCTTTGCTGTTGACTTGCTGGGGGTCATAGGCCAGGATGCTTGCCCTCTCTGTGGGGCAGGATGGTGCCCGGGGTCCTTTCCCACTGCGCGTCAGTGTTTCCCATCTCTCCATGTAGGACACCGCACCATTTAGGGAGTGATTGGATCCCAGGACCTCCTCCCTGTCACGGGGTGGCAGGCAAGGTTCTGATAATTGATCTGCCGTGTACCTTTGTGGCAGGTGACCTAATTCCCCATTCCCTGTGACCCATGTGTCACAGGTGTCAGGGGCGACCGGCCACCCAGCCAAGCTTCCATGACTCCGTTCTCACTCTGTGTTCTGTAATCCCCTTCTGTCACGGGCTTGGGATCCTTGATTCCCGGCCCGGTTCTGCCTACTATGATCACAATGAACAGTCAGTGTTCCGTTTCCCTGGAGGGCTGCCTTCCTTGCTGTGCCTGGACCTGTGTTCCCTGCTGGACAAGTCCCAGGGGGTCAGGCCCGGGGCTTTCTCGGTCCCTGCTGTGTCTCCTGCACAGCTCCAGGCACAGAGCAGGTGTTCAGTAAATGTTGTTCCATTAAAATGGAGTTGGGGCTGTTGCTGGCAGAGCCCAGGGACAGCGCCCTCATGGAGCCTGGCTTAGAGTGCCCAAGTCTGACAGTGGCCTGATCCTGTCTGGTCCTGGGGTGGAGCAGACACCAACAGGCGGGGCCATCTGACTGAATGTCCTCCCACCAGCTGTTAGGTCCAGGTGTTTGTGCTTACTGCCTTCCAGTGCAGTCAAAAGAATCCAGGGCTGGCACCAGCCCCTTCCTCATCTCAGGGGTAGAGGGGTAACCAGAGAGGGGCGGCACTTACCCAAGGATGCCCTGGCACTTGGGTCCAGGCTCCTGCTGCTCTCCTCGGCCACCCCTCCAGCTGTTTTGTTTTTGTTTTTGTTTTTTTTTTGAGATGGAGTTTCGCTCTTGTTGCCCAGGCTGGAGTACAGTGGCAGGATCTTGGCTTACTGAAACCTTTGCCTCCCAAGTTTAAGCGATTCTCCTGCCTCAGCCTCCCAAGTAGCTGGGATTATAGGCATGCGCCACCATGCCCAGCTAATTTTTTTGTATTTTTAGTAGAGACAGGGTTTCACCATGTTGGCTGGGCTGATCTCGAACTCCTGACCTCAAATGATCCACCCGCCTCGGCCTCCCAAAGCTCTGGGATTACAGGCGTGAGCCGCCGCGCCTGGCCTGTTTGTTTTGAGATGAGGTCTTCCTCTGTCGCCCAGGCTGGAGTGCAGTAGTGCAATCCTAGCTCACTGCAGCCTCCACCTCCCAGGCTCAAGTGATCCTCTTGCCTCAGCCTCCAGATTAGCTAGAACCACAGGCACAAGCCACCATGCCTGGCTGATTTTCTTATTTTTAATTGTTTTGTAGAGATGGATTTGCACCGGGTTGCTCAGGCTTCGTTGTGCTTTTGATTTGCATTTCCTTATGGCTAATGATGTTGAGCATCTTTTTTTTTTTTTTTTTTTTTTTTTTTGAGATGGAGTCTCGCTCTGTCACCCAGGCTGGAGTGCAGTGGCGTGATCTCGGCTCACTGCACGCTCCGCCTCCCAGGTTCACGCCATTCTCCTGCCTCAGCCTCCCAAGTTGCTGAGACTACAGGCGCCCGCCACCATGCCCGGCTAATTTTTTGTGTTTTTAGTAGAGACGGGATTTCACCATGTTAGCCAGGATGGTCTCAATCTCCTGAACTCGTGATCCGCCCACCTTGGCCTCCCAAAGTGCTGGGATTAGAGGCATGAGCCACCGTGCCCAGCTGATGTTGAGCATCTTTTTATGTGCTTGCTGAACACTTGTGTATCTTCTTTGGAGAAATGTCTTTTTAGTTCTTTTGCCCATTTTTAAATTGAGCCAGCCGGGCACAGTGATTCATGCCTATAATCCCAGCACTTTGGGAGGCCGAAGAGTTCGCGACCAGCCTGGGCAACATAGCAAGACCCAGTCTCTATTAAAAAAAAGGGGAGCCAGGCGCAGTGGCTCACAATTGTAATCCCAGCACTTTGGGAAGCCAAGGTGGGCAGATCATTTGAGCCCAGGAGTTCGAGACCAGCCTGGACGACATGGTGAGACCCCATCTCTATAAAAAAATGTAAAAAATTAACCAAGCCTGGTGGCTCATGCCTGTAGTCCCAGCTACCTGGGAGGCTAATGTGGGAGGATTGCTTGAGCCCAGGAGGTCGAGGCTGCAATGAGCTGTGGTCTTGCCATTGGACTCCAGCCTAGGTGAGACTCTGTCTCAAAAATAAATAAAAAATAAGTAAATGAATTGTTTGTCCCTTCATTATTGAGTTGTGAGAGTTCTATATACGTGTATCCCGGATGCAGGACTTCTCAGCTGAGCGATTTGCACCACCTGGGATGTTTTCAGCGTGTAATGCCAGTGCATTTCCTTCCCGTCTCTTCTCTCTGGCTAGATTCACAGCCACCGCTAGATAAAAATAAAGCTGTGAGGATACTGTAGATACAGTTGAATATCCTGCTTCTGCACTTCATTTTTCCGTTTTTTTAGAAAGCATGATTTAAAGTACATCACTGGGCTGTTGTAATTCATTCTAGCCATTTCCGCATTGCTGAGCGTTTAGGTCCTTTCCAGTTTTCAGTTGCATAGATAATGCAGTGATGTTCGTCCTTGTCCATAAATCTTCATGCTCATCACACGGGTAGCCTTCTTAGAAAAAATTCTTAGAAGGTGATTTTACCAGGTCAAAGGGAAGGAACATTGGAAGTCTCAGATACTGGCTGTGCCCACATTGGACAGTGAGTGTTGAGGGCTAGGGTTCTGTCGTCATAGTCACCACTGTAGCTTTAGATTTTTTTCTGAGAGAGGGTCTCTCTCTTTTTTTCTGCTTTTGAGGTTTAAACCATGGCCAGAGACAGGGTCTCGATCTGTCCCTCAAGCTGGAGTGCAGTGGCGTGATCTTGGCTGACTGCAAACTCCACCTCCTAGGCTCAAGCCATTCTCCTGCCTTAGCCTCCCGAGTAGCTGGGATTATAGGCGCGCACCACCACGCCCGGCTAATTTTCGTATTTTTAGTAGAGACGGGGTTTCACTGTTGGCCAGGCTGGTCTCAAACTCCTGATCTCAGGTGATCTGCCTGCCTCAGCATCCCAAAGTGCTGGAATTGCAGGCGTGAGTCACTGCACCTGACCAGATTTTTTTTTTAATGATTGAATGAATAGTATTTGCATGTGGGTGCCTTGATGTTAAGATGGTGTCTTGTTTTAGCGAGCGTTCTTTTGACTACTAGTTAACTTCGGTTTTGTTTGTTTGTTTTGTATTTTTGTGGGTTTTTTTTTTTTTTTAATGGAGTTTCACTCTTGTTGCCCAGGCTGGAGTGCAATGGCGCGATCTCAGGTCATCACAACTTCCGCCTCCCAGGTTCAAGCGATTCTCCTGCCACAGCCTCCCGAGTAGCTGGGATTACAGGCATGCACCACCACACCCGGCTAATTTTGTATGTTTTGTAGAGACAGGATTTCTCCATGTTGGTCAGGCTGGTCTGTAACTCCCGACCTCAGGTGATCCACGCGCCTTGGCCTCCCAAAGTCTGGGATGACAGGCGTGAACTACCGTGCCTGGTCTTTTTTGTTTTTTGTAGAGATGAGGTCTCGCTATGTTGCCCAGGATGGTCTCGAACTCCTGGCCTCAAGTGATCCTCCTGTCTTGGCCTCCCAAAGTGCTGGGATTACAGGCATGAGCCACTGCGCCCGACCTAACCTGTTTATTGTTAACATGTTACATGGTTCTGGGAATTGGTTCTTCATGCCCTTTGCCTATTTTTATTTTGGGACCTTTATAAGGACTCCTCTATTGAAGATAGATGTAATTTTATTGTGCAGATATATTTGTCCTCATTTATCATTTGCCTTGCAGGAAAGGTGGGGGACAGGGGTGCAGGACACTAAAGAGAAGCACTTTCTCCTCTGCTATTTCACCGAGTCATCATAGCAAAGCCCCATCTCAGTGTGAACAGCTTGGGATGGAGAAACACAGGGCTGGGGCCCTCAGAGAGGGCAGAGGAGGCAGTGGCAGCCCAGGCCTTGGAGGCCCTGCAGTGTAGGAGAGAGGGTGCTTTAGTGGAGGCCCGGCCTGGGAAAAGGGTTAGCAGGTTACAGAGGGTCCACTGTAACCACAACTCCAGCCCCATTTGCTGAGCACCAGGCTGAGTGACTCGGTGAACCTGCTGGTGCCCCACATTTTTGCAGATAAGAAACTGCTACTTGGGGTCATTGGTCACTTGCTGAAGATGGCAGAAGCCAGGGCAGCCCTGCCTGGGTCCCTGGACACATCCAGCCCACCACAGCTATGGAGGCTCAGCAAGTCCCAGGAGCCTCAAGTTTCAGCAGGAGCCTGGACTCCCTCGTCTCCCACAGCCATGGCCACCACGTCATCAGCACCCTCTGTATGAGGGTCCTGTATGTCATGTGCTGTTTCCTTCCAGTAGCTTCCTGACTCTTCAGGAATACTGTTCTTTGCCCTGAGGATCTGTCGCCCACCTGCATCTGCAGCCTCAGCTCTGCTCCCCCTCTGCCCTGTTGGAGGGTCCTCAGAACCGACTCTTCCCTCTGTCTGGAAGGATGGCCTGGACTTTTGTGTGGCTCCTGTTGGCTTATGGCCTCCTGTCCCCATCCAGTGTAAGCTTCTTGAGATGGGATGTCTGGCTTTTTTGTTCACCAGTGTAGCCTGGCACCTAGAATAGTGCCTGGCATAGAATAGACAACAATAAATATTTGAAGGAATTAATGAATTCCCTTTTTCTTTTTTTTTTTTTTGTTGAGACAGAGTCTTGCTCTGTCTCCCAGGTTGCAGTGCTGTGGCGTGGTCATGGCTCACTGCAGTCTAGATCTCCTGGGCCCAGGTGATCCTCCCGCCTCAGCCTTCTGAGTAGCTGGGACCACAGGCACGTACCACTACACCTGGCTAATTTTTGGATTTTTTGTAGAGACGGGGTTTCCCTGTGTTGCCCAGGCTAGTCTTAAATTCCTGGGCTCAAGTGATCCTCCTGCCTTGGCCTCCGAGAGTGCTGGGATTACAGCCATGAGCCATTGCACCTGGCCACATTTCTTACTTTTACTCATCTTTTAGGTCTCAGTCGAAATGTTCTTTTCTCTTATGGGTCTTTTCTAACTATTCCTCCAAATCTGAATTTGTATCCCCTGTGTTTTCCCCTATAATATGCATTTTCTTCTTATAACTGGTAAATTTTTGGGTGATTTGTTTGCCTTCCTCCCAGTCCTTGAGGGCAGGGACCAGCCCTGTTTTGTTCACGGCTGTCTGCCTAGCCCAGGTTGTTGCATAAAGAATGAATGAATGAAAATATGTTCATTAGTTCCCAAACAGACCTCTGAGGGTTGGTGGCATTACCCTCTTGTTATGAAGGAGGAAGGTGAGGGTGGGCAGTAAGAAATTCCAAGCACCTGGTTTCCATCACTGGAGCCTTTGCTGGACCAGTAAACAGCTTACAGTTTCTAAAATTCCAATCTAAAGCACTCCCAAAGCTTCTGAATTCAGATGGCCATCTGGTACCCATGACCAGAAGCCTGAGGCAGGTGGCCCGAAATAGCCTGCCTGGTTCTGGCAGGACTGAATGTCTACCGATGAGTGCTGGGCTTTCCTCAGAGGCCCCCTTTCCCGAGCCTGGCCCTGTCACCTACTGAGGACTTGGGTGGGTGGCAGTGCTAGGAAGCATTGAGCCACTAAATGACTCAGCAAACCCTTGTCAAGCACCTCGGTGCCCCCAGCTCTGCTGAGTCCTCTGCCGGATTGTCTTGCCTGTATGCTCATTTGACCCTGACAGTGATCTTCAGTTCCCCAAGGCTCCAAGAGCTCTGTCTCCTCTGAGCCTTTGCACATGCTGTTCTGTCTGTTGCAACACTCTTCTCCCTCCCTTCTGCTTTTTAATTATTATTATTATTATTATTATTATTTTTAATTGAGACAGAGTCTTACTCTGTCACCCAGGCTGGAGTGCAGTGGTGCAATCTCGGCTCACCACAACTTCTGCCTCCCGGGTTCAAGCAATTCTCCAGCCACAGCCTCCTGAGTAGCTGGGATTACAAGTGCGCACCACCACACCCAGCTAACTTTTGTATTTTTTTAGTAGAGACAAGGTTTTGCCTTGTTGGCCAGGCTGGTCTCGAATCCCGACCTCAGGTGATCCGCCTGCCTCGATCTCCCAAAGTACTGGGATTACAGGCATGGGCCACCTTGCCCAGCCCATTTATCTTCTTGGCATATGGAATATGTATGTAATGTACATGTAAGTTGTTGAAGTGTAATATGTTGAAGACCTGTGAGCCTCCCTCCTAATTTCAGAGTGAGAACATTGCCATTAACTCACCTCTGCCTGTGGGTGGGTGGAGGGAGCCCACTGTCCTGACTGTTGTCATTGTCATTCTGTGTTTTTTATTTTTTGCGGGGGGCGGGGGTGGATGGGTGAGGGACAGGTGTGTCAGGTTCAATAAAAAGGGAAAGGGTCATCAGGTGGCCTTTTTAAAAGTTTTATCAACCATGTCTGCATGCTGAAAAGCATGGTGTTTCGTTCTGCCTGTTTTTGAGTTTCATAAACATGGTATTGTGAGGAAATTCCTGGGTCTTGGTTTTTCTTTTCTTTCTTTTTTTTTTTCTTTTGAGACAGTCTCGCTCTGTCGTCCAGGCTGGAGTGCAGTGGCATAATCTTGGCTCACTACAACCTCTGCATCCTGAATTCAGGCGATTCTCCTGCCTCAGCCTCCCAAATCCCAGCTGGGATTACAGGCTCCTGCCACCACACCTGGCTAACTTTTTTGTATTTTTAGTAGAGACAGGGTTTCACCATGTCTGTCAGGCTGGTCTTGGAACTCCTGACCTCAAGTGATCCGCCCGCCTCTGCCTCCCAAAGTGTTGGGATTACAGGCATGGATTCCTTCTGATACATTTCACCTGGAGTGCTGGGATGACAGGCGTGGGATTACCTTCTGATACATTTCACCTGGGGCGTGAGCAAGACTTTCGCTAGAGTCTGGAGCTAGGAACAGAATGGCTGGTCATAGTTGATGAGTACATTTGGCTTCTCAAGGTAATGCCAATCTTTCTGAAGTGGCTCTCGCCACCTTTTACCTGACTGACTCCTGCTTGTTCTCCAAGAGTCTCCTTCCTGGCTGTCTTTCCTTCAGCACCTACTTAGGGGAGCAGCAGCTGTGTGCCTAGTGTAGTTATGTTCTGGGGGGCAATGCGAACAAGACTCACAGTCCCTGCCCTCTAGTGGCCAGTGGTGTTAGATGGTCCCTCTTTCAGGACGCCCCCAACCCCAAGTCTGGGTTAGGGGTTTCCTTTGCCCCAGCTCTACCTACTCTGGCTTGTCACTGTCTAGGGATGGGTCTGCCTTCCCGACTGGACCAGGACTCCTGTGTGGACAGAGACCAGGATTAGGGTTGTCTTGGACGCTGTTTCCAGCATGACCCTGCCCGGGGCACAGAGCAGGTGCTGGGTGAAGCAGGTGCTGGGTGAAGCAGGTACTGTTGAGCTTGAGGCAGTTGGGGTCAAGAGGAAGAAATGGATTCTAGTATCCAGGACTTTCTGGAGTAGGACCTGGACCCCAAGGCCATGTAAGCCCAAAGCCTCATACTTTCCCTAATGCCTGAGTGTTCAAGATTCCTTTACCTGTGCTGGGCTCTGTGGCAGAGGGAGGGGTCACAGCTCCTGCCCTCGACAGCTTAGAGAAGAGTCAGTGCCTAACTACACACCCCTTCCATAGTGTGCAGGGCTGGGGATGTGCGGCTGGCAGGGTCCTCACAGAGAAATGTGAAGCCCACCCGGCCCTCTGGGAGCTCAAGTGTTGGCATGTCTTTTCTGAAGAGGGTGAGGGCAGGAAGATGTGCATTACCCTTAGAAAAAAAGTAGAAAAGGCCAGCCTTCTCATGCAGTGCCAGAGCAGTTAGGGCTGTATGGGGGCCACTGTGGGCCTGTAGATTCGTAACAGGAATCATAATAGCTAGCGTTGGTGGAACACCCACTGGGTGCCACGCATGGCGTTGAGCCCTCCGTGCATCAGCTGGTTTTATCCCATCCATATCCCACGAGGTAGGTGGAATTGCTGCCCCATTTTACCAATGAAGGAGAGATCCAGCTCCTCACAGCTAGTCAGTGGCAAATCTGAACTTCACTCCTGGCAGCCAGAGCCCAGCCCCTGCCCTGCACGATGGTAGCAGAGCCTGTCTGCAGGCACCAGGCATTCAGAGAGCTTTACCTCCTGTCCTCTTGACTCTTCATGGCAAAGCTGGAAATGGGGAGACTGAGGAACAGAGTTACTTGGCCCCAGTGCTGCCTCTGATTTGAGGAGGCAGGGTCAGCCCTGGGCCATCGCTGCCTTTGTCCCTGAGTCTGCGTTCCCCTCCACTCCGTGAGCTCACTCAGAGAGTTCTCTCCGCCCCCTCACCACTCTTGGTGATTATTTATCCCCAGGTCTTCACTTCGGCACCATCAGGTGCCCAGCCCTGGGTAAATATTTGTCTCAGGGCAGACAGGAGTGGGTGTGGTCAGCGTTTCAGAGCCCGGGGGCAGGTGGAGGCAGCAGGTGGGGTGGTGACTGGGGGCCCCTGGCTGGAGCTGGTGGCTCTGCTTGCTCTTTGCTCATCCAGCATCCACTCTCCCGGGGGCTGCTGAGGCGTTGGCCTCTGCAATAACAGGGGCTTCCGTTTGCCACGCGCCAGCCCCACACTAGACGCTTTACACAAGAGAGTTCAGTGGCTGCTTTTAGAAGTCTTTGTGTGTCAGTCTCAGTCTCATTGGCTCCATTTTGCAGATGAGGAGACTCAGCCATGAAGGGTCGAGAGCCATTGCCTGTGTCAACTGGGGTCTGTTGAGTTATCAGGGCCAGAATCCACCTGGGGCCACAGGAGGTGAATGAGGGTGTTCATTGGATGGAGGCCAGGCTTTGCCTGTTCCCAGGGGTCCTGAAAGCTGGCAGGAACCAGGTCTGCCACCTGCTCTCTGGAACACATGCACTCCTTGTTCCTCTTTCTCTCTTCAGAACGTCTTCCACTAGGCTGGCCATGGGCCACACAAGCCCAGCCCTCCTGGTGTCTGGAACAGGACCACCCAGTCCAGCCCCCTGACCCGGGCAGCTCATGCAGGCTTAGCTAGGACCCCACATCCTCCCTGTCAAATGGGCGATAGAGGGCCAGCCCACGCTTGTTGGGGTGGAGGGCAGTTTTTAGAGGAGGCTCTGCAGACACCCCAAATAGGCACCCCCAAATACAAGGTCTGACTGCAAAGGCCATGCCCTCACTAGGTTGCTGTTACATGTGTTTAGAAGGTGCATTCACAGGCTGGGCATAGTGGCTCACACCTATAATTCCAGCACTTTGGGAGGCCGAGGCAGGAGGATCACTTGAGGCCAGGAGTTCAAGACCACCCTGGGCAACAAGTGAGACCCCCCCCCCCATCTCCACAAAATATAAAAAATTAAATTTTCGGAAGGTGCATTCACATCACAAGGCAGAAAGTCACTAGTGTCCTCAGATGTGTACATCCCTTTGGGAAGCTCCTTCCAGCTGGGGGGCTTATGGAGGCCATAAAGGAACCCCCTAACTCCCCCTACACATCCCAGCAGAAAGCCCTGGGCTAGGGGACAGTCTTGGGCCCTTGTGTTCTGAGAGTGTTATTAGTCTCCACCACAGGATTGGCTGTGTTTTCTTAGTGGTTCAGGCATGCATTCAGCGAGTATTGAGCTCAGTGCCCAGTCCTGTACTGGGGACACAGCAGTGGCAAGGCAAGCCCGGCCCTGCCTTCCAGGCTTATTGTCCAGAGAGAGGGAAGTGTGGGAAACAAGTTGGCCAACCAGCAGACAGCACCACTGCAGATTGAGAGAAGGGTCTGGAAGGAAATAAACCAAGGCTGGAACAGAGGAGACAGTGGCGAGGCTGGTGGGTAGGTACCTGGCTTGGGTCAGGATATTGAACGCCTTAAACTCTTGGGTGAGGCATGGGGTCCACCAACCAGATGAAGTGGGCTTTGAAGTCAGGCCTACCTGTGCTGTGTGTCCTTGGCACATGCTCCATCTCCCTGCGCCTCAGTTTCCTCCTTTGGAAAGGATGGGGGAGGGATAGCTGTACCCCAAACCGTGGCATGAACAGAAAGGTCAAGGGTTTGGCTAAGAGTGAGGATTGTGGAGCCATAGACTGCTCAGGCTCGAATCCCGGCTCTGACTTTTACTGATTCTGTGGCCTCAGTTTCCCCATTTGAAATGGGGATAATAAACCCTACCTATCTTAGGGTTGTTGAAGACAGTAAATGAGGTAGTATATGTAAGTGCTTGCCATTGCTCGTAAAAATTATTTATCGTTAAAAGTTGCGGCCAGGCGCAGTGGCTCACATCTATAATCCCAGCACTTTGGGAGGCCGAGGCGGGTGGATCATCTGAGGTCCGGAGTTCGAGACCAGCCTGGCCAACATGGTGAAACCCCGTCTCTGCTAAAAATACAAAATTAGCCTGGTGTGGTGGCGGGTGCCTATAATCCCACCTACTCGGGAGGCTGAGGGAGGAGAATTGCGTGAACCCAGGAAGCGGAAGTTGCAGTGAGCTGAGATTGTGCCACTGCACTCCAGCCTGGGTGACAAGAGTGAGACTCTGTCTCAAAAAAAAAAAAAAAGTTGTGTGTCACATGGGGGGACTCGGGTGCTTAGCACACTGCTTGACTGGGGACCCAGGGATTAAGGCCTTGACTTCCGCTTTCATCCAAGCCTGCCATTGACCTTACATGCAGCTGCTGTGTGTGAGGCGCTGTGGCATGAGGGAAGGTGCGCCCAATCTGCCTTGTTCCTTCCGTCCCAAGAGACTTGGAAAGCCATGAGTGTGTTCTGACCGCATCTGTTTCTGTAACAGGATCTTCAGCTGCGGCAGGCAGTTGGGAAGGTCAGGACGAGGGGAAGGGAAGGCAGGCCTGTGGCACCTGCCATCTGCGCCCTTCACTGGAGTGGGCAGGCCTTGCCCACATCCCTGCCTGAGGCCTGGGGTCTGGAGGCCTGGCTCCTTGTTGGCTATGTAAGCCTAGCCCGCCCCCTGGAGCTGGCCATCCTGCAGCATGTGGCCACGGTACCCACTGGCTGAATGGTGGTGCCTCCCTGCCGGGAAGGGCAGAGAAGAGCCCCTCTCACCCAGGAAACTGCAGGACTCACGGCCTCTCAGCAGGCCTGAGGAGGGCACGGGGGTCTGAGAGGGAAGGACCGGCCATCCCAGCCTCCCCTGAGCAGGCTAACTTTCCAGGACGCATTGCGGGCTCCCTTCCCTCCAGCCCGTGGTTCTCTGGGGAGAAGGGAAGGGTGGACGTTGTCTTCATTTCCCAGAGTGAGTCGGTGCATTCGTTCATTCATAGACTCACAGCGACAGACACCACAGTGACGTCCCTAGACTCAGGGAGCCCTTGGTCTAGGACAGAAAACGAGCAAGTAGATCCTTAGAGATTGGGACGTGTCCAGTGAGGAGGCAGAGTGTTGTCTGGGTGTGGTGTGGGGGATGGGGATGGGGGTGCTGCTACAGAAAGGGGTCAGGAGAGGCTTCTCAGAGGAGGTGACTTTTTTTTTTTTTTTTTTTGAGACAGAGTTTCGCTCTTTTTGCCCAGGCTGGAGTGCAGTGGCACGATCTTGGCTCACTGCAGCCTCCATCTCCCAGCTCAAGCGATTCTCCTGTCTCAGCCTCCCAAGTATCTGGGACTACAGGCACGTGTCACCACACCCGGCTAATTTTTGTATTTTTAGTAGAGATGGGGTTTCACCATATTGGTCAGGCTGGTCTCGAACTCCTGACCTCAAGTGATGCACCCGCCTCAGCCTCCCAAAGTGCTGGGATTACAGGTGTGAGCCATTGCGCCTGGCCAGGAGGTGACTTTCGAGTTGAGATCTGAATGGCAAGTCAGCTGCGGCTTAAGCTGCAGGAGGGGAGGGAAGCTGTCAGAGGGAGGGAAGAGCAGTTGCAGACCCGGAGGCGGGAACAAACCACAAAGCCTGTAGAGTGGCTGAGGAGGCGTGGGCGAGCCGAGGGTGAGCCCCGGTGGAGTGCTGGCATCAGGGGGCCTTGTCCTGGGCTGAGGAGTTGAGGTTTTACTCTCAGTGCAGGGACAGGTGGTGCCGAGTGAAAGCCTGTGGCAGCAACCAGCCCGCTCCTGCACGGTCTCCTAAGCTAATTGTGCGCCTGCTTTGGGTCTGAATGGCGGGGACTGCACAGGACGTGGGTTTTCCTTCTACGGTGGGAGGTGATCTCAGGGAGTCTCCCTGCAGGTCCCCACCAGGTCTTCTGTGTGCCTACCATGGGCATGCAGTTCTGAAGCGCTGACTGGTGGTGGGAAACCTAGCCTGGAGATTGTCCCAGCCATCCCACCCAAGGCAGGGACAGGCCAGTGGGGCTACCCGAGCAAAGGCTTAGGGCAGCTGGTAGACCGGGCTGCAAGAATGAGGCCGCAGAGTTAGTCTTAGAGTAGCACCTGGCAGGAGGCTGGCTCCGTAAGCCAGTGCTCGTCCTTGGCATTGTTGACTCAGTGGCTCAGCTGATGAGCCCGAGGCTGCTGGGGAAGGTGTCCTCCTCAGCCTTACAGCTCCAGCCCCCGCGTGATCCGCGTTTCTCAGGCCTCTGGGTTACTGAGAGGCTGTTGGGGGTGGAGGTGCCCAGCGGTTGTTCACTGGGAAGAAGAACTCACCACCAGCGTCCCTTCATTTTTCCCAAGGAGTCACAGGCAGAGGTTTTTCCGAACAGGCTCAGCAGCCAGAAGTCCCCGCCTGGGCTTCCAACTGCCTACAGAGGTAGCTGCAGCCCTCCCCTCAGGCTGGCCTGTGTCACTGCCCTATTCTATGTCCAGGCCTCCCGGCACCCAGCCGCTGTCCCCATGAGTGCCCAGGGGAGCTCCCAGTTTAGCAGGGGGAGAGGGTTCCCCAGTGCAGAGTGGGTGGGAAGCCCGGGGCCTGTGACCTGTGTCACAGGGCATCTGAGGATGTTGTTCCTGGAAGGCAAGTGTGTGGCCACGGAGCTGACTTTGGGCTCTCATTTAGGAGGCTGACTCTGAAGGTCATAGTGGCTCAGCAGTGAAAGAGGAGGATCCCCACAGTGTGTGGTCTGTGTGGTCACTCAGGGATGTGACCTTTCTGACCCTCCTCTTCTTTGTCTTGGGTTGGGGGTCCCGGCCATATCCCCTTCCCAGGGATGTGCTAAGGTTTCAGGGAGCTCGGGTACATAAAGGGCTTGCCTGAGATAACTGCGTAGTAAATGACAGCTGTCAGTGGACTCCCTGCCGAACGTTGGGACACCACAGTTACGGACTTGTGCCAGGAGCCCCAGCTTCCTGCCACCCCTCACCGTGTACCTCAGAGTTCTCCTTTGACAACCCTCCATCTGGCTGTCCTGTCCCTCAGGGGTGGGCATGAGGCCCAAGTTCCTTCCTTCCTTTAGCCCACGTTCACTGAGCACCTGCTGGCCGGGCCCCAGGGAGCCACCCAGGTGGCTGCCTCCACAGCCGGGCTGGGCTTTATAACTAATTCTGTCGTGAGAGACTGGCCTTGGTGCCAGACCTCCCTCCCGGCCCACCTGCCGCCTCTGGGTTCCTTGTGGGCCACCGCCTCTGAGCAGCTGCTGCTTTTTTTTTTTTCTCATTTAACTTTTTGTTTTGTTTTTTGGTTTTTGAGACGGAGTCTCATTCTCTGTCACTCATGCTGGAGTGCAGTGGTGTGATCTCACTCACTGCAGCTTCCACCTCCTGGGTTCAAGCGATTCTCCTGCCCCAGCCTCCCGAGTAGCTGGGATTACAGGCACGTGCCACAACACCCGTCTAATTTTTTTTTTTTTTTGAGACAGAGTCTTGCTCTCTGTCACCCAGGCTGGAGTGCAGTGACACGATCTCAGCTCACTGCAGCCTCTGCTTCCCAGGTTCAAGCGATTCTCCTGCCTCAGCCTCCTGAGTAGCTGGGATTACAGGCATGTGTCACCATACCTGGCTAATTTTTGTATTTTGTAGAGATGGGGTTTTGCCCTGTTGGCCCGACTGGTGTCGAACTCCTGACCTCAGGTGATCTGCCCACCTTGGCCTCCCAAAGTGCTGGGATCACAGGCATGAGCCACGGTGCCTGGCCCGTTTAACTGTGTTTTGATGGACATTTTCAGACACAAGAAAGTAGGAGTATAATGAGTCTGATGGACCGACCCACTTTCTGGCTTCAGAATTGATGACTACATGGCCAATCTGTTCCTGCCTATCTCCATGCCACTCTCACCTGCATTATTTTGCAGCAGCTCTAAGATAGCTATCATTTTACCTATACATTGCTTGTGAAACAGTGGG